>NC_000008.11:141151623-141453701 GCF_000001405.40 Homo sapiens
GACATGCATCCTGACGGAACAGCGGATCGTCTTCTTCTCCTCGGACTGGGCTCTGCTGACGCTGGTCACTGAGTGCTTCATGGCCTACCTGTATCCGCTGCAGTGGCAGCACCCCTTCGTGCCCATCCTGTCGGACCAGATGCTGGATTTCGTCATGGCCCCCACGTCCTTCCTGATGGGCTGCCATCTCGACCACTTCGAAGAAGTCAGCAAGGTTAGGTAGCGAACCTTTGACTTGGAATGCTAAATTCCTGTGAGTCCATCACGGGGACACATGGGAAGATGCGTCTGAAAGTGCTCCGCGGTGAAGGCGGGGTCTGTGTGCCGCAGAGAGGTCACGGGTACCGTGAGAAGTGGCTGTTCACTCACTGTGTCATTGTCCTGTGATGAAGCCGGGACCCCTTAGTCTCCTAGTGGAGACAGGACAGTGAGTGTGCCCACCTCATTGTCCCGGTGAGGGCCGAGTGAGGCAGTAGCCAGCACTGGGCCTGCAGCAGGTGCTCATAGATGGTACTGTTGTGACCCCTCTGTGAATCTGACACAGCATGTTTTTAGTTGGTGAGCTGATGGATTTGTGCTAAATATTGCAATGATGCCAGGAGGTGGACTGGGTTTGGTTTTTAAAAATAGCTTTATTGAGATACAATTTACATACCTCAAAGTTTACCCAATTAAAATGTATGAATCAGTGGGTTTTAGGATATTTATAGAGTTGTGCAATCATCCGCCGTCCAATTTTAGAAGGGAAATTTTCATCACACATTAGCAGTCAGCCCCCAGGGCCTGACAGCCACACCCATGCGCTTTTTCTCTGGGTTTGCCGGTTCTGGACCTCTCGTGGGAACAGAGTTGCTCCATGCGCTATCCTTCCATCTGGCTCCTTCCACTTCACGTCATGGCTTTGAGACTCCTCCACGTGGTAGCATCTCTCAGCCCTTTATTTTTATTGCTGACTAGGGTTTCATTGTATAAATAGACCGAGTTTTGTCCATCCACTCACAATGAGGTCGTCGTGATAAAATCTTCATCACACTGTTCAGTGATGACCGTGTGGGTTGTTTCCACCTTTTGGCTGCTCTGAACACTTGTGTGCAAGTTTTTGTGTGGATATGTGCTTTCGTTTCTCTCGGGTGTGTCCCTAGGAGTGGAATTGCTGGGTCATAAGGCAGCTCTTTGTTTAACCCTTTGAGGAACTGCTAAGCTGTTTTCGCAAAGCGGCCGTGCCGTTTTACACTCCCACCAGCAGTACGAGGGTTCTAGCTTCTCCTAACGTCCGCGCCAGCGCTGGTTGTTGTCTGCCATTTGAATTGCAGCCCTGCCCCCGACCCGGTGAGGAGGAGCTGGTATCTCACTGTGGTTTGATGTGCATTTCCCTGGTGACGAATGATATTGGGCATCTTTTCCTGTGTTATTGGTGGTTTGTACAGGGTCGGTTTACATTTAACTTTCCATTTTGAACAATATCTTTCTTTTTTTTTTTTTTTTTTTGAGACAGAGTCTCGCTCTGTTGCCCAGGCTGGAGTGCAATGGCGTGATCTCGGCTCATGGCAACCAATGCCTCCCGGGTTCAAGCGATTCTCCTGTCTCAGCCTCCCGAGTAGCTGGGACTACAGGCATGTGCCACCACACCTGGCTAATTTTTGTATTTTTAGTAGTGATGGGGTTTCACCATGTTGCCCAGGCTGGTTTCAAATTCCTGGCCTCAAGTGATCCGCCCACCTTGGCCTTCCAAAGTGCTGGGATTACAGGCGTGAGCCACCACGCCTTGCTCCATTTTGAAAATTTCTAAGTGTGCACAAAAATAGAAGAACACAGCGTGTGTCATGCGCCCCTCACAGTCCTCAGCCTGTTGCCAGCTTCGCAGTCACCCCCAGCCCCGCTTTTCCCGGAGCGTTTTAAAGCAAATCCCAGGGTCCAGATGCTTCCCCCACAAGTGTTGGGAAGGGCCCGTTGGCTGGGCCCGGCCAGGGTCCCCGCTGCGGGGGAGAACAGTGCTTGTGTGTTCCTGCCAAGGCGAGTGACTCACTGGGGAAAACACACTTCAGGAAAAGGCCAGGCAGACCTCTGTGGAAGGAACGGAAAAGCGTCATCCATCCCGCCTCGCAGACGAGGAGAAAATAAGCTGTGTTGTGAAGTTTAAAGTTGTTTCTTTTTTTAGTCATTAGGGGAACAAAATTGTGTTTCAGGCTCTTTTAGGAGGACAACTTTCTTCCACATGTTCACCTAGCAGTTCCAGTCAGCAGTGGGGGACACCTTTGAGGCACTCACCTGTTGGGAAAGATTTCAGGAGAGGCAGCTGCTCTTCTGGATTTGTTTGGGTGTTTTGTTTTTGTGTTTTGTGGCTGGCGGTGGGATCTGCAGGAAGGAGCTGGCAGTGACCCTATGCGCCTCCACCAAACACTTGTGTCTCCCAAAGACGCTGGGCGTTAACACATCCACGGGACCGGCTGTGTGCCTCGCTGCTTTAGCGTTTTGTGTATTTGCCTTGTAAGGTTTTGAGGCCAAGAATGTGTTTGCACATATTTCATGTAGCCACCTGAACTGCACTCCAAAGGGCGGGGCCCAGAATGAGAGCCGGGGAGTCGGGGCCTTCCCCAGGAACCTGGCATTGCATTCCGGGGCTGTTGAAGTGCAGGGCTCGGGTGCGTGACTCAGTATTTGTGTACTCTGTCACAGGAGCCTCTCCAAGTCATCATGTGCATATCTCAAATATTCCAGGGCTACGCGGTCTCTTAGCCCAGGCCCCTGCCCATGCTCTGGTGCTTGGAGGGGCGGAGCTGGCTGGGGAGCTGAGCCAACACAGTGGATGTTGGAGGTTGGTGGTGCCCTCACTGGAGTTCTGGAATGCTCCCTCCAAGACTCCCAAAAAGCAGTACATGCAGTGTTTGTTCCAGGGTAGGAGAAACCTTGTCAACAACATGTATTGGAATCTTTTTTTTTTCTTTTTTTTTTTTGTGAGATGGAGTTTCGCTCTTGTTGCCCAGGCTGGAGTGCAATGGCACGATCTCAGCTCACTGCAACCTCCGCCTCCTGGGTTCAAGCGATTCTCCTGCCTCAGCCTCCTGAGTAGCTGGGATTGCAGGCACACGCCACCATGCCTGGGTAATTTTTGTATTTTTAGTAGAGACGAGGTTTCACCATGTTGGCCAGGCTGGTCTCAAACTCCTGATCTCAGGTGATCCACCCACCTCGGCCTCCCAAAGTGTTGGGATTACAGGCATGAGCCACTGCACCCAGCCTGTGTTGGAATCTTCACTGAAAGAGAAAGGCATATGGGTAAGCAAAATGTGGTCTTTCCAAATAATGGACTATTCAGGCTGAAGAAGCAAGGATGTTCTGACACATGCCTCAGATGGGTGAGCCTCACAGACATCAACGTGGAGTGAAATAGGCCAGTCCCAAAAGAACAAATGCTGTTCGTGAATCCACTCATTTGAGGTCCCTAGAGGAGTCAAATTCATGGAGACAGAAAGCAGATTAGTGGGCTTGTGGAGGGGAGGCTGGGAGCTGTGCTGGATAGTGAGTCTCAGTTTTGGGATGATGAAAACATTCTGGGGATGGCTGGGGGAGATGCTTGCACAACCACTCGAATGCACTTACACTGTCGAGCTGCACGCTTAACATTGGTTACGTTGACACAGTTTATGTTTATTTTACCACAATTAAGAAAAATAAGAGAAAGGCATATTTAATCAAATTTAGCCCATTAACATAGCTCATGATATATACTAGATTTTTGTGTAGAAAATATGAGGCTATGTGTGCATTTATTTTATTTTATTATTATTATTATTTTTTGAGACAGGGTCTTGCTCTGTTGCCCAGGCTTCCGTGCAGTGGTGTGATCTCGGCTCACTGCGGCCTCAACCTCCTGGGCTCAAGGGATCCTCCTGCCTCAGCCTCCCAAGTAGCTGGGACCATAGGCATGTGCTACCACACCTGGCTAATTTCTTTTAAATTTTTTGTAGAGACAGGGTCTCACTGTGTTGTTCAGGCTGGTCTCAAACTCCTGGGCTCAAGCAGTCTGCCTGCCTTGACCTCTCAAAGTGCTGGGATTACAGGTATGAGTCACTGCACCCGGCCTATGTGTGCATTTTAAAGAGGGTCATTTAATTAATGATGACACTGTCTTAGTGAACTCAAAACATATTTATGTGTTTTCAAAGAGGTATACAAATTCCGAAATTCTTTTATCAATCTTTACAGATGATTCCTTGTTTTCTAGGAAGCCGACGGTTTAGTTCTGATAAATATTGATCATGGGAGCATCACCTACTCCAAGTCCACGGACGATAACGTGGACATTCCTGATGTCCCCCTCCTGGCAGCCCAGACGTTTATTCAGAGGTAACGGGAAACATTAATGGTATGAATTTCAGACCGTCTTTGTTCAGATTCTGTATTTGCCACTTCGAGTATCTTTTCCAATTTTATATAACTGATAGATGTTTTATATATTATAGTTTGGAAATTATTTGTGAATTTTGTTTTCTGAGATTGAGTCTCACTCTTGTTGTTCAGGCTGGAGTGCAGTGGCGCAATCTCGGCTCACTGCAACCTCTGCCTCCCACGTTCAAGCGATTCTCCTGCCTCAGCCTCCCAAGTAGCTGGGATTACAGGCGCCCACCACCATGCCTGGCTAATTTTTGTATTTTCAGTTTTCACCATGTTGGCCAGGCTGGTCTTAAACTCCTGACCTCAAGTGATCTGCCCACCTTGGCTTCCCAAAGTGCTGGGATTACAGGTGTGAGCCACCGCACCTGGCCATGAATATTTTGAAATGAAAGTGATTTGTCTTTATTCCAATCTTGTCTGAATGTTACTTCAAGTCAAGAGACAGTCACATCCTGTCTCTTGAGAGGAAACCTACTCAACCTCTGTGCTGTGCCCCAGGATCCTGTGCCTGTGATCCTTGAAGTTCCCTATCCATTCATTCATTCATTCACTCATTCATTCATTCATTCATTCACTAGATGTGTATTGCATACCCGTCGTATACCCGGAATTGGGCAGTGCCTGTGTACTAATGACAGGACAGCCATGGCCCCTGCCCCTTGAGTTTGTCTGCTGGGTTCTGATGGGCATGACGCATTCTGTCCGAGCTAGAAGTTGTCCATTTCTTTCACTCCCGCCACTGTATTGGCACTTTATCTTTTCTTTTTCTTTCCTTTTTTTTTTTTTTTTTTGAGATGGAGTCTCGCACTGTTGCCCAGGCTGGAGTGCAGTGGCGCAATTTTGGCTCACTGCAACCTCTGCCTTCTGGGTTCAAGCGATTCTCCTGCCTCAGCCTCCCGAGTAGCTGGGATTGCACCTCCACGTCTGGCTAATTTTTTGTATTTTTAGTGGAGATGGGTTTCACTATGTTGGCCAGGCTGGTCTTGAACTCCTGACCTTGTAATCTGCCTACCTCAGCCTCCCAAAGTGCTAGGATTACAGGCATGAACCACTGTGCCCGGCCTGGCACTTAATTTTTTCACACCGTTTTATAGTTTATGTTTTCTTTCATCTCTGTTACTCAACCTCATTGGCTTAGATCAGGCGTCAGCAAACTTTTTCCAACAAGTGTCAAATAATATTTCATGCTTTGGGGCTCTGAGGTCTCTGTCGAGGTGCAAAGGCTTGGCAGGGACTTTGGTCAGGGGAGGGTGAGAGGAGGTGTAATTGCTAATTACGTCAGGACGGAGGTGTTGGGTGTGCCCCAAGCAGTGACTCAGCTTCAGTGCCAGGGCTCCCTCGGGGTTGCTCTGCGGAGCTCATTTTTCCCTTCAGCATTTTATAAAATGATAGCAGGAGGAGAGATCCTGCTCTTGAGTCCTCACAACCTGTGGGTCCAACTGCAGCCAGGCCCTGAGTGCGGTCGTGGAGGTGACGCTGGAGGGAGGGGAGCGCTTAGGCTTTTTGCAAACAGCCGGGCTGTACTTGCTTCTGGTGAAGCCTGTGATGCAGTCTGGATTTCAGTCAGCCATCACCTTTCTTCTCTTCGCCTTCCTTTGTCTGCATTGGGAGGAGTGGGAAGGAGGAGGGCGGTTTCTGGCCTGGCCTTTCACCTGGCTTTTCTGATTTCTGACTCTTACCTTGGTGTGGATTATTCCTTCTACCTGGAAGGTTTCTGAAAAATGTTTAGGAAAACTACCTCTTTTTTTTTTTTTTTTTGGAGACAGGGTCTTGCTCTGTCACCCAGGCTGGGGTGCAGTGGCGTGATCTTGGCTCACTGCAACCTCCGCCTTCCAGGTTCAAGCGATTCTCCTGCCTCAGCCTCCGGAGTAGCCGGGATTACAGGCATCTGTGACCATGCCCGACTAATTTTTGTGTTTTCAGTAGAGACAGGGTTTCACCATGTTGGCCAGGCTGGTCTCGAACTCCTGACCTCAGGTGATCCACCTGCCTGGGCCTCCCAGAGTGCTCAGATTACAGGCGTGAGCCACCGCGCCCAGTCGGAGAACTACCTTTATTATTGTTCTTGCATCTTAAAAAATTCCCTAAGGCCTTAAAGCCAAGCGATGGTCCTGCACAGGCAAGGCTGGTTTCTGCTTGCTTGGGCTGTGGAATCGCTGGGCTCTCCTCCCCAGCCAAGGGCACCTGAGCAGCTGTTCTGTTGGCAACTGTCCTCTGCGCGAACTTTGAAGGAGACACGTGCTTTCCCAATCATCTCAGTTACTTTCTGGTAAGCCACAGCTGCTTCCTTGACTTTTAGAGCGTGACATTCTGTAATAGAACTGAGCTTTGTGAGACTGTGTTGAAGCTCTGAGCATTCCCAGGAAGGTAGGATTCTGCCTGCATCCTCATCTTCTTGTTAGAATTCCGGAATAGAAACACACACGATACGGAGGCTGGGCCCCGCTTTGGCTAGATCCCCCAGAATGGGGATGCAGGATGTCGTGTCTCCCACAGCCTCATTTTTGGAGACTCTTTTGTAAACACAAGCTAATCCCTGTGCCATGGGTGACCTGTCTATAAGAGGCCTCTGAGCTCATGATACAGGTTGTGGGCTGCGGTGTCGTTGGGGTGCCTGCTCAAGGGGCTCTGGAGTACAATATGCATCTCTCTGCACGTGAGCGTGTGGCTGGGAGGGACGGGGCAGCCCCCTCCTTGCCCAGCTTTCCCCAGCACCCTTGGCTCTTGGTCACTCTCTTCACTGCTGTCTTCATCTCTGATGGAAGTCGCTCTCTCCCTGGGCAGCAGGGGTAGGGTCGCCAGCTCAGGGCTATGCTGGCTGCGTGCTTGGGTGAGGGAGGCATGGGGTTCCGGGAGAGGGGATGGCCATCTCCTTCAGACCCCACTGTCCCTGCACCAGAAGATGCAGTAAGAGAAGCTGCCACTCCAGGTGGCATCATAGCCCTTTTTACATGAGGAAAGTCATCAAAATTTCTTTCCCTGGCATTCTGCGTGTTCTTTCAGATGAAAGGCCAGTTTGGTGCTGGTAAACATCACAGTTCTTGAGACCCATCTAGGCAAGGGTAGTTGCCCAAGTCCTGTGAGTCTGGTCAGCCAGGGCTGGGCTGGCCCCTCAGCAGCTGCTGCTCAGCACGTTTGGAGAGAACCCTGGTCCTGGCCCTGGCACCGCGTGCCTGCCTGCTACCATCCCCTGGTGGGCCACTCCACCCAGAATCCCGTTCTTCCCTTTTCCTGTCCCTGCCTCCAGGAGGGTCAGGCAGCGGCAGGGGCCTGTGGCCAGTGCACCCTTCCCATCACAGAGAAGATTGGCTCCTGCCGGCCATGCTGACCTGGCCCACACTCCCACTCCCCCTACCATGCTGGGCCGCACTGGGTCCATCAAGTCCCCCGTCTGTGTCTTCCTGTCACATCTCCGGTTCCAGGTCGTCTCCTGGGAGAACTCTTCTCTGCCCGCTCAGTCTGACTGCCGTGTCTCTCTAGCCCATCGCTGTGATGTGCGTTTCTGCCTGATGTCCTCATTATCTCCTGTTTTCTTGATTTGTCTCTTTTCCTACTTCCTCCCACTCACATGGAAGTGCCACGCAGGCAGGGGCTTGGCCTGTGTCCACCACCCATCCCTAGCACACAGATCAGTGTATGGCATACAGTAGGTGCTCAAGAAATATGTGTGACCAGATATGCGTTGGTTCTGTTTATTTTGTATATTTCTAACGTCCCTCTAGACATGCAGCCTTTAGTGGTGTTGGGAAGGCCAGGGGTCCAATCTCATGGTGGCTCAGGGTTGACAGATATCTGTGAGTTCCTGTCCCTGAGTGAGGCCCTCTGGGGTGAGCCTTTGGCCATCTCCTGGTGGGCCAAGAGTGGTGACACCCGGGACGTTTGTTGCAGGGCACAGAGGGGCATCTGATCCTGCCTGGGCAGGAAGTACAGAGGGGAAGCCATGGGGGAGCTGTGACTGTCCCTTCTAGGCAGCCATGAGTGACCCGTCAAGAGGCAGCCTGACCTGGAAGCCTTTGGTGACCTAGAAGGGGGAGTGCCCTCACTGCAGTGGCAGGACAGGAATGAGCTGGCCTGGGTGAAGTGTGCATAGTCCAAGTCGAGGCCCATGTGAGTCCATGTGTGGAGGTGAATCCACTCTTCCAGTCTTCCAGCGATGTATTTTTTTTTTTTTTTTTTTAAGACAGAGTTTCGCTCCTGTTGCCTAGGCTAGAGTGCAGCGGCACTATCTCGGCTCACTACAACCTCCACCTCCCAGGTTCAAGCGATTCTCCTGGCTCAGCCTCCCGAGTAGCTGGGATTACAGGTGCCTGCCACCATGCCTGGCTAATTTTTGTATTTTTAGTAGAGAATGGGTTTCACCATGTTGGCCAGGCTGGTCTTGAACTCCCTGACCTCAGGTGATCCACCCACCTCGGCCTCCCAAAGTGCTGGGATTACAGGCGTGAGCCACCGCGTCCAGCCCCAGTGATGTACTTTAATGACCACCCGCCCCTCAAATTATTGATCGGTATTTGTGTCTGTGAAGTGTTCATTTACCTGGTGGGCTGTGTGCTGGTGAGCGGCCGTGGCCAGTGCTGCTGGGGCTGAGCTAGCTTCGGTCTGCCTCCTTCCAGGGTGCAGAGCCTCCAGCTCCACCATGAGCTGCACGCCGCCCACCTCCTCTCCAGCACAGACCTGAAGGAGGGCCGAGCCCACCGGCGGTCCTGGCAGCAGAAACTCAACTGCCAGATACAGCAGACCACCCTGCAGCTGCTCGTGAGCATCTTCAGGTACGTGAGAGAACATTCCCAGTGTCCATGAGGAGGTAACCAGCCAGCCATCCATTCTATGGGGATCGTGCACCCCGCCCCAGAGGGCAGGCCATTAGTACCATTTGCCTGGCAAACATGAGTGGTCCCCGCCCCCTGCCAAAGCTTTTCTTGTGACTGTAACAATCAGCAGTTACAGGGAGTTTGTTCTTTTGATTCTGACCTTGCCTGTGCCTTCCTAACACCCTCTCCTGCTGGTGACTGCCTTCCTAACAGCTTCTCCTGCTGGTGACTGTGCCTTACTACCTTACTAACGCCCTCTCCTGGTGACCCCCTGCAGGTGGCTGTTTTGGGACAGCCCTCTAGGAAGACGCAAATCTGATAAACCTGCAGGGAGCACCTGTCACTCTGGCCTGTGCTGGCTCCGGGCTCTGGCTCAGTCCGTGGAGGGCTCTGTCCCGAGAGGCCTGCATCCAGGGGCTAGTGAGGGACAGACAGGCCATTTTGATGTGACTCATAAGCTAGATCATGAAACCATCTATGGGAGAGCCACAGGACGGGTGGGGCACTCAAGATGTGCCTGTTAGCAAGTTTTCTTTCTCCTCATTCCACTAATTACAGCATTAGCTACCTCCTGCATGCTATTGCTTCCCCAGCACCTGAGCTGGAATTGGTTAAGTGGACAAGTCAAGTGTGTTTATTTCAGTGTGATACAGTACAGGTATTGAGTTGCTATTTCTGGCCTAAATAGGCAGTCACTTAAGGAATGTATGGCAAAAATGATAGCTTCATAGATAAGTACTTTTTAATGCAAAAGCCTTTGGGCTTCTCCCACCCTTTCTCCTTTTCTCTGGCAGTGTTCTTCCTCTCCTTCTTGCTGGTTGCTCCCTGAGTCCAGCAGTGAAGGAGGCACCCCCGATGCTGGCCTCCTCTGTTCTTGAGGGGCCTTCCGCTTTGGGAGGTGGTTAGCACAGAGCCTGCTGGCTTGATCGTACTCTGCGTGATTATTTCAAAATGGAAATTTGAGTGGCCTTTTTTTTTTTTTTTTTTTTGAGATGGAGTCTCACTCTGTCACCCAGCCTGGAATGCAGTGACGCCATCTGGGCTCACTGCAACTGCCGCCTCCCAAGTTTAAGCAATTCTCCTGCCTCGGCCTCTGAAGTAGCTGGGACTGCAGGCGCCTGCCACCACCACGCCTAACTAATTTTTTCTATTTTTAGTAGAGACAGGGCTTCACCATGTTTACCAGGCTAGTCTCCAACTCCTGACCTCAGGTGATCCTCCTGCCTCGACCACCCAAAGTGCTGGGATTACAGGTGTGAGCCATAGCGCCCAGCCTGAATGGCCTATTCTTTTGATGTATTTGTTTGCATAAAGCGAATAATTTATTAGGAAAAAATGGGATGGTGTATTACAGACATGTGATATTATCTCTGCTCAAAGAGGCATAATTAGTGGGGTCCTAAATATGTTGTTTTCCTTTTGTTCTTTGAAGATGAAATATCTTATGAACAATTTTTTTTTAATTTCTTAATATTTTACAAACTCAATGAGTTGACAGAAAAGCAGAATAGTCCCAGCCACTCCAGAGGCTGAGGTGGGAGGATCCCTTGAGCCTAGAAGTTTGAGACCAGCCTGGGCAACATAGCAAGATCCCGGCTCTTTAAAAAAAAGAGGCAGAAAATATGATTACATATGATAAAACTTTATTTCCCCTAGATGAAATAATTTATTCTCTCCAAGAAAACACTGAACACATTACGTACTAAGTATGCCCTGTAAGGTTATTCATTCTATTTATATATTACTTTAGATCTGGGAGATCATGTGCTAAAATCGCGAGTTTGTAACATGATCTGAGGAAACCGGGTACAAAGAGGTGAAGTGGGCCGGGCTCGGTGGCTCACGCCTGTAATCCCAGCACTTTGGGAGGCCGAGGTGGGTGGATCACCTGAGGGCCAACATGGTGAAACCCCATCTCTACTAAAAATATAAAAATTAGCCAGGCATGGTGGTGTGTACCTGTAGTCCCAGCTACTCGGGAGGCTGAGGCAGAAGAATCACTTGAACCTGGGAGGTGGAGGTTGCAGTGAGCCAAGATTGTGCCACTGCACTCCAGCCTGGGCCATAGAGCAAGACCCCGTCTAAACAAACAAACAGACAAACAAACACAGAGGTGAAGTGACTTGTCCGGGAAGGCTGGCGGCCGAGCTGGTCAGCACTTGGAGAGTCTGGCTGCCCCTCTGGGCTCCCCACCCTGAACTCAGTTTCATGTGTGTGGACCGCAACTGACTTTTGTGTCTTAATTTGCATAAGGAACTAGTGGGCTGGAGGAAGGTGAGAACAGGAACACTGCCTCCTGTACTTTCGTTCTAGCTGGGGGAAATTTATGCTTGACCACAAAATACATCCACATCGTATCATTTTGGTAATCAAGAATCTTTCTGAAGAACATGGCTTTTTCAAAGTTCGTATCTCTTCTAACCATTTCTCTGCTACTAAAAGTGGTATATTTTTCATGTATTTAAGAAAGTTTTAGCACTCAGACTCTCTTTCTCTTTGTTAGGGATGTAAAGAATCATTTAAACTATGAACACAGAGTCTTTAATAGTGAAGAATTTCTCAAAACCAGGGCTCCAGGGGACCATCAGTTTTATAAGCAGGTGAGAGCTGTGGGATTTGGGTGTGCCTGTGTGTGTTCAATCCATTATCCTTTTCTGTATTTAAATACTTTTCAAAATAAGTGTTCTCAAGTGTATCAACTTTTCCAAAAAGTTTGTTTTAGCATGGTTCCTTTTGACCATGTGGCTCTCCCTCTTTTTTAAAAAAATCAGCTTTTTAAGAGTATAATTTACTTGTGGCCAGGCACAGTGGCTCATGCCTGTAATCCCAGCACTTTGGGAGGCCGAGGCGGGCAGATCACCTGAGGTCAGGAGTTCGAGACCAGCCTGGCCAACATGGTGAAATCCCATCTCTACTAAAAATACAAAAATTAGCTGGGTGTGGTAGTGCACGCCTGTAATCCCAGCTACTCAGGAGGCTAAGGCAGGAGAATTGCTTGAACCCAGGGGGTGGAGGTTGCTGTGAGCCAAGATGGTGTCACTATATTCCAGCCTGGGCGACAGAGCAAGACTCCGTCTCAAAAAAAAAAAAAAAAAAAAAGTATAATTTACTTAAAATATGGCCATTTTAAGTGTGTGGTTTGATGGATTTTGACAAATGTACATATCTGTATCACCACTTCCTCAACCTGGACATAGAACATTTCCATGGCTCCAGTCTGCCCCATCCCTCCCCAGGTCCTGGCAACTCTACCTGTGTGCATCCCCGTAGACGGCTGGCCCATCTCAGAGTCTTGCGCTGTGCAGTCCTGCGGTCTGCGCTCTGTCTGCCTCTCTCCCTCAGCCTCCTGCCTCGGACCGAGCTGGGCTACTGTGTGTCTCAGCGGCGGCTCCTTTTTTTGCTAGGAATGTCCCGTGGTTGGGACAGAGTGCGCTTTGTTCTTCTGTCCACCTGCTACTGAGCATTGGGGTTGTTTCCATTTGTGACTATTACAAAAAAATAATCACCTTGGGGGCTTTGCCCTGGCAGGCGATTGAAGCTGCCTGAAGAGCCCCTTGATCCTTTGGGGGTTTGTTTTTACAGCTTTGGGGTGGGCCGAGAACAGCCTTTCTCTAGGGTTGGTTTATAGCCTAACCCATCTGCTAAGTGACGTACCCTGCCCCGGGTGTCTCCTGAATGGCTGAGGGGTCAGCCAGGGCCCTCCGCCTTGGCTGTTGGGAGCGTGACTGGCTCTCTGCCCTGTGAGCTTGGAGAGTTGTTTTGCTTACAGCTTCCCAGTCGTTCTTTGGTTTGATGCGGTTTCGCCCTATGACTGGGCAGCGGGGTATTCAGCAAAGGCTTAGGGAGACCCTGATGCAGGCTCCGGGAGCTCCCTGTATCATTCCCTCCTCTCCAGAGCCCTGCCCGAGGCTTCCAGCTGCCTCAGCCTCTGTGAGCTCCCTCCATGCCCTCAGTGCTGGAGCTGCGCCAGCCACGAGCCTGCCTCTCGTCCAGCATCTGAAAACAGTCGTTTCCTCTTTTTTATCGAGTTTCCTCATAGTTTATGTCAGGAGGATATGTCTGAGCCTTGTCTACTGCCTTATGGCCAGAAGCTTGTGTCCACCTCTTGTAGCTATGATGAAATACTCTTTTGTTCATGGGGTGGGTATGTGGGACCCAGTGTGTGAATGTATGGCAGCCATTTCTTCTCCTGTGTGAATGAGGAAGAGCAGAAAACCCTCGAGTTCATTCACTCAGTCAATATCCACTGGGTGTGAGTGGTGATGCCCAGTTCTGTGCCAGGAAGGCTCAGGGGCTTTGGAGCAGGGACCTGGGGAGTCGGCACAGCCCAGTGACCAGCCCCTCTCTCTTTTCCAGGTCTTAGACACCTACATGTTCCATTCTTTTCTTAAAGCCCGGCTCAATAGGAGGATGGACGCCTTTGCTCAGATGGACCTCGACACCCAGTCGGAGGAGGACAGGTGCTTCACTGTTGTGTTTTGGATCTGCAGCTCTTTAGGAATCACAGTGTTCAAGGACCTCAGTTTTATTCGAATGAGTAAATGAGAAAGTCAATGGGAAATACCTTGTGCTTAGAAACTCATGATGAACTGGGCGACAGCTAGGAAGCTCTTCTCTCCATGTTTCTACTTCTTCTTTTTTTTTTTTTTTTTGAGACGGAGTCTCGCTCTTGTTGCCCAGGCTGGAGTGCAGTAGCTCAATCTCCGCTCACTGCAACCTCCGCCTCCTGGGTTCAAGCAATTCTCCTGCCTCAGCCTCCTGAGTAGCTGGGATTACAGGCACCCACCATCATGCCCGGCTAATTTTTGTATTTTTGTAAAGATGGGGTTTCGCCATGTTGGCCAGGCTGGTCTTGAACTCCTGACCTCAGGTGATCCACCCACCTCAGCCTCCCAAAGTGCTGGGATTACAGGCATGAGCCACCACTCCTGGCCTGTTTCTACTTCTTGAGGGAACACTTGAAACGTGCCCGATGTTAGCATGCTCCCCGTGGTTTGTGGCCCTTGCGTCTTCCTCGGTGCTGCTCTCTCTCATCTCCTTTCTCTCTTCCCACCTCCCCCCATCCTCAAAGCCTGCTGTTTTCCATCTCTTCCTTGCTCTCTTCCTGAGCCCCCTCCAACATGTGTCTGCTGCAGTCAGGGCCCCTGTTGGCTTATGCTGGTTTCTTCTGGGCTTGTGTCTGGGTCCCCCTGAGGCTGCACTTGGTGAGATTTGGGCAACATGTTCTTACCAGTCTGTTTTCCACTGGTGTCCAAGAGTGTCATGTGCTCTTCATCACACTGGGAAAAATGCTTAGTTTAGGCTTATTCTTCAATCATTATTGTGTCTATAAACTAACGCGTTGCTTTTTCGTACCCCAGAATAAATGGAATGCTTCTAAGTCCAAGGAGACCGACCGTTGAGAAAAGAGCCTCCCGGAAGTCCTCGCACCTGCATGTCACCCACAGGCGCATGGTGGTCAGCATGCCCAACCTGCAGGACATTGCCATGCCTGAGCTGGCACCCAGGAACTCCTCGCTCCGGCTGACGGACACCGCAGGCTGTAGGGGCAGCAGCGCAGGTGAGGGCTGCCCCCCACTGTGGTGCTGTGTGTCGGTCCCACCATTCCTGCACCTGCAAGTCATTGAGCAAAACTGGGACTTGTTTCAGGAGAGACGAGTGGGCTTGTTTTAGCAGCTGAGTTATTTGAAATGTTTAGAATATTCATTTTGCCAAGGTATGCCTTCTAGAAAATTATTTCTCGTCTGTATTTTCTGCCACCCAGTGTCACCGCTAAAGATAACGGGGGCTCGGCATGGTTCGGCATCCTTCACAGGTGTAGGCTGTGCCTGTCTCTGTATGTGTGGATTGCATGTGTATAAATACATATTTACACATCCACACGTGTGATAGGAGGCAGGGAGCGCACCAGGCACTTTCTAGAGCCGGAGCTGTGAAGGAGCCCAGTGCCCCTGCCCTCGTGGAGCTGGCATTCCAGGGCCAGGGCTAAAGTGAGCAGGGCCAGGGATGGGGAGGGGGCTTGACTGTGGTTGGGACATTTCCACAGAGATGGGACTGCATGGAGAGGCCAAGCCCAGCCTCGCGCCTTCTTGGGGAGGTACGTCCTGTCCCTAGTGAATGGGAGAAACTGTCGGGAGGCCGGGGCCTTGACCCCCAGGGCACCTGCTGCTGCTGTCTCGGGCCCAGGCAGCAAGTACCATGTGGCTCCTCCTGATCACTGTGCTGGGACCCCAGGAGCTGCACGAGTGACACCTTGATGACCCCGAGGGCTATGGTCTAGCAGGGGCAGTGCGCATGAATGACAGACCACGTTGTCTTTATCGGCTGAGCGCTGGAGCTCAGAGCGAACATTCTGGAGGCCACTGTGGGGTCCGAGCCTTCTGCCCCTGGCTGTGTGACCCTGGGCAGGCAGCTTCACCTCCCTGGTTCTGCAGTTCCTCTTCTGAACATCTGTCAGTCTGCCGCTGGCAGGTGCCCTGTGCCCACTCACCCTGGGAGCATGCTCCGCTTTCCCTGCCCTCGGAACCTTCCCCTGGAGCCCCCATGACCCTCCTCCTGCTCTCTTGGTCCTCTGGAGCTCCTGGGAGAAGAGGAAACCCAGCACCCAGTTGGTGCCTAGCTCCTGGAGGGCCCTTAGGTAACATCTATAGAAGGAGTTGGTGTGAGACACACACCTGGTTGAAGTGTGGCTCAGGCACTTAGTCGCTGTGTACCTGGGACAAGTAACCCAGGCTGTGGAAGCCTCGGTTTCCGCATCTGTAGAACGGGACTATAGTAATAATACCCCTGTCCTGAGTTGTCTTTAAGGTAAATGAAACAATGGTTCTAAAGGGCTTCATCCTGCCTAGCAGGTACATCTTGGCTTAGGCTATTAGCTTCATCCTCAAATAAAGCCTCAGTACCCGATACCTCAGTAGTATTACTAGTTGTAGCAAACCAAATTGTTCAGTGAATGCTAGCTGCTATTCTCCTTGGGGTACCATGGAAGCAAAGTGAGGGTTCTCTCATGCCTCCCAGGGGGGTGGGTGTGTGGAGCTTTCTGGAGGGAGCACACCCATTCTCATTTTATTTTGCATCCAGAGAAACATTGTCCTTGACAAGATGATGTGACAGGGACACGTGTTCATTTGGAAGGTCTGTGCTAATGGTCTCCTTTTCCCCCTGAATGTTTTAGTTCTGAATGTCACGCCGAAGTCCCCGTATACATTCAAGATTCCCGAAATCCACTTTCCGCTGGAGAGCAAGTGCGTGCAGGCATACCATGCCCACTTTGTCTCCATGCTGAGCGAGGCCATGTGCTTTCTGGCCCCCGATAACTCTCTGCTCCTGGCCCGCTATTTGTACCTCCGAGGGCTCGTTTATCTGATGCAGGGACAGCTGCTGAACGCCCTCTTGGACTTCCAGAATCTGTATAAAACAGACATACGGATCTTTCCCACTGATTTGGTGAAGAGGACGGTGGAATCCATGTCTGCCCCTGAGTGGGAGGGGGCTGAGCAGGCGCCGGAGCTGATGAGGCTCATCAGCGAGATCCTGGACAAGCCGCACGAGGCCTCGAAGCTGGACGACCACGTGAAGAAGTTCAAGCTGCCCAAGAAGCACATGCAGCTGGGCGACTTCATGAAGCGGGTCCAGGAGTCAGGGATCGTGAAGGACGCCAGCATCATACACCGGCTGTTCGAGGCCTTGACTGTAGGTAAGAGGAGGCCTGGCACCATCACAGATTTTATTATTTAGAGACAGGGTCTGGCTCTGTCGCCCAGGCTGGAGTGGACTGGCAATCACAGCTCACTGCAACCTCCACCTCCTGGGCTCAAGCAGTCCTCCCACCTCAGCCTCCCGAGTAGCTGGGACTAGACTACAGGTACGCGACACCGTGCCCGGCTAATTTTAGTATTTTTTGTAGAGACAGGGTTTCAGTATGTTGCCCAGGCTGGTCTCGAACTCCTGGGCTCAAGTGATCCACCCACCTCGGCCTCCCTAAGTGCTGAGATTACAAGAGTGAGCCTCTGCGTTGGGCCCATATATTTTATTTTACTTTATTTATGAGATGGAGTCTTGCTCTGTCTCCCAGGTTGGAGTACAATGGCACGATCTTGGCTCACTGCAACCTCTGCCTCCTGGGTTCAAGTGATTCTCCTGTCTTAACCTCCTGAGTAGCTGGGATTATAGGCATGCGCCTCCACACCCAGCTAATTTTTGTATTTTTGTAGAGACAGGGTTTCACCATGTTGGCCAGGCTGGTCTCAAACTCCTGACCTCAAGGTGATCCACCTGTCTTGGCCCCCCAAAGTGCTGGGATTACAGGCGTGAGCCACCGCGCCTGACCCTATATATTTTAAATGCTTAACGACAGTGGTCAGGTAACAGCAGTGGTGAGGTAAGCCGCCAGCAGGTGGCAGGCAAGACCGCTGCAGCACCGTGGTCTTTACAGTTGCCCTGGGCACTTACCTGGGAACGGGTGTGGTTGGCGGGGCCCTTAGGCAATGTGCCTGTCCTGAGATCTTACACAGCCTGTCTCCAGGCTGGGCTCTGAGCTGCGCTCTGTGTGGGTGGAAGGGACCTAGAATTGCTGATGGGAGATGAAGACGCTCCTTGTCCGGGAGAATTGCTCAGCATCTGCACAGAACCATGGCCTCGGCTGAAATGCTGCAGACACATGCAAAAGCGGGGACGTGGGACAAATGCCAGGGTCCTGCGCCCAGACTAACACCTGCTGCGTTTCCCATGGAGTGCAGTGGGCTTGTGCTTAGACCCAGCGGGGGCTCCGTGTGCCTCTCTCCCTCCCTCCCCAGAGGGAGCCACTGTCCGAAGCTGGAGCTTTCTTTTCTGGCCATGTTTTTATGCATTTACTACAAATGGATGCACCTGACGCGGTACCTAGTGGTCGTGAGTTTAAACACAAAAATGGGAGAATGGGAATTGTCACACCGTATGTCTGAGTTTGCACGTGCTGTTTTACTCATGGTGTTTTCAAGACGTATCTGTGTTGCTCCACATCCGTTGGGTTCATTCACTTCAACCACTGCCTGTGCTGTATGTAGTGTGTGGGCACCATTTGTCCACCTGTTTCACCATCAGTGGTGTCGCACCTGTTTCCTGGAGTATGTGTGGGTCAGTTCCTCTGAGATGTGTACCCAAGGCCTGCTTTGAGATGTGAGAACCGTCAGTCGGGCTTGGCGGGGGCCGCGCCTCCATGCTCCCAGGCAGCACACATTCCTCAGTCTCGACTCTCGCCCGTTGTGAGCCTGCAAGGATGCCACACTGACGTCACAAACAGTGCACGTGCTTGGAAGCAGTTCTGGTTTCTTTTCTGTGAGCTGTGTTGTCATGGTCTTTGCCCATTTTTATCTTGGGCTGCTTGTCCTTTCCTTAGGGATGTGTAGGGCTCTTCAGGCCCTTGGGAAAAGCTGTCCTGGTGACAGAGGCCCGGCAGGTCTCTCTTCCGGCTGTGAAACAAGCGCTGCGGAATGCAGTTTCCTTGCTTATCGTGCCCGTGGGCTCTGAGGGATGTCATGGCCGAGTGTGTGTATGAGTGTGTATGTGTGTATATGAATGTGTGTGGGTGTGAAAATGTGTATGTGTGTATATGTGTGCGAGTGTGCGTGTGTGCGCGCGCTGTACCTCTCCCTGCGTGGTGAAGCCATCAGATTGTGCGCTCACTGATCCCTGTTGTTGAGTCTGATAAGGGTGAGCTCAGAAGCCATCAGATCGTGGCCTCACTGGTCCCAGTTGTGGAGTCCGATGAGGGTGAGCTCAGATGCTCTGTGGTCACTCCCTGTGCCGTGCTTCGGGGACGCTGAGATGCTGCACCAGCCAGGCAGGGCGGGGTGGGCCCCACTTCCATCGAGCTCCTGCGGATGATGAGCACCACCCAGGAGCCACCTGGGGGGCAGGGCAGGGGCTGAATCCCACTGGGGGTGACTGTCTCTCACATGACAGGAGTCCAGGGCATGCATGGAGGCTCCTCCGTGTCATCTAGCGCCAGCTCCTTCTGTCACTCCTCTGTGGCCTGGAGCGGCCTGCTGTCTCCCGGTCACGAGCCAGCCCGTGGGCATCAGCACCGCAAGAGCAGGGTCCGTCCATCTTTTGAGGCACCCCCACCCCCGCCACACAGTGCCTTCTGTTTCCTCTCATTGGGCAGAATCGTGTCATGTGGCCGCCCAGTTGCAAGGGAGCCCGGGAAGGGTGCGTGGGCCCTGTCCAGCAGACCTGGCTGCTTGTGATAATGCCATCAGTGGCCCTGTTGTCACTTTGGCCTTGCTTACGTTGCCGATTAGGTTAGGAAATGGTCTTGATTCTGGGATATGTGAGCCTGAAGTTACCAATGTAAAGCAGCACCTAATACATGTTTTGGCCAAATGGGCATTTGTTAAAAAAAACAACAAGGTTTGGTCAGAGCTCAATGTCACCATCTTTGGACAAATTTATGTGATATAAGAATACATCAGAGATTTTATTGAAAAATATATTGCAATTTCATCATTACATACTTTAATGGCAAAATATGCTATTAACAGTGCAAGGCCAATATGCTCCCTGTTGCAGCTGCCCGTGAGGTGGCCTTCCCCAGGGACGCTGACATGTCTGCCACCTCCAGCATGGCCGTGCAGAAGCAAGACGTCCATGGGCAGCTCCAATGGTGACGTTGCCTGCACGCCACCTAGCTGAGCAGGAACAGTTGTATTGGAGGCGTGTGGGTGACGAGAGAGAGGTTAACGGCTGGTGTTTGTGTGAAACTGGAGACAAATGAGGACTGGGCATTGTGTCTACGTGGGCGTGTGCAACAACTGCGTGCATGACAGCTGCTGTGGATCACATGGGCTCATGAGTGTGCCTGGTGTCCACAGATGTGCACAGTGGTCATAAGTGTGCAGTGTTGGTGTGTGTGCACAGTGGCTGTGGGTGTGCGTAGTAGCCATAGGTGTGCACAGCGGCCATGGGTGTGCAAAGTAGTGGGTGTGCACGGTGCTGGGCGTGCACAGTGGCCGTGGGTGTGCACTGTGGTAGGCGTGCACAGTGCCTAGATGTGCACGCTGTTGGTGTGCATGGTGATGGGCATGCACAGTGGGTGTGCACAGTGGCCGAGGGTGTGCATGGTGGTGGTGTGCAGTGTCTGGGTGTGCACTGTGGTAGGTGTGAACAGTGGGTGTGCATGGTGGTGGCCGTGCACAGTGGGTGTGCATATCGGTGTCTGTGGGTGTGCACAGTGTCTTGGGTGAGCATAGTGGTGGGCACGCTGCATAGGGTGGGTGTGCGCAGTGGTGGTGGGTGTGCACGGTGGTGGGCGTGCACGGTGGTGGGCATGCACAGTGGGTGTGCATAGTGACTGTGGGCGTGCACAGTGTGGGTGTACACTGTGGTAGGTGTGCACAGTGGATGTGCACAGTGGCCGTGGGTGTGCACAGTGTCTGTGGGTGTGCACGGTGGTGGGTTTGCACAGTGACTTTGGGCATGCACTGTCTTGTTCTGCTGCAGTGCTGGTGGCGTAGTGTCCACAGGCTGGCTGAGCACTGGTGGCAGCTGCGGTGAGTGTTGCTTCTTGCCTGATGGGACTTCTTTGGTGTTGCTGCTCCTCCCTTGGTTGGGGTTTTCTAGAGCCCTGAGCGCCCTCACACTGAGGTCAGCGCTGTTATCTGTGAGAAGAAGCTGTGTCAGGCTCTGGTGACACACACTTCACCCTGCCAAGCCCCCCAGTAACTGCTGTGGACCAGGCAGCAAGAAGATTTGCCCTGAGCGGCGCAAGGGGCAGGACCCATGGCTGGGGCTCCACACTCAGGGTGTCTGGCTCCTTCATTAGGTGATGGCTTCGCCGATTCACTCTCACTTGCTCTCCTTTTCCTGTTTCTTGGGCCTCTCCTCGCCTGGCCACCTGACCAAAAGATTGCTTTATGTGATGTGATTCATGTAACAAGTGCTTCTGCCTTAAACCCAGAGTCTGTGCCTTGGCTCACGCCTGTGATCCTAACATTTCAAGAGGCCCAGGCTAGAGGATGGCTTGAGCCCAGGAATTCGAGGCTGCAGTGAGCTATGATCACGCCACTGCACTCCAGCCTGGGTGACAGAGCAAGACCCTGTCTCTAAATTTAAAAAAAAAAAAAGAAAGAAATACATAAAATAAAAACTAAAATAAATCCAGCAACTCAGAACCCCTGGGAAGTGTAGGCTGAGGCACCCCAGTCAGAGGCGGAGGTGGCTGAGGCACCCCAGTCAGAGGCGGAGGTGGCTGCATTGGGTGCTATTTCTAAAACGGAAGGGAGACTCTGGCAAACAATCTTAGGTACAGAGTCAGGAGAGGACCCCCATGCTCTTCGCGACCTCACAGATGACCTTGCTGCCCAGCACAGGGGCTGCAGAGACCTGGCCTGACAGGCCCCGCCCACTGGGCCACAGCATCCTCCTTTGTCTTCTTCTGTGACTTCTTTGGAACAATTGCACTAGGCCTACAGAGACCCTTACTGGTGCATATTTCTCTTCTGTTTGGATCTGGTGACTAGAAAATACCGACGGGCCAAAAGAATAATTCATCGGGAATCCCGCCACCTGGTGGAGATTTTCGCATAACCACCTGGTGCCTGCGCCGCGTGCTGAAGCCTGCCTTCCCGCTCAGCTCACCCCTGCAGGGCCGGCAGTGCCTGTGACTCGGAAGTGAGATGTAAGAGATGAGGAAATTTCCTCCTGAGCCTGTGACAGCGCCGACTTCCTTCCTGTGGCGGTCGTCTTTTAGTTGCTGCCGTGACGACTCAGTCGTCCTGGACTCAACTGTGGCCATGATAGCGGATTCCCTAGACAGGCATCGCTGTTGACGCTTTGGTATGGAATCGGAACAGGGCGTGGCGGAGCTGGACCATTAGCCACGTCTTTTGCTGTTTCAGACTCGGGATCTGAGGATCTGAGGATCTGAGGTCACAGGTACTCCCCTTTCAAGCAGCGACCAGCAGGGAAGGCATACCCCAGCTCTGGGCAGACCGTCTGCCCAGCCTCACGGCCCAGGTCTGCTGGCAAAGGGCTTTCCTCTCTGTGTCTCAGTTTCCCCTTTTGAATGAGCCACCTCATAAGGTGGCTGTAAGGATTCAGTGGGACCCCATATAGAGTGGATTCTGGTTCTTGGGGTGTAGCAAGTGTTGCTGGATACAGCAGTGCCATAAGGGAAGCAGGTGTGCAGCTCAGCAGTGGCCTGGCCAGGATGTCTCTGCCTTATCGGGGAAGGCGTGCGTGGGCATGCCTACCTGGGTGTTGAGGGATGGGTAGGAGTTTCCTGGTGTGAGCAGGCAGGATGAGTGTGTGTGTGCGTGTAACAACACGACCTGTTTGGGAGCATGCTTGGTACGGCTGGGCTGTGGGGTGGGTAGGTGGGGCCCAATCTTGGAAGAATGTGGCTGTGGTATACAGAAGCAGCCCTGAGTGTTAAACATGGGAGCGGGAACTCCTCTCTGCATTTGAGAAAAGTGGCTCTGAGTGCCACGCAAAGCAGGCTGTGAGTGCGGGTGGCTCTGAAGGCAGGAGCCACTGAGGAGGGTTTTCCTGTGCAGAACTGAGGGGGACTTGCTGCACGTCAGGGGACAGAGAGAGGGACACTGGGTGGAGGCAGAGCCGAGCAGGCAGGCTAGGGGCTTGAGTTGGCAGGACCTGCCGGCAGGGACTTGGGATTTCCGAGGGGTCGTCCCATCTCCCGCTGACAGATAAGCAGGTTCGTTCCGCGACTTGCCAGGAGTCTCTGTGAAAGGTCGTGAAGCGGGCTTCAGGCTCAGGCTCCTCTGACTCCAGAGCCCGTGAGTGCTGGCCTCGTGGGAAGGTTACTGCTTCTCATCAGCGGAGGTGATTTCAGTTGCAGACAACAAAAGTCAATGATTTGCTGGTAACCAAAGAGTGTGGAGGTCGGGCCAGTTACAGGAGAGGCCGACCCAGTGGCAGGGCAGCGGCGCTAAGGATCCAACCTTCCCGGCGTTAGCTTCATCCTAGGACTAGCTCCCCTTGTGACCCCAAGACAGTGGCCAGCAGTTCTAGTGATGAGGAAGGTCTTTGCCCCCATTAGAAGAGTGTCCTTGTCCGGAAGGACTTTCCTACCCAAAGGTAAGAGTTGCTGTGACTACCTGAAGCAGGTCCCGTGGCCATCCCAGAGCGGGCGGCTGGAAAGGGCTGCGGGCTCAGCCTAGATCGTGTGCCCCTCCCTTGACAGCTGGACACACCTGGGCTGCAGGGAAGGCCCTGGGAAACCTTCTAGGCAGTTTCCATCCAGCGCCCTGAGTGCTGGCGCCACCTGCTGCCGGGTTCCGGTAGTGTGCGGTTTCTTCAGGTCATGGAGAAGCCCTTGGGGCTCCCGAGGTATGTGGCTGTAAGATACCTCTCTTTTCTTCTTATCAAACTAAGGACAGGAGAAACAAATCGACCCAGAAACATTCAAAGATTTCTACAACTGCTGGAAGGAGACGGAAGCAGAAGCCCAGGAGGTCAGTCTGCCGTGGCTGGTGATGGAACACCTGGATAAAAACGAGTGTGTGTGTAAGTTGTCCAGCTCCGTCAAGACAAACCTAGGCGTTGGCAAGATCGCCATGACCCAGAAGCGCCTGTTCCTCCTAACCGAAGGAAGGCCAGGCTACTTGGAGATTTCCACCTTCAGAAATATAGAGGTAAGGACAGCACAGGCAGACGGCGCCAGACCCCACCTGTGTTTAGGAGACAGATGGCTGGAGTGGGCCCTGAGCAGTCTGCCAGCCATGCCAAGTACCAGCTGCAGCCCTTCTGCAGACCGAATGCCTTCCTGTCCCTCAGTTTGCTCATCTGTAAAGTAGGAATAAGGCTGATACCTTCTCAGTGGGTGGTGGAGATTGAATAGTTTGCATATGGAGCATGCTTAGAATGGTAACTGATTCTCTGTCACAGCTGACTTGCATCTGGGAGGCAGGAAGTAAGAATGTGGGCTGACATTCTCATTAGGGACAGTAGGACGCCTTCGTTCATCCATGAGATGTTTACTGAGAAACTGCCATGTGCCAGCCACGGTGAGCTACAGTAGCTCACATTTTCTAGTCACAGTCGGACCTGGTTCATATAAAACATAACAAGCTTATTTTATAACAATTAAAAAATCTTCAAACAGTTTTAACATTATATTCTAAAGGTAGTCATTTTCCCTGTCGAGGAAATCTGAATTTCATCCTGATTCCTCTTACGCCTTATAGTTGTTTTCCCAGATTTAAGGGGACTGTAAGAGGCATGTCAGATACACAAATGTTTTATGTGATCACCTGCTGAGTGGTCATAGAAGCCAGAAAGGCAGTCAAGCCACAGCCGCAGCCCATAGTAAATGCTCGGCCAGTAGATCCCCCTCTTGCTGTTGGCCTTCAGTTTATGCTTTTTTCCACACCTGCTTTTCCAGACTTCCTTCTAGAATTCCAAAGAAATGTAAATAAATATAAGGAAAGGGAGATGGAAGTAAAAAAAAACAAAAACAAAACAAAAAAAAAAAAACAAAAAGAGGGAGAGAGAAGTATTTAAGGATGTGAAAGAATGCGCTGCCTTCGGACACTGGGCGAGCCCAGCTGTGTGGGTGGGTGTAGGTGCCGCACCGCAGGTGAATCCTACCTGCCGTCCATGGGAACACTGCCCCTCACCCGGGGCCCTGCCTTCCACATGCCAGCAGGATGCGTGCCTGCAGCCCATCTGCCTCTTCATTCCAGAGCCCGCTCTGCCTCTGTCTCTGGTGAATCCACGTGTTCTCTGAGTGTGACATTCCTAACTTTTCTTTTCTGCCTCTGCAGGAGGTCAGGAGAACCACTACTACATTTCTACTTCGGAGAATACCCACTTTAAAAATCAGAGTGGCGTCCAAGAAAGAAGTCTTCGAAGCCAACCTGAAAACCGAGTGTGACCTTTGGCACCTGATGGTGAAGGAGATGTGGGCTGGGAAGAAGCTGGCCGATGACCACAAGGTGGGAGACGCGGGTCCCCTCTGCCCTTTGCTGTGGCTGCCTCAGGGGCCTCTCGCCACCTGTGGGTCCTGTGGCAGTCCTCAGCTGTGAGTGCTCGGGCTCGGGTCTGAGTGTCTTAAGCAGAGTAAGTTTGTCGGACACCATCTTGACAGAAGCATTGAAGATGTGGTCTGTGTGACCCAGCGAGAGGCCTCACGGTGCTACGGAAGAGCATGATGAGAAAACGCAGGGCGGTCTGGGCAGGTGTGGGTGCCCCACTGCCCGCTCCAGACTGGCGACATCCCAGAGAGTGGGGCCTCCCGGGGGCGGACGGTGCTGGTGCTGTCCACACCCGCAGGCCGGAGTTGGGTGTTTTGGGCTTCCCTGCTCTGAGCGACTCTTCACAGTCACAGGATTTGGAATTCGGCAGGGGCAGTACTGCTTTCCTTCCACAGGGTTGAGATGATTTTTCTAGGGATTGTTGTACCTTAATTTACTTTGGGCCAAATTGATAGCTTTGATGATATCAAATGACAATTGCATAGTAATGAAGGGAACCATGGGCCGGTGGTGTGTAGAGGAGGCATCCACGCTGCTCAAGGGTGGCACAAGACAGGAAGACGCCTTAGAAAATGGGCAAAGACCATGAACGCGGAACTCACAGAAAGGGAACAGTTCACCAGGTTATGAAGAGGTGTGTAGCCCCACTAATCCTCAGAGAAATGCCGGGGACGATGGCACCCACTACAGTGGCAGTGCTAGGAGGAACAGATGGGGCCACAGCGGGAGGGTTGCTGTTATTACAGGAAGTTCCCGGTCACAGGGCAGAGGGGGACTGGGTCCTTTCTAAGATTCCAGTGCCCTGTGGCTTTTAGACTAGCCATCTGATGCTATACCCACTGGTTTACATAGCATAAACCAGCATAGTCAAACCAAAGCCCGTGGGCCAGTGGACTGTCTTTGTAAGTAAAGTTTTATTGGAACACAGTCCTGCCTGTTTGTTTATGAAATGTCCCTCGGTGCTCCCATGCCGCAGTGGCAGGCAGTGGGTGATCTCAGCTGAGACTGGCCACAAAGCTTGAAATGCCTCCTGCCTAGCCCCTTCTAGAAAACACTGGCTGAGCCCTGGTATAAACAATCAATATTTGTCTTAAGTAAGAGAAGAAATATATGACATAAAATCCAAATTCATCCGTGATCTAAACTCTTCATGTCACTTTGGAAAAAGGCATTTTGGAAGGATTGTCCTGTGTGTTGCAACAAGGTCTCCGGTGAACTGATCTTAGTGATTCTTGCTGTTTTGAAACGCACGTGTTTCTGTTGTAGGACCCTCACTACGTCCAGCAGGCGCTGACCAACGTCTTGCTGATGGACGCCGTCGTGGGCACACTGCAGTCACCAGGCGCCATCTACGCTGCCTCCAAGTTATCCTACTTTGATAAGATGAGTAACGAAAGTAAGATAAGCCCGTTCTTAGCGTGGATCATTGTCCTGATTACACGCCTTAAGTGATTTTATCTGGTCGATGTCTGTTTTATCAAGTAGAACCGAGCCCAGCTCCCCCAGTTTTTTCTTTTATATTTGTAATTTACTCTCGAGTCGCACACCTTATCCGGCATCTTTCCTTCCTTCACTGCACAGTGCACCTTGGAGCCCCTTGCGCATCCAATTGAGGCACCTCGTCGTTTTAATGTCTGGATAGCATTGCAATGTACACTGCAAGCATTTGTGGTGATTCGTAATTACAAACAACAGCCTTTCCTCTGGCTGGCTGAAGCAGACTAGAAACCTGTGGGAGGTTGTGGAGCGGCTCCTGGAATCTCTGACTGGTGGGGAGCGGGTGTCTGGGACTTGCAGTTAGGAACACACCTGCTGAGAAGCTGGGAACGTCTACACAGCTGGCCTGTTGACTGACGGGCTTCACCGCTGCATGAGTGAGGAGAGGCCCTGCACGTCAGGATCCGCTTTTTTCTTGATTGGGTCAGCTTCCCCAGACAGGAATCCTCTGACTGTCCTGTAGATTTGCATCTGGCTCTCGCATTCTGGAAGCCATAGAGGCTGGTGCTGGACTCCCATTTTTTTCTTGTGAAAGGTGATCTTCAAGCCTAGGGTTTTCTGGTCTTCTTGTGACTGAGTGATAGACACCGTTTGGGTGAAGGACGTTTGGTCTGTCCCTTCATCAGTGAGTGAGCACTGGCGTGGCCTCTGTGTTGTGGCTGCTGTGAGCATTCATGTGTAAGCTCTGGTGTGCACATCTGTTTTCATTTCCCTTGGGCGTAGATCTAGGGGACTCTGGCTTTTTAAAAAGTCGCAGAATTAGGAACAAACCTCACTTACGTGTTTATTTCCTTGGGCACAGTTTGCTCTCTTTGTGGCATCTGTCACCAACTGCAGGACCTCTGCCACTTTCTGGGTACAGAATCCCTCTCCCACGTGACCCAGAGGGACCTTGAGCTGCAGCAGCAGCCGGGCTCAGGTGCCTGTGTTCCTGCAAGGCCAGCTGAGTGGCTTGAAGGAGCTTTTGTCTGACAGTCCTGGAACCAGACATTGATTGCTCTTTTCTTTTTCCTTGGGAGCAAAATCAAACAAACCCCCTACTTCAGCTGTTGATCTCATTCCAAACTCATGCCTAATCTCTGTCGGGCGTTTACAGGAAAGCCTTCTAACGCCTCTGTTATCAGCGCATGACGGCAGACGAGGAGCCGCCATGCTGGTGTCACTTGGTGTGGTGCGCTGGCTCCCGCTCCCTCGTTACAAATCCGGAAACATTTTCCCATGTGTAAAGCTCAGGACACATGAGCCTGAGCTTAATTTAGTAGCTTATGGCCAACTCATGATGGAAGGTCTCAGACTGTACGGAATTAAATAATACCCGAAGATGTCATAGTCCGAGGCAGGAGCTGAAGAGGCGTTGGCCGCGGCCAGTTGGCTTTCACCGCAGCCCGGTGTAGCCCGCCAGCCTCGTGCGGAGTCCTGGTCGACCCCTTGCTGACAGTGTGATCTTCATTTGATCACGGATGTCGACGTGTGTCGGTTTCTTCATCTTTCTTTTTTCAAAATGGGGATAACGGGACCAATCTCATCAGGTTGCTATGACAGTAACAAAATGATGGAAGAGAAGCACTTAAGGGGCAGGCCCTGGACGGCAGGGACTGAGGGAGTCCTGGACGCAGGAGGTCGAGGCGCCCGCAGGGGCTGGCAGGAGGGACCGCAGAACAGGCTGGTCCCAGGGGCCTCCGGGCAGCAATGAGGAGCCGTGTCAGAGCAGGCTGTGCCCGGGGGCCTCCAGGCAGGAGGCCGCTTTAGGTTTTGCCTGGAAACATGGGTTGGATTGGATAGCAAGAGGAGCATTAGGATATCCTGAGGAGCAGTGGTTTTGAACGGGGGGCGATGTTGCACCCCCTCACTGCGGAGAGGCATTTTGACAGCACCTGGAGATATCTGTGGTTGTGTGTGAGGTGCTACTGGCATCTCATGATGCTCCACATCCCATGGCACACAGGATGCTGGGCATTCGCCCACAGCCAGGATTATCCAGCCCAACACGCCCCTGGTTCTAGGCTGGGAAACCGCGCTCATGGGTTAGGTCTCTGGGTTTCATCTTGGGAGGGCTTCGTTATTGAGGAGAATTTTATATCTCCGCTTTGCTGGGCACTGTGTCATGTTTGGGTGTAGCTAGAGATCACAAGGGATGGCTCAGGAGCAGAGAAGAAGGCTGTGTTTAAACAAAGGCAGCTCGAGGCATAGGGGCATGGAGGTGTGGTGTGGACACAGGTGGGGGATGCGCCTGGCCACTCACTCGCACACCAGGTGACAACCAGGAAAGGAGGCCGAGGGTGCATGGCTTTCTTTCAGTGCCCCGGGTCCAAGAGACCTTCGTCTTCACAAATTAGGAAGTTTTACCTGCAAGCTGATATTCTGCAGAAATCAGAGTGCGTGAGGCCGTTGCATCGCGTCTGTTTCCTTGAGGCTGCAACAGTAACACTCCAAGTGTCTTGTCTTTCAGTGCCCATGACGCTTCCGGAGACAACCCTGGAAACACTGAAGCATAAAATCAACCCCTCGGCGGGGGAGGCGTTCCCACAAGCGGTGGACGTGCTGCTCTACACTCCAGGTAAGGCCCCTCTGCCCGCGCCTCGCTGCCAGTTTTCAGCCAATCTGATGCGCTTAGGTTTGGGTTCAGGGTCAGCCCTGAAGTGAAAGGGGAGCCAGTGTCACGGGATAAGTGGGGACAAGGTGCCTGTTGCTTTCTGAGGTGAAGTGCTGAGTGACAGGTGTGCAGCTGGCACGACCGCTCCACGGACTCAGCCTCACGGTGACTGGAGCCAGAGAGCCCACGGGAGATGGAATTGGGGCCAGCACTTGAGCTCCCGCCCCAGGGCTGCCGTCCCTCACCTTCTAGAGCAGTCGACGGTCACGCTAGCTCTTTCTTTTTTTGAGACGGAGTCTTGCTCTGTCACCCAGGCTGGAGTGCAGTGGTGAATCTTGGCTCACTGCATCCTCCAACTCCTGGATTCAAGTGATTCTCCTGCCTCAGCCTCCCGAGTAGCTGGGACCCCAGGCACCCGCCACCATGTCTGGCTAACACACTGGCACTTTCTAAAGCACTCTTGCTCACATCGTTTCCGCAGAAGCTCTTAATGGGATCCTCTTGTCATGGTGATAAGGTGATGGCGCCTCAGATATTTGTTGTCATAGGAACTGGAATGACAAGGAGTCTGTGTGGCCCTGAGCGGCCCTGAGTGCCTGCCAGTCCCTCTTCTCCGCTGGGTGCGGCTGCACCTGCCTCCTGTGCTTGGCTTTCCTGGGACCCTGCACGCCGCATCAGGGTGGTGGCAGGAGAAGGAAATGGGCGCGGCCAAGAGTCTTGGTATAAAAAAAGATGGCTGTCATGTCGCACGTTGAAACTGTGGAAAATACTTTTATTTAATTTTGGCTTATGGACAGTGCAGCAGGGAAGCTTATGCTGAGGGTTTACAGTGTGGAAAACAAAGGAATACAGTTCTCGGCAGAAAAGATTTGTATTTTTTGTGTATTTTTTATTTTTTTGAGTCAGGGTCTTGCTCTGTTGCCCAGGCTGGAGTGTAGTTGGTGCAATCATGGCTCATTGCAGCCTCAACCTCCTGGATTCAAGCGATCCTCTTGCCTCAGCCTCCTGGGTAGCTGGGACCATCGGCTTGTACCACCAAATCCAGGCACGTGCCACCGAAACCAGGTGATTTTAAAAATTTTGTGTAGAGACGGGGTTTCGCCATGTTGCCTAGGCTGATCTCGAACTCCTGGGCTCAAGCGATACCTCTCCACCTTGGCCTCCCGAAGCGCTGGGATTACAGGTGTGAGCCACTGCGCCAGCCCAGAAGGGATTTTTAAAATTGTCACTTTGTTTGTTGCATCTGCGTCTGCAGGTGTCAGCCGTAGGTGTCAGGGATGCAGATGTAGGTGTCACCCCCTCTCACAGGCCATGTCCGCGGCTTCACAGAGCACCTGGCCATTCACACACGGAGCTCATGCTTCAGGTGGGCAGAGAAGCTGTGTGTGAAGCGATTTCCCCATAAGAGAGTTTTTCTCTCTTCATGGCAGGCCAAGAAACCCAGGAACGCGATAGACCCTGGCTGAGTGAGCAGGCAGCGTCATCAGGGCCGCCCCGCGTGAGCCCTACCTGATGTGTCTAAGCCAGGCTCTGTGCTGACTTCGCCAGAGATGACTCCACAGACCAAGATACTTTGACCGTGGCATTTGAATACATGGTATTTTTAGGTCCCGGTTGGTTTCCCTGAAATGAAACTCACTCTGAGCTTCCTGTTGTGACGGGCGAGGAGTTCAGGCGGCTTCCCCTCCAGGAGCATCTCGAAGGCCTGCAGAGAGCGTGCAAAGCAGCCGTGGGGAATGGGGAAACCGCCTTTTCCTGTGGCTGCCGATTCTGGAAGGGGTGGCCGAGAAGCTGGTAGCCGAGCAGGGCTTTTGCAAGCCTTGTGAGATTGCAGGGACAAGAGGTGGGGTCAGGCCCCATCAAGAAGGGGGAGTCTTGTTATTCCCATTAGCTTGGGGCTGGGTCTCCGACAGGTTCCTAGGAGTTAGGAGAACCAGCCCTGAGGCCAGGCCACAGGTCAGCTCAGGCTCTGCCCATGGGGAGCGTGCCTCTCAGAGACGGCAGTGTCTCACCCATGGGAGCAACAGACCACTGGAATCGCACCCCAGAAAGACCGGGAGGCCTGCCCTTCTGGACTCAGGACGGAGGCAGCACTGCAGGGCGGGGGGTCGCTTGAATATCCTCAGGGGAAAGGTGAAACCTCGCCCCTTCACACTGCCCTGCGGTCAGGCCCAAGGGGGCCGAAACCTCAACGCGGTGGTAAAAGGCAAATGTGAACAATGAAAGCAAGCAGACTTCTAGGTGATAGGGTAGAAGAATATTTTCATGACTTTATGGTAAAGAAAAAAATGCATAAATTATATATAAAATACCATAAAGGAAAAGAATGTTGAATTTGACTATATTAAAAGCAATGACTTTATTATTTTTATTTTTTCTGAGACAGGGTCTGACTCTGTCACCCAGGTGCAGTGGCGCGATCACACCTCACTGCAACCTCTGCCTCCTGGGCTCTAGCGATCCTCCGCCCTCGGCCTCCTGATTAGCTGGACTGCAGGTGCACACCACTATGCCCAGCCAATTTTTGTATTTTTTTTTTTTTTTTTTGTAGAGATGGAGTTTTGCCGTATTGCTCAGGCTGGTCTTGAACTCCTGAGCTTGAGCAGTCTGCCGGTTTTGGACTCCAAAGCGCTGGGTTAGAGGCGTGAGCCACCACAACTGGCCAAAAGCAATGATTTTAAAAAGAAGACACTTTTTTTTTCCTCCTTTCAAATGAGCTGGTTTAATTCACGGTGACACAAAATTGAGGGTAGAAGACCAAAGAGCGCCCTCTGGCAGGCTCAGGTGGGAATGACGGGTGAGAAGCCACTGAAGACGTCCGGTGACACTGTCAGTTTTTTGTTTTGTTTTTTTTTTTTTTTAATTTAAAAAAAAAAAGAAAAGTTTATGCTTGAAAGTGCAACAGGCTCCAGGGCAACGCTCACTCTAGCTGAAGATGGCAAAAGCTGTCCTGGCGGGGGTGCAGGTGTTGAAACAGGAGTGGAGTCCAGGCCGCCACCGCCCAGGCAGAGGGAGCAGCGTGCTTTCCGCCAGGGGTCTTAGTTCCAGCTGTGGCTGGGCCTCCCTGCGGCCTGTGCTTTCGGCCCCTTGAGGTTCTGGTCTGTTTTGCTTTCTGCTGGAAGCCTCATCATCTCTGTCCCTCTCCTGGGCCTGCTTCTTGGGCTGTCTCAGAGGCTTCTTGCCATCTTCATGGCCGGACACGGCGCCTACAGCCTCTTCCCCAGACCCTGCCACAGGAAATGGACAGAAGACACTTTTGAGAGGGTGAAAATGTAAGCTGCAGACTGGGAAGGATCTTTAAAATGGGTGCTGCTAAAATCATTGCTTTTAATGTAGTCAGATTCACCAGTCTTTTGCTTTATGGTATTTTTATATGTCATACGTAATTTATGAATACAGCACCATGGAGTCAGTTAGGGGCTCATATCCAGAACACCGGAACAGCTGGCCGGGCGTGCCTGTGGTCCCAGTGAGGTGGGAGGGTGGCCAGAGCCCTGGACTCGGAGCCTGTGGTTTGCTGTGATCGCACCTGTGAACACTGCTGCACTCCAGCCCGGGCAACATGGCAAGACCTCGTCTATTAAAAAGTAAAAAAAAATAAAAATAAAAAAAAATAACAGCCACAAACTAGGGAGAACGAAAAACAGACACTTCCCACAAGAGGGCATGGGGATGGCCAGTTCAAGCCATCAGGCTCATTAGCAATTAGAGAAATGCAATTAAACCACAATTTAAAAGCCAAAAGCTCCACACCCTTAGAATGGCCGAAATTAAAAAGATGGACGGACGCCAGCAAGTGTTGGGAAAGACGCGGAGCCCGCTGCACATGAGGGTGTGGGGGGCACCATGGCCCCTGCCGCCGTCTCTCCAGCTGCCCTCCCTCCCTGCCTCCCTCCCTCTGTGTCCACCTGCTCCTCTTCCAGTTCCCTCTGCCTGGCTGTTTCCTCTAGTGAATGCTCACTCAGCTGGCAGGTCCTGGCTTAGCAAAGCTCACAGGCATTCGGCTCTGCATCTGCCTGCGGCTCTGACCCTGTCTTTGTGGCCCTCTCACCAGCCAGCTGCCCCCCTTGACTCTGAGCTCCCAGAGGGCAGGGAAGCCTCTGCCTGGGCACGTCTTTGTACGTACAGCACCTAACATGGGCCTGGCGCTTAGGAGGGCCCAGGAGGCACCTGAGTAAGGGCACCAGTCACCTGCTGCTACAGCAGAAGTGTTTCCTCCTAACAGTTTTGTGCTGCTCTCCTCTTTAGGGCATCTTGACCCAGCCGAAAAAGTTGAAGATGCTCACCCCAAGTTATGGTGTGCTCTGAGCGAAGGCAAGGTGACCGTGTTCAATGCTTCTTCATGGACCATCCACCAGCACTCCTTTAAAGTGGGCACTGCAAAAGTGGTGAGTACACGAAGCGTCAGGAAAGAAGCCTCTGAATTCACGTGATTTCTGAAACCCAAGTGTGTTCATCCATATTCGACAGTAGGATACAAGCTATTCCACAGCCTCACTCGGTTTCTGTAAACAGGGGGTCTTAACTTTCACCTGGAGTTTTCAAATTAAATGTAAGCTTGTTCCAAACTTCTACTTACACGTCCTTATTGAAGGAGAAGATAATGGCTTTGACTTTCTCATCTAAAAACAGATTTCAGGCCCCCATCTAAAAATAGATTGCAGGGGCTCACACCTCTAATCTCAGCACTTTGGGAGGCTGAGGTGGGTGGATTGCCTTGAGCCCAGGAGTTTGAGACCAGCCTGGGCAACAGAGTGAGACCCCATCTCTACAAAAACTACAAAAATTAGCCGGGCATGGTGGAGCGTGCCTGTAGTCCCAGTTACTTGGGAAGCTGAGGTGGTAGGATCGCTGAGCCTGGGAGGTCGAGGCTGCAGTGAGCCAAGATCGCGCCACTGCACTCCAGCCTGGGTGACAGAGCCATACCCTGTCTCAAACAGACAAATAATAATAATAATAAAATAATAAAAATCGACGTCAGTTCTGTGAAGTGGAGCCATTGTGGTCTCTGCCTGCTTATTACAGGCTTCACACACTTTGGGAACAATTTCCTTCTTTTTTTTCTTTTTTGAGACAGGGTCTTGCTCTGTTGCCCAGGCTGGAGTGCAGTGGTTCAGTCATGGCTCACTGCAGCCTCGACCTTCTGGGCTCAAGGGATCCACCTCGGTCTCCTGAGTAACTGGGACTACAGGTGCATGCTACCATGCCTGGCTAATTTTGTATTTTTTGTAGAGATGAGGTTTTGCCACGCTGCCCAGGCTGGGAACGATGTCTTCCATCCTGTACTGCAGCACTAAGGTTCCCAGGGACCAGGGCCTTAAAATGAACCTGCAGTGTTTCCTGGGAACCCTGGTGTTTCCTGGTGGCACAGTGGTTACTGGGTCTCTTTTGGAGCAAAAGAGGAGACAGCTGCCTCTGCAGTGACTTCAGTGTTATCCACCTGTCCCCACGTGCCAGGTGGCAGAGACCAGGGCCCAGCAAAACTCAGTGTCCACTCGTCACACATTATTCCTCTCACTTAGAGCAAGCTTGTCCAACCTGTGGCCTGCAGGCTGTACGTGGCCCAGGACGGCTTTGAATGAGGCCCAACACAAATTTGTAAACTTTCTTAAAACATATGTTGAGTTTTTTTTGCAATCTTTTTCCTTCTAGCTCATCAGCGATCGTTAATGTTAGTGTATTTTATGTGTGGCCCAAGACAATTCTTCTTCCACTGTGGCTCAGGGAAGCCACAAGAGTGCACACCCCTGATTTAAAGCAAGTTTGAATTGTTTCTGATAATTTTAAAACAAGTGCAACTGTTAATACATTTTTAGTAGTGTGTCCTTGGCAGTGCCATGGTGTGTCGCTTCTTCCATGACCATGGTATCTTGAGTGTGGAAGCTGGGATTCCTGCCCTGCTCATCCCTCCAGGCCCCCAGCGGCCCCTCCTGCCTGCAGACCATCATTTCTTGGGGATTTTCCCTGTTTGCCCGTCAGCGCTGTGAGCTGCCCCTCCCTGCGGATCTGTGTGCGCTTCCCTGTCGCCCGAGAGGCCGCTGAGTAGCTCCCCGTGCTCTGAGACCCCACACTCCCCCGCACCGTGGCCTGCGCGCCCTTTGTCCATGTTTCTCCTGTTCTTGCTCATGGATTTGCAGATGACGTTCACATTTAAATTGCATTTTATAGTTTTCAAAATATTTTCGCATCTACACTCTCCTCCTATCTGGTCACCCTCCAAGCAGCCACCCCATCATGGGATCTGCTGAGAAATCCTCATGCCTTACTCCTTGAGCATGATAGGATTTTTTTTTTTTTACATGTTTAATGTGAAAAGAACACTCCAGTGGAGTATATACCTAAGTATATATTAGGCATTGGCTGGTACCATTTTTTTTTTTTTGACAGGGTCCCTCTCCCATTGCCCGTGGCTGGAGTGTAGTGGCACAATCGCTGCTTACTGCAGCCTGGACCTCCCGAGTAGCTGGGGCTATATAGGTGCGCACCACCACACCCGGCTAATTTTTGTATTTTGAGTAGAGATGGGGTTTCACCGTGCTGCTCAGGCTGGTCTCAAACTCCTGGGCTCAAGCAGTCCTCCCGCCTCGGCCCCGCCAAAGTGCTGGGATTACAGGTGTGAGCCACTGCGCCCGGCCATGGTATCAGTTTTGATGGCTGTGTTCCCTTGTCTAAAAATAATGTGGGAAAATCCGTGGCACAGTATGTGCTTGCAAAACTGCTATAAAACAAATACTGTGAACTCAAATACATACCACCAAGAGGGTGGGACCACTCTTGAGATACCTGAATAGCAAACTTTACATGTTAGAAGGTAATAAGAGCCTGCTAAATCATTTCCCCCCATATTCAAATCATGAGCCTCAGATGATAAAGTAATAGGATCCATGATACAGTAAAAATATTGACAAAAGTCTAGTAATGCTTTAAACCAAACAACAAAAAAAGGAAAAATTAGGGAAATTATTTTTCTAAATTTAATTTTTTTCAGTTCGTTCTTAGTTATAAGCATTTCAAGGCTGGGCGCAGTGGCTCACGCCTGTAATCCCAGCACTTTGGGGGGCCGAAGCAGGAGGATTGCTTGAGTCTAGGAGTTCGAGACCAGCCTGGGCAACGTGGGGAAACCCTATCTCTACTAAAACTGCCAAACATCAGCCAGGCGTGGTGGCATCAGCCAGGCGTGGTGGCATCAGCCAGGCGTGGTGGCCCATGGCTGTAGTCCCGGCTACTCGGGGGTCTGAAGCGGGAGAATCGCTTGAGCCGGGAGGCTGAGGCTGCAGTGAGCCATGATCATGCCACTGCACTCCAGCCTGGGTGGCAGAGTGAGACTCTGTCTCAAAATAAACAAACAAACAAAAATAAAAATTCTGATTTCAAAGAGTCTAAAAGCAATCATTATGTTGACTTTGCTTAGCTTAGACAGAAACCCTGAGCGCACTCTCTAGACACTGGGAGCACTGCCAGTTCTGCTTGTTCACATACAGTCGGTCTCATCATTTGGAGATTCCGTATTTGCAAATTCGACCACCTGCTAATATTTACTTGTAACTCCCAAAACAGATACTCGTGGTATTTTCTTGGTGATCCACAGACATCCACGTGCACAGACGGGGGAAAAACTTGAGTCACCTGATATGGATTTTCTGGGCCAACAAGTGTCCTCTCCTCGGCCTGATTGGTGCCACAGTTTTCACATTTTTTGCTTTTCGTTGGTGATTTTGCCATTTAAGAAAGCCTCAAGCATGGAGCTCCCTAAGCACAAGGAGGCGGTGACGTGTCTTGCAGAGAAAATGCATGTGTGAGATGAGCTTGGTTCAGGCCGCAGTGACAGTGCTGGCGGCCGTGGGTTTCGTGTTAATGAATCAATCATACGTAGTCAATAAGGTGTCTGTGAACAGAGCACGCGGAGAACAAGGTTATGCACTGATGGGTGGATGACAACGTCAGGGCCAGAGGCTCCCAGGACCCTGAGCCGGCGTGTCCCCTAGGAGCAGTGGTTCCATATCCGCTAATTCAGCACGTGCAGTAAATGTATAGAATATGACTTCACCAGTATCGAGACTGACTGATTTCTCACGTTCCCGTGGCCTCCTGTTAGAACTGCATGGTGATGGCCGACCAGAACCAGGTGTGGGTTGGCTCGGAAGACTCCGTCATCTACATCATCAACGTCCACAGCATGTCCTGCAACAAGCAGCTCACAGCCCACTGCTCCAGTGTCACGGATTTGATTGTGCAGGACGGACAGGAGGCACCCAGGTGCAGTAAGCTCTGCTGGGGAGAAGGGACTGTTTGGCTTGTGGGTGGGCAGAAGGCACAGCGGGTAGGGTTCCCAAGTCTTGTGCCCACAGGGGCCAGGCGGGGCGTACAGAGTGAAGTGGATCTAGAACGAGGAAAGCTGGGTGGTGTCCTCGGTCTGCTTCTGCTCACGGGTGCGGAGAACCCATGACACCAGTGTGGGCCAAGCGTGGTGATGAAGGCACCACACCCGGCCTTCCTGCTGAGCTTGCTGTGGGCACTGTGGCATGGGGCAGCCCCGAGAGGGCACAGCCTCCCAGAGGTGCACCAGCCATGGTGTCAGAAGCCTGGACTCGCCTGATAATCGCCTGAGTGCTCAGTGTTGGCCTTGGGCTGCCTGTTCGCTGCTGTTTCCCACAGTGGGAGCAGCACTGGACACGGGGCATCCAGGGAGACGGGAGGAGGAGGTGGGGTCTCCTTGAGCAGAGGCTCATGGTGGGGAAAGTGCACAAGGCTGCCCACTTGGTCCAGGCAGCCCCAGCCCTGGGTGAGGGGCCACACTCCCCACTCCTTTTTCCCCTGACTTAGTGTCGGGGGCGCCTGTGTCAGGCCCTGTTGGGGTGGGTAGGGAGGTGCTAGTCTGGAAGCAAAGCTGGCTCAGGAGGTTCAGGGGTGGCGCAGGGTGCAGGCTCGAGCCCAGCCCCGCCCACAGCCGCCTGCACCTGCAGCCAGCCCATGTCACCCGAGAGCTCTGAGGATCGTGCTGGCTCCCTGGTCCCTTGTGTGAACGGGGACCGCTGACGAGGTTCCATTTCAGTTCATGGTCATGTCATGGCTCTATGACAACACCTCATTGAGCCTGCGGCCCGCGGTGGTGGGAGAGGTGGGCGTCCCGAGAAACCCGCCTTTTCCTGCCGAGTCAGTTACATTTGAGCCAAGCCTGGCTGTGGCTGCATTCATAGCATGTTTGCATGTTATTATCATGTTTGCAGGTTACGTTTGCAGGTTATTATGTTTGCATGTTATTATCATGTTTGCAGGTTATCCGTGTTGAGCACATTTTCTCTCATGGCGACTTGGTTCTCTCTTGGGTTAAAATGTGCACAGTGTTTTCAGGGGCCCAAGTTAAAGGTGTGTGTGTGTGTTTTGTGCCCCCAGCAACGTGTACTCGTGCAGCATGGACGGCATGGTGCTGGTGTGGAATGTGAGCACACTGCAGGTGACCAGCCGCTTCCAGCTGCCGCGAGGTGGCCTGACGTCCATCAGACTGCACGGCGGCCGCCTGTGGTGCTGTAAGTCCGGCCCCTGCCATCAGAGCGGGCACCCTACCTCCCTGCTCTGGGAAAAGGATGCTGAACGAGAGCAGAAAGCCTCTTTCCTTTGCTTCACGCCTTTCCAGTCTTTATTTTAAACTCGGGTTCCCTTTCTGTGGTCGCAGCAACCTTTACTCCACCTGCACTGCTGCTCCTGGGGGCTCCCCAGGCCTCCCTCTGCCTTTCTACCCAGCGGCTGACGGGATGCCTGTCTTGCCTGGACGCACCACTGCTCTCCTGTCCCTCACCTTGGCTTTTGCTGTGCCCTGCTCTGGGGTTGAAGCTGGCCCATGTGTCCCCCGGAGTCATGGCTGCTCCTCCTGGGAGGCCTCTGTGTGCGTCACGTCTCCACACCTGGGGGCAGCTGGCGAGCCCGTGCTCTGTTCCCCTCGGCTGCTTGGCACAGAGCTGCAGCCTGGGACTCTCCGTGGACCCAGACTGGGGATTTTGCCAGGGGGGCGATGGGAGGAGCAGGTGCTTTGCCTGGCGGCTGTGTCTGCATTTCTGGACGCCCCAGAGCACAGAAGTTGCCGGCACTTTGAGGTCTTCCTCGGCATGTGCCAGATTACATGAGTGACGGCTGGGAATATGTTTTCTTTTTTGTAATGGAGGCGTGTTTCACATATAGTAAAGCTCACCAAAAAGTGCTCAGTTTGTTGTGTTTTGACAAACATCTAAACTACATAACCATGAAACAAATCAAGACACGCAGCGTTTCCGTCACAGCTGAAAGCGTCTGTGCCCCTTTCCAGGCCGTGCCGCCATTCAGGGGATACAAGTGCTCTTAGTTCTGTCATCTGAATTTGGTTTTTACAGAACTTTCTACAAATGGACTCTACAGTAGGCCTTCTTCTGTATCTGGCTTTATTCAGACAGCAGGATGTTTATAGTATTCATCGCTGACGTTCTGAGTATCAATATCAATAGCTCGTTCCTTCTTGCAGGGTAATAGTCCATTGTGTGCATATGGAACATGCTCATCCTTCCCCTGCCCCAAGTGGGCACTGGGTTCACTCTGCTTAACTGTTTGAAAAACCGTCAGACTGTTTTCTGAAGTGGCGGCAGCAGCTTCCACGCCACCCGCAGTCTCAGGCTTCATTTCTTCACATCCTCACCCAAACTGGTTCTCACCTGTTTTTACTGACACCGTCCCCGCGGGAGTGAAGTGGCGTCTTGTGGTTTGGATCTGTGGCTCCCTCATGGCTGATGGTGCTGAGCACTCTGTCGTGTGCCCGGTGCCCGCTGACGCCTCCCTGGGAGCAGCGCCTGTGCAGGCCCCTGCCCACTGTTCCGCTCACTTTCAGGGCCGGTAGCGACGTGGTTGGGTGCAAGCCAACGGTTGTCCTTCTTCCCCTCATCTGTTATTTGTTCTGTTCTTCCTTTCTTGCCCTCTTTTGTATTGAATATTTTTATGTTCAATTTAATCTTCTTTACTGTTTTTAAGCATTATATTTTTGTTTTATTTTTCAGTGGTTGCTCTAAGAATTGCAATATGCAACCTTAACCGATCACCCTCCTCCTTAACTAACTATGATACTGCTTCATGGATAGGGTAAGAAGCTTACAACAGTATCAAGTGTGGTACTCCCAATAATACATTCTTTAAGATTTTTGCTTAAGCAGTCAATGATCTTTCAAGAAAGTTAAGAAAAATTAAGAAACTGCCCATATATTTACGTTTTCTGGTGAGCCTCATTTCTTCTTAAAGACCCAGGGTTCTAGCTTGCATTTTTTCCCAGTAGACCTCACCTGTGCATTCCTCAGGCGCCAGGTGGCACGTGGTGATCCCCCCCATCACCACGCTGGAAAGAGCAGTGAGGCCGGCTCTGGTGCTGGCGTCTTATGTTGCCAATGACACTGCCTGGCCCCATCCTAGCTCCTTCCTTCCACAGGCACAGGTAACAGCATCATGGTCATGAAAATGAATGGATCCCTCCATCAAGAATTGAAGATTGAGGAGAACTTCAAAGACACCAGTACCTCCTTCCTGGCCTTCCAGCTCCTTCCTGAGGTATCCCAGCAGGGGCTGTGGGCCCAGCATGTGCGTGGCCCGGGGCCCATAGCCCACACCGTGCCCTGCGTTTCAGGAGGAGCAGCTGTGGGCGGCCTGTGCAGGACGCAGCGAGGTTTACATCTGGAGCCTGAAGGACCTGGCCCAGCCCCCGCAGAGGGTGCCCCTCGAGGACTGCTCTGAGATCAACTGCATGATCCGGGTGAAGAAGCAGGTAGGGTGGAGGGCCCGCCATCCCCAGCATCCCCGGCAGGTCTCGCTTGCCCTGGCCGCATCCCCATGCTCCCGAGAGCCAGCCGCACGCCCTCGTGCCCTCCTGCCTTCGCCTCTCAGGGTTCCCCTCCTAACAGGCACGTGCAGGGTTGGTGCCAACGGGCCCACAGGTCACCATGTGCTGGTTTCATGGTGTGGTCCAAGCACTCCACAGCGCATTCCCCCAAACTGGATGGCTTCAAATGACAGAACTTAATTTTCTCACAGTTCTCGACGCTGGAGGTCCAAAACCAAGGTGTCGGCAGAGCCGCTTCCCTCGGGGGCTCGGGGGGAGCGTGCACTCCAGGCCCTTCTCTCCCCCACCCGCTCATGTGGCCGCCGTCCTTGGCGTGCCCTGGCTGTGGACGTGGCACTCTAACCTGTGCCTGCACCACATGGCACTCTCTCTCCCTGTGTGTGTCTCTTATGGGGATGCTGGTCGTACTGGATTAACCAGTGTGACCACATCTGAACTATCTGCAGACTCTACTTCCAAAGAAGCTCACATTCTGAGGTTCAGAGGATATGGATTTGGGGGGACACTGTTCAACCCATTACAGTCTGCCCTCTGGCCCCCTAAATCCACATCTGTTCCACATGCAAAATACACCCCCTCCATCACTACATCCCCCGAAGTCCCAGTCCCTCCAGTGTCAGTTCTGAGCCCCAAATCTCCAAGTGAAGCCAAAGCCCTCCGATGTGGGTGAGCCGTGGGCGGGTCCCACCTGGGGCAGAACCAACCCCTCTTGCACCGTGAACCTGCGCAGCTAGAACAGGCTGTCTCTTCCCAAAACACAAGGCTGGGCCAGGCAGAGGTTAGACATTCTCATCCGAAAAGGGAGAAATTGGAAGGAAAGCTGGACTTCCAGGCCCCGAGCAAGTCGGAGACACGGCGGGGGTGGGGCGGAATTCGTTTAGTGTTTTCCCCCATAACTTAATTGGGGTATAATTGATGAATAAAAATTATATATATCTAAGGTATACAAGGTGATATTTCAGTATACATTGTGAAATAATCACAAGCTAATTACCATATCTGTCACCTCACACAGGTGGCTGTTGTTTGGTGAGAACACTTAAGATGCACCCCAGCACTTTTCCAGCACGCAGTGCAGTCTTCTTCCCCAGAGGCCCCTCGGCCATTAGGTTCTAAGCCCGAGAAGGGTCCTGTGCACCTGCCAGGCGGCCCTGACCCTCAGGCGGCAGAGGCCCTGTCCAGGAAGGACATAGATTTGGAGGCACACGCGTCAATTCTGGGTAGCCGGGCAAAGCCCTGGTGCTCTTGGGAGGGGCTTCTTTCCCTGCTGACCCCTCCCGTTTCTCCCTGGCAGGTCTGGGTGGGCAGCCGAGGGCTGGGGCAGGGAACACCCAAGGGGAAAATCTACGTGATTGACGCCGAGAGGAAGACCGTGGAGAAGGAGCTGGTGGCGCACATGGACACCGTGAGGACGCTGTGCTCGGCTGAGGACAGATACGTGCTGAGTGGGTCGGGCAGGGAGGAGGGGAAAGTCGCCATTTGGAAAGGCGAATAAACGTGGCTGAGTCTGCCAAGTGGAACTGTGCCCTATGTGTGGGGACTGGCTGCCCCCTAGAGCCTGCCAGGAGCAGAAGCCTGGAGGGGTGGCAGGGCAGAGCAGCCCAGGCTCAGCATGGAGCCCACTTACCGTGTGGCCAGCCGCGAGACCCATGGCCACGCACCTTCTCTCAGGCCTTCGGGCCCCCTGGTTAAACTGCACCAAGGGTGTTTCCTGTTGGGGTGTGTCTCAGGCAGGCAGCTGCGTCTTGTTGGTGATAACCTCTGCTGGGAGGTTACTTTGTTGCCTAGAAAGTTCTGGAATCCACAACCAGGGGCTGGCACTGGAGCCAGCAGCTTGGCCGAGTCACAGGTGACCCGTGGCCCTCACGTCTCTGGTTTTACCTTTCCTTACTTCATTCATTCACTCACCCAGTCCTTACGAATCACCGAGGAACACTGGGCTGAGCACATGACAGGGAGCCTGGAGCCCCGGGGCCTCCAGCGAGGCCTGAGAAGGGTGGTTCGGGTAACCACTGTGGGCTCTCTCCCATCACAGAAGGTGGACAGGGCCTACCCAGGTGGAGGGGACCACCCTGCGATCAGGTGTTTGCGACAGGGGTTGGGCCAGCTGAGGCAAGCTGTCTTTTTTCCCTTTTCTTTTTAATAGATGCAACATTTTTATAATAATCCTAGAGACCTTTTTTCTACCAAAGATCACAGACCAGAAAAAGTTCCATCTAAAATATCATGCCCAGGAAAGCACATGGGATCAAAAGTAAAATAGCATCATGTGTGATCTCGTCTTCCAGCGTGCCGCTCAGTTCCCCGAATCCGTGTGCACACGTGTGATCTCGTCTTCAGTGTGCCGCTCAGTTCCCTGAATCCGTGTGCACACTGCGTATGTGTACGCGCAGCATGCTATACTGAACTCAACAAGATCTTGGCTGTACATAAATATTTGTAAAAGAGACCCTTTGCACCTTTTTACTGTAATGTTGAGACTTCATTACTTAAATGTTCTACGGAAGGTTCTGGTGTGGTTGTTGGAGCCGGAGGGAGCGTGTCAGCACGTGCTGAGGGCATGGGGCCTGCCCCCTGGGCACCCATCCACAAGCTGGGCCACGGAGCTCCAGCTTCTCAGGACAAAGCCCCGGGGCTGGCGCATCCTGAGGGTCTCTGGGGGTGTTTGCCAGGCTCCTGGGATGGGCCGCTTTCAGAAGCCCTGCAGTGCCTCCAGATGGAAAGGCGGGCCCGGCCTCCGGTTGGGTCTGCATTTTGGAGAGTCCACACCACGGACCAGGTTTTCCCCCAAGGCTTGGCTTTGTGTAGCTACTAACTTCTTGGGGCATTCTGAGAGTGTGGGCAGAGAGAATTATGTGGCCTCATCCTCCCCCAAGGCTGTGCTTGCAGCCCGGGCACCTTCCCACTTTCTAGCTCTGGAGAGGTTGGATTTTGCTTTTGTAAACACATGAATCCTTATGATAAAAGTCTGTCAGTCAAAAATACATTTATAAATTATTTAATGCCAGTCCTCATGTAACCTCAGGTATCTTCAGCTTGTGGAGAATAAATCTGGTTTAATAAACACTGATGTCCGGCTCCTTACTTCATCCAACAGTGACGGGGGGAAGGTCTTGAAAATGACCCGGGACCATTCTGAACGTGCTCCTTCCTCACTCTAGGCACCGGTCACGTTACCTTAATGCAGACTCTTCATGTCTTTTCTCCATGGTGATAATTTCAAGATCTTACTTGACAGTGATTGATTGATTGCGTTTTAGGAAATGGTCACTCATATAAAAGAGAAAACAGGTGAACAGAGGTGCTAACCAGGGAGTAAATGTGCTGGGCAGGCCTGGGTTCCATGTTTATTCTGTGTTATGCAAACAGAATCCTGGCCAGTGGAGTTTATTGAAATGGAAAGGGCACTTTGATGCCTTCGATTTTTTCCCCTGTGCTTTGGAGAGATTCCATTAGGAATGATTTGTCATGGAAAGGCCCCAAATGAGCTGGAATTCATTCAACAGACTGTGATGCCATCCCTGCCTCGGCTTTAGAAACCTGAATTAAATTGGTGCAAAAAAGTATTTCTCTTGAACCAGAAACCGGTATATTTTAAGAGAATTTCAGTTCTCCTGCAGTATTTCAAACAACAGAAAAGCAAGCTTGCTTTAGGGAGCTGGCACTGTTCACAACGCCAACCAAAAGCTTACCCCCAAGTCCCCATCACTGATGCAGAGGTTGTGAAGACAATCGCCTGGTAACATTTCTATGATTTGTTCTTGGAAGATGTGTCTACCTCAGCTGTTTTCAAAGGACAGCCCTTAGCACTGGATGTGACTGTAACATCTGAATTAACAGTGCATGAATTTTGTCTGCTGCTTGAGGATTCCTTGCACAGATGAAGGGGTGCTTTCTCCGCATGCCTGAGGAGGGCATGGTTGGAGAGTGTGGCAGGGTTGCCTCACTGTCTCTGCTGCCCGCAGCTGTTTGCATGTCTTGGAGCAATACTGTGCCATCCCCCAGAAGGTGAGGCAGAGGCTCACAGACACAGAGCTGGTTTCTGTCACCCGCGTTGCTGCTGCTGAGCTGCAGTGTGAGCCGAGGCGTGCACAGGACTCGGGGGAGCTCTGCAGTTACCTGCCCTGGAATCTTGGCGGATTCTGAGAGACACAGCCTGGGGTCACGGGCACGGCAGACGCACTGGGGCCGGACGGGAGCCTGATCCAGGCCTAGCTGCACATCTGGCCACAAGCCCTGAACCCCCCGTAAAACGGGGGTGGCTCCTTCTTGCAGGGCCCACGTGGAGACCGACAGGGGCACACTGAACACCCAGTCTGTTGCTGGGCTCCCAGGAACACCTCAAAGAATGCTCCATCCTGGCCTGTGTGCTGGGCCCGTGAGAACATTAAGGAAGGAGAAATGAGAATGTGATGGCTCCCGTTGCGGGTTGAATGGCGCCCTCAAAAACGTATGTCCATGTCCTAACCGCCGGGACCTGTGAATCTGACCTATTTAGATAAAGGGTCTTTGTAGATGTCATTAAGGATCTGAAGATGAGCCCCTCCTGGATTCTGGGTGGGCCCTAAATCCAATGACAAATGTCCTGAGGAGGAGAGGAAAAGATACATGGGGACAGGCCACGTGAAGACAGAGGCAGAGGCAGGAGCGACGCAGCCACAAGCCCAGGATCCTGGAGCCACAGGGAGCTGGAAGAGGCCAGGACGCTTCTTACCCCGAGCCCTCAGAGGGGGTGTGGCCCTGCCGGCACCTGGATCTCAGACTTCTGGCCTCCAGAACGGTGAGAAAATAAATGTCGGGTGCATGACCCCCCACCGCCACATCTGGTTTGTGGTGTTTGTTCTGGCAGCCACAGGAAACTCTTCCAGCTCCTGTTTGTTGCCTGTGTGTTGCCCGTGTGCTCCGGTCAGGTGCTGTGCCAGGCGCTTTAGGGGCACTGTTGTGTATGATCCTCAGGACCCCGTGGCATGGAAAGGATCATCCCCATTTTACACCCAGGATACTTTGGCCCCAGTACTAAGAGCAAAGTGGAGGTTGCGGGCATACCTCACTGCCAAGGAGGCAGGGCTGGGCTTGGAGACGCCCTCAGAAGCTGCTTTTGCCCTGACGTGCCGCCTTTCTTTCCGCTAGTGCTCTCACCGTTAACAAGGCACTGGGAGCGGGGCTGAAGCTGGCGGTCCTGAGATGTGTCAGCAGCAGCTCCCGGCCCATTCAGGGAGGATCCTGGGATGAGGGAGAGGGTAAACTCACCTTCACTTTGGTGGTGGAGGAGAGTAAGTCTCACTAGCTCTGCATCTTTCCCTGAGGGTCAAGGGAGCATATTCTGCAGCTCTAGGTGCTGGGCCAGCAAACCACTGCTGCCGTTCTGCTGGGTCTAATGGTGGTCATCCAGGGCTAGGGGCTGAGGCCATGTGTGCAGAGGTTGACAGCAGGCTCAAAGGAGATGGAGTAGGACAATGGTGCAGTTAGTGGAGTCCAAGCATCACTGACACCCCCACAGGGATGGCTACAAAATGAAATATTAAAAAAGATTCACCAAAAAGACAGGAAAGCAGTGATAGATGAATAAAAAGCCAGATGTGACAGGTAGAAAATAAGTAGCAAGATGGTAGACTTCAACCTCACCATACTGATAATTATGTTCAGTGTAAATGGATGCAACACTCCGACTAAAAGGCAGAGGTTGTCAAACTAGGTCTAAAAGGAAACCCAACTATAAGTTGTCTACAAGTGACTCACTTTAAATATAAAAACACAAATGAGATAAGAGTAGAAGCATGAAAAAAGTTTTAGGCTGGATGTGGTGGCTCACACCTATAATCCTAGCACTTTGGGAAGCTGAGGCAGGAGGATCACTTGAGCCCAGGAATTCGGGACCAGCCTGGGCAACACAGTGAGACCCCCATCGCTATAAAAACATTAACAAATTAGCTGGATGTGGTGGTGCGGACCTGTAGGCCCAGCTACTCACGGGGCTGAGGTGGGAGGATCGCTTGAGCCTGGGAGGTCAATGCTACAGTGAACTGTGCTCATGTCACTGCACTCGGCCTGGGTGACAGAGTGAGACCCTGTCTGAAAACAAAGAAAAAGTTTTACTATGCCAACAGTAAGTATTAAAAAGCTGGTATGGTTATATTGCTATCAGACAAAACATACTTCATGGTATACTACAAGAACCAAACAGAAAAAGCATAATAATAAGGTCAATTCATCAAGAAGATGAATTAACTAATAATAGAGATTTAAGAGAGATGAAGCAAGCACGGTAGAACTATAGGAGAAAACAGACAAAATCCACAATCATAGAGATTTTAACACTCTTCTCTCAGAAAATGATAGAAAAAGTAAACAAAAATTAGCAAGGATATAGATTTAACAACACTGTCAACCAGCCTGACCTGACATAGAACACTACAGCCAACAACAGCAGAATATCCATTCTTGTCACGTGCACATGGAATGTTCATCAAGCTGGATCACATGCTGGGCTATAAAATAAATTTCAAGATTTAAATATTACAGACTGTGTTCTCTGACCACACAGACATGGAATGGCATATCAACAGTGGTAATACGCCTAACAATCTCAAAATTATGTTGGGAAATTAAACAACATACTTCAAAATAACCCAATCAGTCAAAAAAGAAACACAAAGGAAATTAGAAAATATTTTGAACTGAATGATAGTGAAAACACAATGTATCCGAATGTATGGGATGCAGGCCACGCATGGTGGTGCATGCCTATAATCCTAGCACTTTGGGAGGCCAAGGCAGGAGGATCCCTTGAGCCCAGGAGTTCGAGACCAGCCATAGGGAGATGCTATCTCTTCATTTTTAAAGAAAATTAAAAACCAAAATGTATGAGATGTAGCTAAGAACAATTATAACTTTAAATGCCTCTATTAGCAGAAAGGTTTCAAATCAGCTATCTAAATTTTAATCATAAGAACATAGAAAAATAAAAGCATGTTTAAATAAAATAAGTAAAGGAAGGTAATAATAAAGACCAAAACTCAATGAAAGGGAAAACAATCAGCAAAGCCAAAAGTTCGTTCTCTAATTGATAACCCCTATCAAGACTGATCAAGAAAAACACACACATGCACGAATTTCATTCCAGTATCAGGAATGAAGTGAGATACAAATCTTACATACATCACAAGGATATTATGAATAACTAGTTTAAAATATGCAAATTTCTTAAAGATAACTTTATGAAACCAACACAAGGAGGAGTAAAATCTGAGGAGTCTTAAGTCTATACAGGAAATTGGTTTGTAGTCAAAAATCTCCCAGAAAGAAGAAATCTCCCAGAAAGACGAGATCTCTAGACTCAATTGCTTTCACTAGTTAATTCTAACAAACTCTTAAGTATGGCATAATAGAATTTACAGAAACCCTTTCAGAAGAATAGAAGAGGAGAGAACCCTTCCAAACTCATTTTAGGAGACCAGCATGAACCTATAGTTGACAAAGATCTTACAGGAAAATAAAATTATGGATCAATCTCCATCAGAAACATAGATGCAAAATTCCTGGGGTATCTACCAAGAGGAAAATCAGTCATGATATGAAAAAGTCACTTGCACATGCATATTTATAGCAGCACAATTCGCAATTGCAAAAATATGGAACTAGCCCAAATGCCCACCAATCAGCAAGTGGATAAAGAAAATGTGGTGTATTTACATCGTGGAATACTACTCAGCCATAAAAAAGGAATGAAATAATGGTATCCACAGCAACCTGGATGGAATTGGAGACCATTATTCTAAGTGATAGAGAACATCGTATGTTCTCACTGATATGGGGAGCTAAGCTACAAGGATGCAAAGGCATAAGAATGATACAATGGACTTTGGGTACTCGGCGGGGAAGGGTGAGAGAGGGGCAAGGGATGAAAGATTACACATTGGGTACAGTCTACACTGCTCGGGTGAAGGTACACAAAATCTCAAATCACCGCCAAGGAACTTACCCATGTAACCAAACACCACCTATTCCTTAAAAACCTAAATTAAACAACAACAACAAAAGGGCCGGGCATGCTGGCTCACGCCTGTAATCCCAGCACTTTGGGAGGCCGAGGCGGGCGGATCACGAGGTCGGGAGTTTGAGGCCAGCCTGACCAACATGGAGAAGCCCTGTCTCTACTAAAAATACAAAAACAATGAGCCAGGATTGGTGGCGCATGCCTGTAATCCCAGCTACTTGGAAGGCTGAGGCAGGAGAATTGCTTGAACCTGGGAGTCAGAGGTTGCGGTGAGCTAAGATCACGCCATTGCACTCCAGCCTGGGCAACAAGAGCGAAACTCCGTCTCAAAACAAACAAAAACAAAATAAAACAAAAAAACCACCACAGATGCAACATTCTTAAACAAAATATTAGCAGATCGAAACCAGCAATATTTTTAAAGGTTAATATATCGTGACCAAGTGGGGTTGCAAAATGCAAGGTGAATTTAACATTCAAAACTCAATCAATGTAACTTAATACATCAGTAGAACAATGGAGAAAAGCCATAACGATCATCTCAATAGATGCAGAAAAAGGGAACTTCCTCAAATTGATAAAGAGCATTTGCAAGAAACCCACAGCAAGCATCATACTTAACGGTGAAAGACTAATTGCTTTTCCCCCAAGAATGGGAACAAGGCAGGGATATTCACTTTCCCCCTTCCTGTTTTTTTTTTTTTTTTGGATTGCCAAATCCTTATTTATTTCCACCGTAGTGTGTAAGTATCTGTTTCTTTAAACTTTCTCCAACATTGTTATCAAAGTTTTAGTTTTTGTTAATCTTTATTTATTTATTTATTTATTTTTTTTATTGATCATTCTTGGGTGTTTCTCGCAGAGGGGGATTTGGCAGGGTCATAGGACAATAGTGGAGGGAAGGTCAGCAGATAAACAAGTGAACAAAGGTCTCTGGTTTTCCTAGGCAGAGGACCCTGCGGCCTTCCGCAGTGTTTGTGTACCTGGGTACTTGAGATTAGGGAGTGGTGATGACTCTTAACGAGCATGCTGCCTTCAAGCATCTGTTTAACAAAGCACATCTTGCACCGCCCTTAATCCATTTAACCCTGAGTGGACACAGCACATGTTTCAGAGAGCACAGGGTTGGGGGTAAGGTCATAGATCAACAGGATCCCAAGGCAGAAGAATTTTTCTTAGTACAGAACAAAGTGAAAAGTCTCCCATGTCTACTTCTTTCTACACAGACACGGCAACCATCCGATTTCTCAATCTTTTCCCCACCTTTCCCCCTTTTCTATTCCACAAAACCGCCATTGTCATCATGGCCCGTTCTCAATGAGCTGTTGGGTACACCTCCCAGACGGGGTGGTGGCCGGGCAGAGGGGCTCCTCACTTCCCAGCAGGGGCGGCCGGGCAGAGGCGCCCCTCACCTCCCGGACGGGGCAGCTGGCCGGGCGGGGGCTGACCCCCCACCTCCCTCGCGGACGGGGCGGCTGGCCCGGCGGGGGCTGACCCCCACCTCCCTCCCGGACGGGGCGGCTGGCCTGGCGGGGGCTGACCCCCACCTCCCTCCCGGACGGGGCGGCTGGCCGGGCGGGGGCTGACCCCCCACTTCCCTCCCGGACGGGGCGGCTGGCCTGGCGGGGGCTGACCCCCCACTCCCTCCTGGGTGGGGCAGCTGGCCGGGCGGGGGCTGACCCCCACCTCCTTCCCGGACGGGGTGGCTGCCGGGCGGAGGGTCTCCTCACTTCTCAGACGGGGTGGCTGGGCAGAGACGCTCCTCACCTCCCAGACGGGGTCGTGGCCGGGCAGAGGCGCTCCTCACATCCCAGAAGGGGTGGCGGGGCAGAGGCGCTCCCCACATCTCAGACGATGGGCGGCCGGGCAGAGACGCTCCCCACTTCCTAGATGGGATGGCGGCCGGGCAGAGACGCTCCTCACTTTCCAGACTGGGCAGCCAGGCAGAGGGGCTCCTCACATCCCAGACGATGGGCAGCCAGGCAGAGACGCTCCTCACTTCCCAGATGGGGTGGTGGCTGGGCAGAGGCTGCAATCTCGGCACTTTGGGAGGCCAAGGCAGGCGGCTGGGAGGTGGAGGTTGCAGCGAGCCGAGATCACGCCACTGCACTCCAGCCTGGGCACCATTGAGCACTGAGTGAACCAGACTCCATCTGCAATCCCGGCACCTCGGGAGGCCGAGGCTGGCGGATCACTCGCGGTCAGGAGCTGGAGACCAGCCCAGCCAACACAGCGAAACCCCGTCTCCACCAAAAAAATACGAAAACCAGTCAGGCGTGGCGGCACGCGCCTGCAATCGCAGGCACTCGGCAGGCTGAGGCAGGAGAATCAGGCAGGGAGGTTACAGTGAGCCGAGATGGCAGCAGTACAGTCCAGCCTCGGCTCGGCATCAGAGGGAGACCGTGGAAAGAGAGGGAGAGGGAGACCGTGGAGAGAGGGAGAGGGAGAGGGAGAGGGAGACCGTGGAGAGAGGGAGAGGGAGAGGGAGACCGTGGAGAGAGAGAGAGAGAGAGAGGGAGAGAGGGAGAGAGGGAGAGAGAGAGAGAGAGAGAGAGAGAGAGAGAGAGAGAGAGAGACCGTGGAGAGAGGGAGAGGGAGACCATGGAGAGAGAGAGAGAGAGAGAGGGAGAGAGAGAGAGAGAGAGAGAGAGAGAGAGAGAGAGAGGGAGAGAGGGAGAGAGGGAGAGAGGGAGAGAGGGAGAGAGAGAGAGAGAGACCGTGGAGAGAGAGAGAGAGAGAGAGAGAGAGAGAGAGGGAGAGAGGGAGAGAGGGAGAGGGAGAGGGAGAGGGGGCCCCCTTCCTGTTAACATTGTACTAGAGATTCTAGCCAGGGCAATAGGGGGAGAAAAGGGGGGGGCATAAACATTGTACTGGTTCAGCAGAACATTGAGGGGAAAAAGATGATTGTACTGGAAGAGGCAAAACAATCTTTATTAGAAGACAGCAAGGCCATTTATATAAATCCTAAAGAATCTATTTTAAAAACTAGAATATTTTTCTAGTTTTTTCTATAAGGTACTGGATACAAGGTCAATATACAATCATTGCATTACTATATTCTAACAGCAAACAACTTGTAAACTGTTAAAATACAGTAGCATAAAAAACATTCAATAGAAATAAATTTAATGAATGACGTAAAAGACTGAAAACTCAAAAACATCGCTGAGAGAAAATGTTAAAGACTGAAATAAAAGATATACCATTTTCATGGACTGGGAGATTAAATATTGTAAAGATGTTAGTTATCTCCAAATTGATCTGATAGATTCAATTTAATCCCAATCAAAATGCTAACATAATTTTTAAAAAAGAAATTGAGAATTTGATTATAACATATATGGAAATGCAAAGTAGAATATTTAAGATAACCTTCAAAAAGAAGATCAAGCCAGGTGGGATGGCTCAAGCCAGAGGACTCATATACCTTTATGCTTTGCTAAAAAACTACAATAATTAAAACGGTAGGATTTGACATAAATATAGGTAATTAAATCAATGGAACACAACGTAGGGTCTAGATGCGCAAGCATAAAGTCAGTTGACTATAAAAAACAAAAATTCCAAGACAATTCGGTAATGAAAGTCTGTTCAGCAAATGGTGCTGCAATGACTGGATAAACGTATGGAAAAGGGAAGCAGCTCAACACTTACCTCACTACACATAACTTAACTCAAGGTGGCTCACCCACCTAAATGTAAAGCTAGAAGCTCTAGAAACAAGCACATCTTTGCCACCTTGGTGCAAAGATTTTTCTAGAGAGAACACACAAAAAAGCTAAACACTAAAGAAAAAATGGATAAATTGGACTTTATCAAAATATATCATTAAGGAAAAAAAAATATTTGCAATACTATATCTGACAAGAATTTTTATCCAAAATATATAGAGTTTTTACAAATCAGTAACAAGATGAACAGCTCAATTTAAAAATGGGCAAACAAGACCAGGCACAGTGGCTCATACCTGTAATCCCAGAACTTTGAGAGGCTGAGCGAGGCAGGAGGACTGCTTGAGCCCAGGAGTTTGAGACCAGCCCGGGCAACATAGGGAAACCCTATTTCTACCAAAAAAAAAAAAAAAAAAAGAAACAAAGCAGGGCATGGTGGCGTGCACCTTCAGTCCCAGCTACTCAACTGGCTGAGGCGGGAAGATGGCCAGAGCCCAGGATGCTTCAGTGAGCCACGATCAACCTTGGGCACTCCAGCCTGGGCAACAGAGGGAGACCCTGTCTCAAAAGAAAAAAAAGAAAAAAGAAGTTACACCCTGGAATGCTAACAGCTATTGCAGAATGCAGTAGGTCTACATGCAGGAACAAGGAAAGTTGAAAATATTTTGCTAAACAACAACAAAAAATGTAGGTTGCAAAACTCTGCATAGTGGTTCAAATTTCGTTTAAAAAAAATTAACATTAGTAGTGTGGAGACAAAGATGTGAAGACGGGCCGGGCGCGGTGGCTCACGCTTGTAATCCCAGCACTTTGGGAGACCGAGGCGGGCAGATCACTTGAGTCAGGAGTTCGAGACCAGCCTGGCCAACATGGTGAGACCCCCCCACCTCTACTAAAAGTACAAAAATTAGCCGGGTGCGGGCGTCAATTATCCCAGCTACTCGGGAGGCTGAGGTGGGAGAATCGCTTGAACCTGGAAGGCAGAGGTTGCGGTGAGCTGAGGTCGCACCATTGCACTCCAGCCTGGGTGACAAAGTGAGACTCCGTCTCAAAAACGAACAAAGACCGGGTTGGGAGGCCTGGGTCACTGATTCTCTGTCTTGGCGACTTCTTCTTGCCCCGTGATGGCCGCTGGGCACGCAGGGCTCATCCTTGGTGAGCATCCTGGGGAAAGGCCAGGAAAGGGGCGCAGCACCGGGTGTTCCCTCCTAGCCTGGTCGCTCGGGGGGAGCGTTGGTTGGCGGGGTGCAGGTCTGGTGCTCGCTCAGGTGGGCCAGGCACCCGCGCGCCAGGTGAGGCGGGCGGGGGAACACACGCCCCTGGCCCCTGCGCCGCCGTCACGGCCGCCCACCACCCGAGGGCGGGGGTCCTGGTGGGGTGTCGATTCCGCCTCCCCGCCCACAGGCACTGGGCCCCGGGCGGCCACCGGGGTGCGGGGCTCCCAGCGTCTCGGGCTCCCACTGCTTCAGGCCTGTCCAGGGGCGGGGAGCGTCTCTGTGGCCGCGGCGGGATTGCGGCGCGGTGGCCGGGCGTCCCCTGCAGGAAGCTGTTCTCGCTCGCTGCCTCCCCCACCTGGGAGGGAAGCGCCTGGATTTTGGGTCCCGCCGCCCTCCGCGCCCTGGGCCTCCACCTGTGTTCCCAAAGCCCAGCCACGAGTCTGGGGGTGCCGGGCGTGCCGTGGTGGGCGGAGGCTTCCACAGCCCCTCCCTGCCAGGGACGGCGGGGCGGGACATGGCGGGGCCGCACGCACCGGGTGGACGACAGGGGATGCCGCGGGCTCGCGTCAGCCAGGGCGCCAGGCAGGGTCCCAGATGGCAAATGGGGTCTTGGGTGCAGAGTCTGGGCGGCCCTGGCTCACCGCCCCACTCCCGTCTGGCCGAAGGACAGCGACCATCCCTTTAGTCCCCACCACAGGGCCATCAGCCTGCGTTTTGCAGCAGGGCGCCCAGGTAACAGCGCCAGAGTGGCCCAGCTGGGACTTGTCCCCAGGTCCGGAGGTTCCTGGCTTCCGTGGGCCCCCAACTGCGCAGGTCCCATCCAGGAGCCCCGTGGTGACACCCCCCAACTATCAAAGTCCCTCGTCCCTTTCTCCCTCGTCTGAGCAGATCCCTTCTACTCCACACCCCGGCCCTGCTGGGACCCCTTCCACGCCCCACAAATCAGAAGAGCCACTGAAGAAAACTTGCTTCCGGATTCAAACCCCAGCAGCTGGGTAACCCGGGGCAAGTCCCCTCCCTTTCATTTCCTCCACTGCCAACTGCCAGTCACAGCCCTCAGTGGGGTGCCAGAGGACAGAGATGACTCACTCTGCCTGTAGGAAGGTCAATGGAGCGCTCTTCCAGCCGCCCCAGGACCCCATATGTCCCCTGGGGCGCCAAAGCCAGGTGCACACACCGGGCCACCCCGTCCTCAGCCCAGCGTGGCCCCTCCTGCTGGCAGCAACAGCAAGCAGGCTGCCTCCTTAAGACACTGGCTCCAGGGACAGTCAGGGACCCTTCAGCAGAGGTAGACCGCGGGCCCCACCCCGGCTCCACCAGAACAGGCCTGCAGAAGGCCCAGGCCTCAACCCCACCTGAGTGGGCCTGTGTGTGGGTTCCAGGGACAGGCCCCGGATTTGCCAGCTGGCGGCCCTCTGGGAAGCAAATGCTCTGGTACTTGGGCCCAGCTCCCCTCCGCAGGCCTCAGACAGCCCACTAGACCCACCAGGCTCCAGGAAGGCAGAGGGCAGGAGGCCACAGGGAAGTGACAGACACACCCACATCATCATGTCAGAGGGAAAAGTTTATTGAGTCAGCCACAGAGGAACAGAGAAACAGACACAAGGAGGTTCTGTGTGCATGGAGGAAATCAGGGCGCCGCACAGCTGAACCCTGCGCAGGACAGAGGGGCGCGGACAGCAGCGCATGCCACAAACATTCACCTGGCAAAGAAACAGAGCAGAACCTAAGGGCTCTGTGTACACACAGACACAAACATGAGGCCACTGTTACCCAACTAATAGAAGAGAGTCATGAGCGACACGACACTTCCTTACGACCTCTCTCTCCTAAAACGTAACATTATGTGTTTAACACACGCTTACCACCACTGCTAACTCAGCAAGCGCGATTACAGTGCTCCAACTTAATAAGTTGATAAAAAGCTGTCCCGTGGCCAGTTCACAATGGAACTAAATAGTTTCGTTCCGAGATGCCTGGGGAGTTTCTCTGGCAACGAGGCATTTCCAACAAACGGGTCATTCTGTCACCAGGGGATGGTCTCAGTCCACGGCACAGAGCGACGTGCCCCTGGCAGCACTGTGGAGGGCAAGGGATGCCGCTAGGAGGGGTGCTCAGTCCTCCTGGAGGACCCAAGGAGGGGCTGGCCAAGGGGCCACCTTGAGCTCTGGCCGGAGGGTGATGGCTGGCTTTGCATGAGGAGGTGACAAGAACTTTGGGCTGGGCCCCCAACATGCTGTGTGCACGGGCCTTGTTCAACTCGGAACTGAACTGACACCTCTCCCAGGTGGTGAAGGGCAGAACCCCCCCAGGAGCTCTCGGAAGCAGGGGTCCCTCACGACAGGCCTGTGGCACCAGGCTTGGAGGCAGGGAGCTGGTGTCTCTCAGAAGCGGCGCGTGCTGGTGGGAGGCGGAGGGACAAACGAGGCTGACTCCGCAGCAGCAGTCCCTCACACGCTGTGTGGTGGCTAAAGCTGGACCAAAGTTAAGAAGCGAAACAGCGTGGGAAAAGGTGTCCATCTTTTCTGAAGCCGGTTAATGTCTAGTGTGGACAGCAATATTTGGTGTTTTAACAAACCTGGTCTCTAATAGGGGCCGCCATCGCTGGTGGCTGCACAAACCATTAGCCATATAAGGGAACAGTTGGTATCTTTAAGAGTATTTTTCAAACATGTCACCCGAACATCACCGCCCCAGCAGTGGGAGAGCCGAGGGTGGCCTGCAGCTCCCCCTTCCAGCCCTCTTGTTGCTGCAGGGACGGCTTCCTGTTCAGCTCTGGGGTTCTAGGTGGTCACAGACCAAGTCCTCCACACCTGGGGCATTCAAGAAACACTCCTGATGGCTGTTGGAAGCCACTAACCATCTGAGGAGGGCTCAGTGGCCCTGCCTCCCCCCCGGGGACAGGACTGGACAGAGTGCTTCTCCCAGGGGCCTGAGGCTTTCAAGGGCAGGTGTCCAAGAGGCAGCACACAGCACTGACGTGTTCAGTGGCAGGTTGGAGGATTCCAGCTAAGGCCCCTGCCTGAGAGTGAGAAAAACAACACTCCAAAGCTAGCTCTTCAGCCACCAGGGAACGTCATGATGCCAGTCTGCCGACAGACCCAGGAAAGGGGACACAGGCAGGCCGGCCCAGCTGAGAGCTCACGGCCTCTGCCCCTTCCCGCCAGCTCGCATTCCTGCACCTGGAAACTTCTGCCATGTGTTAAGGGGAAGCTCGTTAAAAGAGTCTTTACTTAGCTGACTTGTATAGGGAACAAAACCACCACAAATGAGACCAACATTATCCTAGTTTGGTAACTGGTCTGCGCACATTACACAAGACTCGACCAACCGACACACCCTGCCTGACACTCCACTCAGTGTGCAGAGGCACCCAGGCCACCAGCCTGCACAGCCCACACCCCAAGGGTGCCACGAGCCCAACTCCAGCTGCGTCCTCAGCACTGGATGGCTGGCCAGCTTCCCCAGGGGGCACCCGCACGGCCTCCTCGTCCCTCTCGGGCAAGGCTATCAGCCAGAGCACCTCCCCTTTGACACTGACCGGCGTCCCCAGCCCCGCCTTGTTACTGCATCCGTCTGAGGTACAAGGTTAGAAGCCACAGACACCCGAGCTGCAGCCTGACCCACACAAGCTGCGGGCGCAATGGCGCTTTGCAGACAAGACAGCCTGCCCGTCTGCCCTTCTTCTCGGCTTCCCTTAAGACACAAGGTGACGACACGGACGGTTTCAAGTGAGTGCAATCTGGAAATAATCTCAGTGCAGGGGAGGGGTTGAGGCCAAAGATGTCGTGACCTGGTCCCCGCTGTGGCCAGGCCGGGCCCACACGCACCGCCAGAGCCCCGGTCACCCACACCTGCCTCCCAGGAAGGCAGCTCCAGAAACCGACTCTACTGACCCTGGACCCCAGCCCCTGCGGTCCCCTCATTTGGGCTCTGCACACTGACCTGCACACTAAGAAGGGCTTTGCTTGCAAACACCTGAAGTGCTGACAGCTTGACGAGTCTACAAAGTGTGCAGCCACCGACTCCTGTCACCGAGGAGCACACAACAGTCACGCCTGTCCCTGGCTGGCACTGGCTTCCGGCACGTTCATACCCTGACAGTGACTGTGGCAAGGCCATGTGGAGGGCACTGAATGGCCTTTGTTGTCCTTACTTCAGATTAGTCGAGGCTGGGATCTCAAGGGTTAACACACTATTCAGAGGGGGGTTGCGAAGCCCCTCTTCCTCCTAAAAATCAAGTCGCAGCCAGGCCCTGAGACTTCTGCACTCCCAGCTGGCGAGGAATCGGCTTTGGTGAGCCCTGGATCCGGCCCCTGGGCCTTCAGATGAGGGTGGGAAGCCTCAGGCAAGGGGTGGCCCCCAGATGAACCCACATTTGGTGTGGTTTGGGTCGGATCTTGATTCGGGTCAGGCCACTGCCACCCCACATCCGCTGCTTTCTTGCCTCCAACTGTTTTATAGTCGTCAGGACGAGAAGCCGGAGAAACCAGCTAAGACGGGAGCTGCGCCTCGAGATCCTGACAAGTACAGCCAGGTCTCAGAGAGGGGATCTACAGTCTTAAAGCCGCTAGAGGATCAAGTTGCATAGAGTGAGCTGCCACGGACGCCCGGCCGAGGTGAGGAAGCCAGGGGTGCCGTCCCCCAGAGAAGAAGGGCCACAGTGCCCAGCCCACGGGGCTCCCGCTGGCCGGAGGGCTCGCAGCAAAGCTGGCAGCACTTTCAGTAGTCGGACTTGCCCTGTCCAAGCACGAGATTCACAAGGCCATTCTCAAGTTTCCACACATCCAGAAAATGTTCTTGAAGTCTTGAAAGTCAGCCCTCTGCGATCCTGGGACACCGTGGCCTGGCAGACACACCGTGCGTGAGCAGGTACCCAACTGCCACCCGGACACAAACACACAATCTACAAAGTGCCACCAGCGGCAGGAGACACGGCAAGACCAGAGGCCCATCAAGTACATTAAACAGTCGTTCCTTTAAATACACAGAAAATTCAAGTAATTTATTTAAAAACTGCTTTAGTTTCATCTTGAAATATATATACGTGTATATATATATTTGCTCTAGAATGATCATATTGCAGCATGATTCTCATGCATTTCAAAGTACTTTATTTAAAAAACAACTTGAGGCAGCAAAAGTATTAATTACAATTGTCTGACTTTATCTGTGTGATGTGCGGGGCCTCCCTGTCTCCTGATCTCAGTAAGCCTACACCGACCGTTTCAAATAGGCTTAGTTCTAAAGAGACTGTGGTTTGGAAAACATTTCCAAATAGCTGCAGTACTTGCCCGAGTTTTGCTTATTCGTTGAAACCAGAACGACTGTGCGGAGCCCTCCGGTGACACGGGCCTTAGCTGTCCCAGACGTCTGCGTCCCTTTGCACCTGTCCCGATTCCAGCGTCGAGCAGGTGAGCAGGCGAGGAAGGCATGGAGTTCCGACAGGTTCCAGCACGCATGTCCCCTTCGCAAGCGGGGGAGGCCCTCGCACATCCACACACCCGAGGTAGCCTTGCGGCGGGACTTGGGAGGCAGGGCCCGCTGGGAGCTCTGCTCTCAGGAATCCCCAGCAAATGGTTTAGAGACGAATCAAAGTGCAGTGAAAGTCAACGTTTCCTTCCCCCTGACGTTGGGAGCGGTCTGGAGGGGCAACCTGGCCTCCTAGGAGAGTCCTTCAGACGGGACGAGCGGGGTCACATGGCTGGGCGCAGACACACTCACACGCGCACGCAGGAGCTCGTCTGGAGCTCACGCTCCGCCCCCAGGTGGTGCCCAGCCCATCCCTGGGCAGGGTGTCTGGGAGCCACCCCTGCAAATCACTGTCTTCTGCCCAGGCCCCCCGGACCAGCCTCCTCCCAGCTTTGGTGTGCGGTCGCTGCCCAAGGACAGGGCTGCCCTGGGCACAATGTGTCCAACTCGCTGAGGAAAAGAAGATACGTCATTCTTCTAAGAGAACCACATTGTGGAAAAGAAAATTTTTTTTCTAAAATAATCATAAAGAAAAATACTCTCCAACAGCTGCGGCACCAGCCAATGTGACGAGATCTGACAGACGTCAATACCTGCAGGCGTCTACAGAGAGGAAATTTGATAAAAATATTTTAGTCACTGACTACACTACCATTATCTGAAGCATTCAGATAAGACTTAGCAGAGAATGTCAGATTTTGTTTTCAATTATAATTTTAGAAATGCAAAATCTTATTTTTTCTAAGTTGCTTATTGTCTATATAAATGTTTTATATCATTTAAAAACATGCAGAATAATACACCTGCAGAATAAAAGAGCTGAAATTAAAATATCTTTTTCAATTAAAAAAAATATTTCAAATGATTCTTTTAATTATCGAAAAAGTGGTTAGTGTGGTATTTGCTTAGTAGCTCAAACCTACCCTACGACTACTGAATTGTGGCTATGGGGGCGGAGGGGCTCTGGCCCGCACTGCCGGGTCGGCCACAGCATCTGCAGGGTTCCGCGGTGTCTCTGCTCCCGCCCATGGCCTGGCCCCGCCGCCCGCCCGCCCGCCCACCCGCCCACTGGAATGTGTGTAAACGGGAGTGCGGCTCAGACCACGGACTCTGTCTCCACCGGTCCCTGCAGGCCCTCCTTCCGCGTGAGCTTCAGCACGGTGGGCTTTTCGCTGTTCCCACCGGCCCTGCCTTCGCCGGCCAACGGGGAAGACAGGCCTTTCTGCTCCTCCTTGGCCTCCTCTGACACGTTGGGATAGATCACCAGGAATGTGGCCGTCAGGAAGCCCAGGAAAGAGCCCACAGAGGCCACCATGGGGATGACGCGGACAGTCCCCACGGCGTCGACCACGCCCCCAAGGGCAGAGGCCACCAGGATCTGCGAGATGTACACTTGGCAGGACAGGATGGCACAATCTATGCCAAACCCTCGCTTGGAGTTCCCGGGGCTGTGGTGGATGTACTGCAAGAGAGGAAACACGAGGCGGTGAGCGGCTGGAGAAGGTGGCTGCTACCCGTGCTTCACAACTGTGAGTATTAACCCACAAGCCTGGAAACATGACCCGTCTTCCACCGAGTCTCTTGGCAACCACTCCTGCCTGAGCACCCTCAATCCCCCAGCTCCTGTCCAGCACTGTACAGGCGGAAGAGGTGGGAAGTTCTAGCTCAAGGAGAGGGCAGGCGTGGAAGCAACTCTGTCAATCCAGTCGGGACGTGGGCTTCCCAGGAATCTGGCCTCCAGTCTCAAGGAGAGGTGGCAGGGCCAGGCTCCACCAGGCGGGCTCCCCCTCACCCTGGTGGTCTCCAGCAGGGGCTGAGTGGGGAGGGGTGCTGTGAGCCCAGGTTGATGCCTCCCAAAGTATAACTGCAGGTGGCCACGTGCAACAAAGGCTGGACCCACGGAAAGAGTGAGCAGTTTCACTTGTGTTTCTTGCACAAAGATACAAAAGAAAACTGCTGTACATATATTACTACCATTAGCATCTCTGCAAAGGCTTTTTCCTAGAGATAGTGAAAAAAAGGTCAGTCCACTAAGAAGCTAAAAAACAAAGCAGCTCTAAATGTGTGTGCCATAATCACAGTGAGAGATGGTTATCTACCTTTCAGAAAATAGAAGCAGGAAGAGAAGAGCTAAGCAATGTCAAGGTTGACCTCACAGACAGAGACGGGGCACTAGGTGCAGGACCCACATTCTTTCCAAGCGTACACGGAACATTTACCAACACGCGTGATGTGCTGGGCCACAAAGGAAGCCTCAGCTAACTGTAAGGCTGCAACCACATGGGGTATGTTCTCTGGCCATTAAGGAGTCACACTGGAAATCAGTAACAACAGGACAACTGGAAAAAGCCCAAATGTCAGAAATTCATCAGTGTCCTTCTAAATAATTCATGGTTCAAAATAGAAATCGTAATGAAAATTATAAAAATCTTTTAAAAGAAAACCCAACATTAAAACCTGCATGGTGCAGCTAAAGGTGTGTGTGGAGGGAAACTGACCTTAAATGCAAATATTAGCCTGGAAATCAGACTAAGAAATGAGCAACAGCAAATTAAACCAAGACATAACGGAAGGCAGGAGACAGCAAAGGGCGGCAGTGAACGCGCAAGCACGCGGACACGTGGCAGGGAGGACTAAGACGCCGAAAGTTCTTTGAAACACAAATAAAATCAATAAAGTCTCAGATAACTAACACGGGAGGAAAAAGGTGTTATCACTATAGGTTCCATCACATTAGATCATAAGAGAACAATTTAATGCTAATAATCTTGAAAGTGCAGATGAAATGGACACATTCTCAGAAAAACACAAATTAAAGCATCATACTCTGGGCTGGGCACAGTGGCTTCCACCTGTAATCCCAGCACCTTGGGAGGCCGAGACGGGTGGATCACCTGAGGTCAGGAGTTTGAGACCAGCCTGGCCAACATGGTGAAACTGTCGTCTCTACTAAAAATACAAAAATTAGCTGGGTGTGGTGGCAGGCGCCTGTAGTTCCAGCTACTCGGGAGGCTGAGTAGCCAGGAGGCAGAGGTTGTAGTGAGCCGAGATTGCACCACTGCACTCCAGCCTGGGCGACAGATCGAGACTCTGTCTCCAAAAAAAAAAAAAAAAAGCATCATACTTCCTAGTAAGATATTAAATACTCCCCTGTTGAGTTTGAAAGAGCAAACACCACTTCTACATATTTAGTATTGGAGGTTCCAGCCATTCCAAGAAGGCAAGGAAAATAAGTAACAGGTACGAAGGATCAGGAAGGAGAAAACGGAGCTCATTAGACACAGATGATGTGGCTGTGTAAGTAGATGGCCCAAAGAATCTCCAGATGTGCTGAGGATTAATAATAGAAGGGCATGTCACACTGATGCACTGAGGATTAATAATAGAAGGGTATGTCACACTTAGGGATAGGAAGTTCCATACTACAAAGTCATTCACTCTCCCCAAATTGACCCATATAATTTGTTTTTAATTTTAAAAGCCCAGAAGCTGAATCTAACATTTAGATGACAAATAAATGGTTGAGAATAGCCAAGACAATCTTGAAGAAGAACAAAGTTGAGGGATTTCTACTACCAGTTTTCAGGACTTATTACAAAACTAGTGAGAGACAGTTGACATTTGTGCAAGAATAGAGAGACTAGCGGAAGAGAAGAGAGCGGAAACACATGCTTACACGGAAGCCCAATTTATGGCAAAGGTGGCACTGCACAGAGGGGCGGGGAGCAGTGCTGGGTCATGACCTAGGCAGACACCCATATGTAGGGAAAAAAATAAAAGTCTTGAACCCCCACCTCAAACCACACACACCACACTACTCCAAGGAGACTGTCAGCCAACAGCACGGGCACAACAGGAGGTGTTTGTGGCAAGGGACGTTCATGCAGTGCTACCTGTGACGGCCCCAACCTGGAAGCACCCAAAGGCTCACAAAGCAGGGTGCATCTGGCCATACACTGTGACATGAAAAGGCTGGCCGTGCTGCCGCCAGCAAGCACGTGAGTGAATCCTAGAGGATGAAGCCAGATGTTTCAGCTGCATAAAGTCCAGAAAGAGGCAAGAGTCTGCCTGTGCTGCGGCTACTGAGCATTTGAGATAAAGCTCGTCTCATGTGTGATGTGCTGTGATGTAACATACACACAATTTCAACGATGAGCAAGAGTGTAAGGTATCTCGATGACTTTTTTCATATAGAGTACATGCTGAAATAATGTTTTAGATACACCAGGTTGAATAAATATGCTATGAAAATGGCCTTCACTGGCCTTTTCACTTTCTAAACGTGGCCGCCAGGAAGTCTAGGCATACCTGGGTGGCTTTCCTCCCATCCAAGTGGAAAACACGGGGCTGGAGCTTCCCCCTCAGGGAAATGTGACTGGGCCTGAGGGGACCAAAGGGGCAGGGACAGTGCTTTTGCCTCCAGAAGCCTCTGGAGGTGCTAGGGGGGTGGGGGCGGCTGAAGGAGAAGACCCTTTGTGGCCAGGGACCGATCAGGGGCAGGTGGTGGCTCTGTGGGCTTTGGAAGGGGCCATCTCAGAACCGGAGAGGAAGGAGGGCCATCTGTGTCGTGAACGTCCCCCCGGGGAAGCACAGGGCTCTGCTCTGTATGGAGGGAAGGCACTCAGGAGGCTGGAGCGCAGATCTCAGGGCTACGGTGGACGCACCTGCTTGATGTCATGGTACTGGCCCAGCAGGGCGTACGGGCAGTAGGAGATGCTCATGGAGACGATGCCCATGGTGCTGATGGTGACCATGGCGACGTAGACGTTGGGAAACATGGCCATCACGGCTGTGCCGACAGAGAAGCCCAGCGTCCCCAGCACGTAGATCACCCTGACGCTCAGGTCGTAGTTGTCCAAGTACTTCTGTAACAGGGCTGCAGAGAGGGGCACAGGGACAAGGACAGTGGGCAGGCGGCTGGCTCCTGTCGGGCTCCCTCCACCATCCCTCCCCTCGCCCCCCACATCCCCCCGACCTCCACTCCTTCCAGCTGAACCCAGACCTGGTCAGGCAGGCACAGCTGGCACAGGCCTCCGGCACGTATTTGTAGCTCACGGGCCCGCTGGGATGCCCAGTGGCTCCAGCACCACAGACAGAAATTGGCCCTCCTTGTCCCAGACCCCATAACCCCGCCCTTCCTGCAGCTCCCAGGGGCCCCCTGCCCTGCCAGGCCAATCTGGGCCCGCTCAGTGGCCTTCTCTGGCCGTACACCCAGGACGATTTCTTCTCCTGATGTGGGTAGCAGTGGACAGTCCTGCCTCGGGAACACACATTTTTGCTGGTTTTTCTCATGGGCACCGCTCTGTTCTTCCCTCACCCTTCCTGATGCGGCAGCTCAGACGGCACCTCCCCTGGGAAAGTGCTCTGCTGAGAATTCCTCTGTTCAAGCGGTGACAATGCCGTTTACCAATGCGCCGGCTGCTGCTGACCAAGAGGCATTTACTTCGGCCATCCTCACATCTGGCTCAGGCGGAAATGAAGCTGGCCTTCCCCATGTTCAGAGTCCAGGCAGGCCAGCCCGATTCACACTCGGCTCAGAGACCCCTGACCCAATTACCCCTGGTTCCTGGTGAGCCTCGCTGCAGGACGGAAGCCTGTCACCCCGGCCCCATCCCTCAGGGTGAAACGTGCTGGGCCCTGCTCCTCCACTGCTCTGATCATCAGGCCTTCATCCAGCTCTGTGCTGGGGCCAGGGACAGCGTGTCTGGAGGCACCATTGACGTGGGACAGCATCATGGGACCGCACAGGCAGGACAGGCCCCAAAAGGGTCTCAGAACCACACTGCTTCTGGTGCCAGCCCACAGCGGCCTTTTCCCTAAAACGAGGACATGGGAATTTCGATGCTTCTCCCCAAGGGGTGGCCCTGTTTTGAGGGACCCAGAAGTCAGTGCGACTGATGGCCCCAGCTTCTAAGGTGCAGGATTCTCTCGTCTGCATTTCTAATCACTGAGTTTTCTGGGGTGCGAGTGCTGACCTGACTTGGGGAGCTCTTACCTGAACAAATAGCACCAGTGGCGGCATAAATGACCAGGCCCCAGCAGCCCATCTTGACCCCGGCGTTGTAGGCTTGCCAGGCGGTCGAGTTCGAGGGGGCCTGTTCCGGAAATGAGACGGGGGCTGACGAGGGCATCTGCTGGGCCCTCCAGGCCAGGAGCGTATTTCCCATGGGAACTGCTGGCCGGCTGCTCATTCTAAGAGCGGTGACAGGAAAGTCCCATCCAGGAGGAGAGCCCAGCCCAAGTCGGTTGCTATCTGTAAAGCATTTCCATGCCTCCCAGACCACGAATGTTCTGTGACGTGACTCTGCCACCGCGGCAAGAGGCGGAGGGTTCTGTGTGTCTCCCGGTCCCCAGTCTGGGCTGGTCTGGACTTGCAGAAGTGACGCTCCCGCAGCCTCTGCCGTGGCCCTCTCGGAGCCACTGCATGGAGCAGCTCAGACTGGACCAGAAAGGGAGGGACCGTATGGAGACAGGAGGCCCGAGCGTGTGCTGAGGGCACCTTGGTTCTCCTGGCAAACGCAGCCACAGGTGTGACCCAGCCGTTACCACAGGGGCCAGAAGGGCCACCAATGAGCCTGGCATGGTCAACAGCAGGCCATTATCTTAGCTGCCGTTTTGGGGTAGTCTGACACACAGTAACAGACACCCCGTTCACACCAGTATCAGCATTCACGACTGCTCACCGCGGGCCTCACTGCAACCCACCCCATGACCCCAGGACGGCCCCCACCAAGTTCCCAGAGGCGCGCGCGGGCCAGCTGCCTGCCGCGGGTCCCTCACCTGCACGGGAGGCACTGTGTGGCCTCCCTGACACGCGTGGGCACGAGGAAGAGGCCCCCCGGCCCAGCCCGTGAGCTTCTCCGTGAGCCGCAGGTGGGCAGAGAGAGCGGCCCCGCTCCGGTGGCCGAGCACTCACCTTGGGGTCGCCTTCGAAGATGACCTGGCCCATGAAGTCGGTGTAGAACACGGCCTCGGCGATGACAGAGAACCAGGTGAGGAGGTGGCAGAGGCACAGCCGCATCAGCTCCCTGGGCATCTTCAGCATGGAGAGCCACAGCAGGCGCACCGTGGTCTCGCCCTCCCCCTCCTCACTCTCGGTGTCCCCGCTGGAGGTGGTGGCCCCGCTCTGGTTCCGGTGCCGGTGCTGCCGCTGCCGCTTCTGCATGTCGTACAGGTCGCTCATGCTGCGCGACGGCTTGATCAGCACCACGGCGTTGGCGCGCCGGTAGCGGTAGCAGTGGGACCCAAGCTTGCCGTAGTAGGAGAAGGTGCTGGAGGCCTGCCTGCGGAACGCGTGCCGCCGCCGCCGCATGGAGCTCGACGTGGCCGAGGGCTTCGTGTCCACCCTGGTGTAGCCGCCGAGGGCGTCTTTTGTGGGGGAGCCACTTCCGTTTGGGACTTTAGCTTCATTCAAGTGATTATCCAGCAAGGTCTCGTCCTCCTTGGCGGCTTCCTTGAGGAAGGTGGCCAGGCGGGGCAGCTTGGTCTTGGCGAGCTCCTGGCTGGTGCTGCGGGGGGTGGCGGGGTAGGAGGCGTCGTGGAAGATGGAGGGCTCGATGTCGTGCAGGAACAGCAGCTCGGGCTCCAGGTCCAGCGCGGTGTCCGGCACGTGCAATGCCGAGTCGCTTTTGCTGCGCATGATGTCCACGTCCGGGTAGTCCAGGGCCAGCTCGTGCTCCGACTGTACCTCGTCTGGGAAGGCAGGGACGCCGTGCGGCTCGCCCCCATCCAGGGCGCCGGGCTCCTCAGCGCTGCGCTCCTGCTGCGGGCTGTACTGCTCCTCGTCGATGCTGAACAGGTGCAGGGCCACGGACACCGTGAAGATGATGGCGGCAAAGAAGAAGAGCACCTGGTTCTGGGTCCGGAACCAGCTGCCCAGGAAGGTCTGGGTCCAGTCCAGCCCACCCAGCACGTAGCCGATGGCTCCGCCGAGGCCTGCGTGGGAGGAAGCAGCAGCCGGTGAGCCGGTGGCACCAGGCCACAGGGGGGGAAGCTCTGGGAGGGCCTCTCCCTCTAACAGGGGGCCGGGGCTGCCCTCATGATGGGAGTCAGGGGCTGGAGAAGGAGAAAGCAGTAGGAAAACAAAACAAGAAACTGCAGCTGCTGCTGGGTCTGAGAATTCTGACCCGACAGAACTGCCCCTTGATCAATGAAGGGCAGACTACCCCAGGACGGATGCAAGTGTGCGCCTCTCTGCACTGAAGGGCATTCCCTCTGCATACGGAGCTGGCCACGTTCACCCTGGATGGGAGTACTGCCCTGCTGGAGGGCAAGGTCAGTGCAGGGCTGGGAGGTTCACTGTGCCAGCATGCATGTCACCCTCTGCAGGCCTGGCCTCCTGCCCCTTGAAGCTCCTCAGTGCCTTGGCCCCACTGTGCTTGGTGGTCAGGAGGGGCTGCCCCTGGTTACCTTCCAGCCCTAAGACCCTGCCCACTGCCTCAACCCTCCATGCAGCCTGATGAGGCAGCGCTGACAACACAGGCTCCTGTCCCCTCCCCACACCAGGCCCGGGCACGTTGGAACCCGGCCACCCAGCCTTGGTGCGGCAGCGTTACCGGCAGAGAAGGCGTGGATGTTGAGGGCCATGTCCTGCTCCTCGCTGTCCACCACGTCCAGCAGATAGGCACGGATGGGCCCCTCGGTGGCATCGGCGCTGAAGTCCAGGACCACCACTCCCAGCACCGTGAGCACGATGCCAATGGGCTGCCGGTTGGGGACATCGCCGAGGGCCAGACCTGCGCAGAGCACACGGGAGGGCGGTCAGGTCCTCAAGCACTGGCCAGGGTGGGCCTGATAGCAAACAGCCACATGGAAGGGGCATGCGGAGGGGGCACGGCCACAAAACCATGCCAGCCTTCCAGCACAAGAGAGAGGCTCTTAGGCACAGAGGCAGCGGAAAGGAGTTGGGCTTTGTTCCACGCACTTCTGAGGGTTCCAGGGTTTTTCTCCCCGTTCGGTTAGCTGTTTATCAGACCTCCAAGGGTTTACGCGCCCTTGATGTTTTTCAAACAGAAAGGGGAAGAATAGACCTTTCTACCCCGGCCATCAGAGGACGGCTGCTGTGCTGGAAGCATGAATTCACTGTCGCTAAGAAGGCCGCACATGGTAGTGCAGACGCCCACAGGGAAAGGCGCTCATGCCACAGACAACCCGCAGGGGACACTGATGAGGCTTCGCGAGGCAGGCGCAGGGGGTCTCGCTGGGCCTGCTCTAGGTCTGAAAGGAAACGACACCCCAAACTTTAGGGGCTTTGCACACAAGTTCTCGGGGCAGCCTGGGTTCAGGAGACGTGGCTCTAGAGAGAAAGATGCCAGTGGCCGCACCTCACCTACGAGTCCTCCTGCAGTGGGCTGCCGGCACTCAAAAGCAGTCCCACCCATGTCCCTCCTGCCTCAGGGGAGTCTGCCCCTGAATCCAGATCAATGTTGATGGCTGAGGCTCACCTTGGGTCTCCACTTCCCACCAGGGAGACAAGCAGTGCCCTCCTGACAAGATTAGAGGAATTGCGGGCCAGAGCCCGGGACCCAGGCCTGAACACAGACACACCTGTCCGTGGGAGGCGCGGGAGAAGGGCTTTCTGCCCAGGTGGTCCTTGCTGGCCTCCTCAGACCACGGGCAGGCGACGGCTCCGAGGCAGAGGGGCTGGGGCTCCCAAGCTGGCTGCCATCTGGGTCACATTTGGGCAGGACCACCCCCAAGGACACAGCCCTGGGAAGCCACGTTGTTCCAGCAGGGAGGGGAGGGCTGCTCTCGAGGGACACGGACAGGCAGGGGGCCGGCAGCTCCGCGCCCAGCAGGCGCCAGGGCAGCCGCACCCCCACACGCAGTCAGAGGCATCGCCTGTTGGCGACGAAGCCCACCCCATGGCCAGTGCCCACTCAGGCTCTGAGAAGCGTCCCGGGGCCTCTCCTCCTGCCGCTTAACTCCCTCAGCTCCCTCCGCATCAGTGCAGGCCCGGGGCAAGTTCCTCTAGTTCAGAACACAGATTAAGCTCCTCTGTCTCAAAAAGTTCTTGCCAGAAAAATGTTTTAACAGTTTTGATGGGTGCCCTCAAGGCAAAAACTATTTTCCCACACAGAGTTGCTTTAATTCAAAAGAAAACAACAACCAAGAAGGCAAAACACAAACATCAAACCAGGTTCTGGACATTTTAACACCAAGTCGAAGAAAAGGAGAACAAAAAAAGACAAGATAATTTCTGAAAGAATGCTGGAAACAGGACGTGGTGTCAGATACGCATTAAAAACAAACCATCACAACAGGAAGCGTTTCCCTGTGAACAGGTTCCTCCGGCTTTCCCACATGGGGCCAGCTTCGGCGCTGCCAGGGGTGGTCACCGCCAGGGTGGCCCCGGCAGCCCAGCCAGGCCCACAGAGGGTCAGCCTGAATATTCAACACCATTCAGCTTTTAATGAGAGGAGCTACCCAGGGCCAGGACCCCGTCTGTGTTGTGAGGACACCAGGTGTGGCCGAGAAACTTACCGATGGCAGAGCCGTTAAGGAAAAGTGCAACGCCAAAGAGGACGCCAACGCAGAGGGCGAGGATGAAGGGCCGCCGGCGGCCCCAGCTCAGGGTGCACCGGTCACTCGCAGACCCAATGAGAGGTGTGAAGATGAGGCCAAGGATGGGGCTCAGGAACCAGGTGAGGCTGTAGTACTGCTCCGGAAGGCCTGCAAGGGACACGAGGGCCGTCGCACACGCAGGCACTGGCCGGGCTCTGCCACAGTTTTCCTGGGAGCCCCGCGACAGGCAGGTGCCTCTGTGTACACGCACGCATGCGCACATCCCCTGCTCAGGTTGTCTCCACGGGGTAGACTTTCCTTTTTCTGCAAGGCCAGATGACCTGAAATCAACCCAGCCCCAGCTGTAAGCATCAGATGGCCAGAGAAAAGCAGCCAGGCCTTGGAGTGCCAGTGGGCTCCACCTGCACTGGCCCGAGCCTAAGGGGCAGCACACACTGACTGTGCAGGCACATGGAGGGCGCCCCGCCCAGGGCTGGACACAGGGCTGAGCCCCTCCACACTGCTGGTGCTGTCCAGGGCCTCAGGGCTGCTGAAGGCCACTTTGAGGGTGGCAGGCACAGGGCCACTGTCCCTTGACACCAGACAGTCTACAAGAGCAGGACGGTGACTGCAGCTTCACAGAGGCAGGAAGGGCCCACGACTTCTAGACCTCACTGGCTGAAAATGTACCATGGAGGGTCCTGCAGAGGGTCCCCACAGCCAGCAAAAGGCTGTTCTGTGTGGCCACTGAGTGGGGGCAGGGGGATGCACCATGAGTGTCTCCAGCTGGAGCCAAGGGGTTGCAGATGGCACCTGTCATGCTCACATTCTCCTTCCTGACCACCCAGGGAGGTAGGAAATATGGTGCCTATTGCAGACAGAGAAACTGAAGCTCAGAGAGGTTAAGTAATCCACCCCAGGTCACACAGCTAGGATTCCAGCCCAGGGCTACCTGATTTCAAACTCTGTCCCTGAGTTGACACGCTGCCTCCCTATCACAGAAACCCGCGTGTCCATCACCAACCAGGCGGGCAAACAGTGTCGGCAGTCACAAGCACCACAGCACGGGAACGAGCGGCCGCCTTGTGCAGCCGTGAGCACGAGCCCACTCACAGCGCTGAGCGAAGCAGCCACACAGATGACCACGCACCTCTGACGCCTGTCGTGTGATGTCCAAAGGCGCGGAAAGGACCCTCCACTGTGAGAACTTGGGTGCCGGTTGCCCTTGGCAGGGGGCAGGGGGCAGTGGCTGAAGCGGGGTCGGGTGTCTGTTCTTGATCTGGATGGGAGTCCCACGCTCCAGTCACGCGGTGCCAATTCATCCCACAGGGGACTTGAGATCTGTGCCCTCTCCCCATACTATACGTCAGTAAAACACTTCCTTACGAAATAAAGGTGCTTGGCACGCCAGCGGCTCATCTGGCTAACATTGTACACTGCCAAAAGCCATTGAGAATATTGTGTTGAGCTAGCAAGAAAAATAAACTTGTGTGGGAGGAGGAAATCATTTTCAGAGGAGGAGGGAAGCACCTTTCAAAATTATTGCTAATGTGCTCACTAAAACATGTATGCATTCGGCCGAGGATTTAAGGTGTTTGCTTTGACCTTTGCACTGCACACAACTTCAGGAAGGGTACATTTTATTCCTACTCGGAGTCAGCAGAAAGGACTGATGTTTCAGGAAACGAGAAGTATGTGACGCGTGTCCGCTGGATGGGTGAGAGTTTACACGGCAGACCCGGGTTCCTCAGCTTCACCGGAACTGAGTCCCTGCCCTTGTTAATAATGATCCATCAGGAAGCCTATTTCTCAGAAAAGTCTCTTTATCAAAACTACGCAGAGGGCGCAACACTCAAAACCTCAGAAAGAATGGGAAGCGGTCATTACTCCCACCACATGCAGACTGTACCAATGTATGTCGGCAAACCCGTGCCAGGCAGCCCCTCGCAGAGCTGCGGAGCCTGTGTGCGGTCCTGGCTCCTCTGGATTGGGCACCCAGAAGGGCTCTCGGTGCCTCCTGTAGCAGCGCGCTGGTTCTCACCTCCCTGCCTGGGAACCCCTCCTGCTGTCCCTTTTCAAACTCCTTGGGGGCCATCCACCCAGGAGGCCCCCGCCAACCCTGCGCACGCCAGGTCCTGCGTTTTCCACACAGCATTGAAGCCACCTCGGCCACCCACATGCACTCACGAGAGACCGTGCCCCCAGAGGGCCGTAGCTGCTCACTCCTCTCTCTCCACCACTCACCCCAGTCTGGCACCAGATGGGACCTGTGACCCACAGAGGGCTCGAACACTAGCTGACCTGAACCAAACCACTTTACCATTTCCAGCAGTCCTCTTTCCTTTCTGAAAACTCTGACTTTTCATCTGATATCCCTTCGCTTAATCCTGAAGGATTTTCTGTAGTTTTTTTTTTTTTTAGCATTTCTAATAGGAGGGGCTCTGCTGACGACAAATGCTCTTGGATTCTGTCTGAACTCTCCTTATTACACTTACACTCTTGAAGAATATTTCTGCTGCACACAGAATTCTGGGTTAATTCCTCCCAGCCCAGATCTTCGAAGATGTGATCCACTGTGTCCTGAACCCCATGGTTTCTGACAGGGCGGCTGTGGTGATTCCCATGAGTGTCCCCTTGTATGTCATGGATCCTTTTTTCTCTGGCTGCCTTAAAGATTCTCTTTACTGCTGCTTTTCAGCAGTTTGACAATGACAAGCCTAGACAGGGATTTCTGGACACACATCCTGGTTGGGCTTTCTGGAGCTTTATGAATTTGTAGATTTATACGTTTCACCAAGTTTAGAAAACATCCCGTTCATCCCGTTACGTCTTACTTCAAAGCTGTGAGTTTTTTGGTTTTGTTTTGTTTTTGGAGACAGGGTCTTGCTGTCACCCAGGCTGGAATGCCGTGGCACAATCTCAGCTCACTGCAACCTCCGGCCTCCTGGATTCAAGCAATTCTTGTGCCTCAGCCTCTCGAGTAGCTGGGTACAGGTGTGCACCACCACACCCGGCGGCTAATTTTTGTATTTTTTGTAGAGACAGGGTTTTGCCATGCTGGCCAGGCTGGTCTCAAACTTCTGAGCTCAAGCAATCTGCCCACCTCGGCCTCCCGAAGTGCTGTGATGACAGGCGTGAGCCACTGCACCTGCCCCTGCAAAGGTTTTACATCCCATTCTCTATTTCCTTTCTTCTGGGGTTCCCATGACAGACATCAGACCTTTGAGATCATCCCTCTGTTTCCTGGAGCATTCTTCATTTCTTTTTTCAGGCTTTAATCTCTATATGATCATTTCTGTTGACATATCATGAAGTCCACTGACTCTTCTGTCCCCTCCAATCTGCTGTTAACCCCATCTGGTTCATTTTCTATTTTGATACTGTAGTTTTCAGACCTAGAATTTCCACTTGGCTCTATTTCTGTAGCTTCCATTTCTCTGCTGGGACTCTGTGCTCTCCATTCTGAGCATGTTTTCTGTCCTTGGGTGTAGTTACGCACACCCATCTGACCAGTGCGACACGCGACATCATCGTGGGTCAGCCTCCACTGCTGCCGTCCTCCAGCAACGGTCGCCTTTTCTTTTTTAAAAAAAACATGTCTAATAACATTGAGTTGTATCCTAGACACTGTGAATGATGTGTCATAGACTACACTGCTATATTCCTCTGAGAGTGTTCATGGTTTTATTTAACACGAGGGTTTGAAATTCCCGCCCCATCTCCTAACTCCACCCGAACTCTGCCTGTGGGTTCTTCAAGAAAGGCAGAGTGGAGTTAACTATCCAAGTTTCAGCCACCCTGTGTTGCGTCAACGAAGGCCAACAGTCGGGTTAAAAGCGGTGCCAAGAGAGAAACCCAGGCATTCCCTCTTCCAGCCATCACCTTCCTACTTGGTTTCTGCCCCAAGCGCTGGCTGGGTGTCAGGAGGGTGGGGAGGACCTGCAGGTGCGACCCAGCCCACCTAATCTAGAGGAGGCGCTGCGTGCACAGGCCTGTCCCGCCTTTGTGCTGCCAACCCTGGGAGCCGGGAAGACGCTGGGTCCGGAGCAGCCCTGGACCAGGCAGCCGTCCCCAGCCCAGAAGGGAGGCTTCTCACCCCGGGAGACAAGAAGGCACAGGGCACTGGGGGGAACCGCTAGGCCCGGGCCAGGCCCTCGGCTCCCAGTCCTCCTGTGGAGGCTGCTTCTCCACCCTTGTCCCACAGGCCCCTCCAGAGCCTGGTGGGACCCGGCCCCAGGCCTCCCTGGGCACCTCCACCCGCCAGCCTCCTCCCCTTTGCCCTCAGCTCTGACTCCTATAGTCCCCACAGCTGCCCCAGCCTCCGTGCGGCCCCGGCCCTGGTCTCTCCTGTGTTGCCAGCCCCCAGCCCTAGGTCAGGCCTCCCCACGCCTCTCTCTGACTCCCACTAACTCACCCCTACATCTGGCCGGCCTGCCTTGGGACCCAGGTCAGCCCCTCAAACCACACAGCTGCCATGGACTGTGCCTGGAAGCCTTGGACCGTTCCTCATGGCCTGACATCGTGATTTTAACTTTACACCCTGCGGTGTCAGGGCCCGCGTTCCAATCCTCAACAAGACACTGTGGGGCTTCCTTTCTCCATCTTTCCCCTCTGCTTGGACAACCCCAAGTCTACACGTCGGGACTGGCACTTGGCACATTCAAAGGGGATCAGTGGAGACACAGAGCCCACCGTGGCACCACCGCCCGTGCCTCCCACCCACGATGCTCAGTGCGGCGAGCAGCACACGGGCCTCCTGCTGGGGTGCTCTCAATGCTGGTGCGCAAGGTGCCCTGCCCCACGTGCTTTCCCTGGAAGGGGCGGCACGCCTTGGCACCAAGCATCTACACCCAACGACAGCTGTCGCTGCTGAACCTCTCGGTGGGCCTGGCGCCACCCCAGGTGCTGGCCTGTCCCCTCTGGAGGAATCCAGAATCTGGCCAGAGCAGGAGACCCACGACTGGGGTACACAAGGCAGGAGGGTTGCCAGGGTCGCAGGCGGCTTCCCTCGGGAGTGGTCACGGGGTGAAGGCCGCAGACACCATGAGCAGGTCAGGCCGAGGATGGAGAGACAGGCCGGGGGGCCGGGACAGGGCCAGCAGTGTCTGTCTCATTCTTCCCTCCCCAGTCAGCCTAAAAGTGAATTCCAGGCTGCAAGGAAAGCTCAAGCCCAATAGGAAGTCAGCGACTCCATCTCAGTCCCCAGCACCTGAGGCAGCACGGCCACGGGACGCCTGCCGGGTGCCCACAGAGCCAGGCTGCAGGAGTGAGTGGTCCCGAGTATCAGGGGACAGCTTCCTTTGTTTTAAGCACCTTGGCAAGAAAAATAAACACTTTTCATCGTATCTTCAAAACGGCCCCGGGAGGGCACAGCTGCCGCCTCCCTGCCTCGCAGGTCCTGCTCTGACGTCCCCGGCGGTGAGAACTCGGTCTCCCCCGTTCGTAGCAGGGGGCTGCCACTGGGACGGCTCTGACGGGGCATTTCCCAGCCCGGCTCCAAACACACACAACGCTGGGCCCAGTAAATAAGTTTTGTTTTTTCCCAGGGAAAAGTTGAACAACAATGGTGAGACCAGGAAGGCTCTCCGTTCACAGGAAATACTGTGTCACCGCTCGGCCGCAGGCTGTGTGAGGTCACGGGCGACGCTCGGGTCACGTGTGGCGGCTCCTGTTCACAGTGCCGTGTGTGATAAACTGGGACTTTCTGGTGAGGGGAGACTGGCGGGGGGTGGGGAGGGCAAGGAGTGGGAAAGTCGCCTATAAATGTTTAACAAAAGATCCGCAATGGGAACAGGAACTTGCATTCTTTCTTTCAATGGACAAAGCTTCCACATCAAGATACGCTTGTGTGCTGGGACCAAATGCCACAGTGCGGCGAAACTCGTGAGCACAAGTCCTGCGTGGGAAAGGCTTAGCATCCTTGAGTGACCTCTGATGAATTTAAGTCAAGGAACACTGTCAGGAGCCACTTCTGAAGGGCCCCAGACAGGAAAGACACTGGGCCGGGGGAGCCGGGCCCCCAGGGCTCGGGCCACCTGCTTGCAAGAGGGGAAGGGCCACTGGCACTGGGCCCCCGGCACTGAGGCTCTGTGCTGGCGAGGGCCCCACAGCTGCAAGGAATGTTCCAGAACCACTACAGCCACAGGAAGATAGGGAGGGGGTGAAAAGAGGGGCAAGCTCAGGTGCTTTTCCTGAGCCTACTACAAACCGGCCCGTCATTTAGGGTGGAGGGGACAGCAGCACCTTGAGTGTTCTCACATGTGCCGCCTTCCCACTCCAACACCCACGGCCCACCCAGCCCCTCCCGGAGTGCCAGCCATGGCTCTCTGAACCCTGTGGGAGAATCTGGCATTGAAGGGCCGGGGACAATAAGTTCCCGGGCTTTGGCCTTTTGTAGGAGAGGAGGAATTGAAACTTGAAACCCAGGACCCAGCGCCTCATTTCTAGAGGGTGAGGCAGAGCCCTGAGGGGAGAGCTGTGTGGAGTGGAGCTGTTGGGTGCCCGAGAGGCTGTGGCTCACCGCAAGCTTTAGATGGAGTGATCTGGGTGGAGGCAGCAGTTTTGAAATTGAGCATTCTAACCTTTCTGAAGACTCCATTGATTTGACCTCAGTGGACTCACAAGGGTCTTTGGACGGGACAGCCCTGAGGCTGGGCTTGCTTTCCCCATAGATGATGCTGTCCCTGCCGCCCTGTGCCAGGCACCTCCCAGCAACTCCCAGGGGGCCACTGTTTCTCCTCTTCAACAAGGAGGGGCGCCTCAACAGCCTGGCTAGAGGCCCCTGGCCAGACCCAAGCAGGACGCTGGCGCTCCAGAAAGCCAGCGGGAACATTCCGCAGCTGCTGTCCTGTCTCAGGGCCGACCCTGTGTCCAGCTTGTGGGCACCTGTCTTCACTGGCAGGCACCTGTCTTCACTGGCCAGCTCCTCGGGCAGGCACTCCCCGCAGCTGGAGCATGGGCTCCTCTCTGCCCTATCAGCACAGCCACCCATTCTCGGCTCTTTAAAACAGATGTTGCAACAAGCAAACATCTTTGTGATGACACAGTGATGTTATCGTAGCTGTATAAACAACCGTATGGCCTTTGGCCTGAGATTCCGGAAGCTTCCTGAAGAGCACAAAATGCAGGTCAGGCCATGTCCTGCAGCCCTGGCTAAGCTCAGGGGTCAATCAGTTCCAGAAGCCAACAGCTACCCCAGGCCTTGGAAGAGAGAAAGGAAAGTTCTAATTCAATACATCCCAAACCCATCTCTGGATGTGCCGCTTCATATCTAGACCTCCTCTGGGGTCCCCTAACTCAGAGAAAAGGCTCTGTCACCCACCACTCATGCTGTCAGGACCCCGGGCACCAACACCACCCGCCCCACAGCCCACCTGGCGCCAGGTGCCGCTGCCTCCTCGGCTGCACATCCCCGCCGTACACTTGTCTCCCCATCGGCTCCTCCCGCCCATGGGACCTTCGAAGACACTGCTGCCTCTGCCTGAAGTACTTTACCTTCCCCCCTTACCTGACATTCAATAACTGCTTAGTGCCCTTAAAAGAGCTGCACTCTCAGGAGCAGAGTTTTGTGAGCATAGCAGGCTTCCAACTGACCCCTGGTTCCTCCCTCATCCTCCGTAACCCACCCGCCACCTGCAGTCAGAGTGACCACCTAAAACCCACTGCTTGCACCTGCCGTGGCGTCCAGGGCCCTCAAAGTCCTGCCTCATGCCTGCAGCCCACAACACCCTACCCTACCCACTGGCTGGACAGCCCATGCCAGACCGCTTCCCTCTCCACACCAGACTCCAACCGCCCACCCCACCCTACCTCCTCTTCTAGAAAACACCAGGCTCACATCCCGCTCAGAACCTCAGCCACGGCCACTGGGGAGGGTCCAGCCAGTGCCTTCCCCGGGTAGGGGCAGCTCCCCTGGTGTCCAGGCACTCCCTTGTCAAGGCCACAAGCTTCAAGGCAGTGGGACCATCCAGGACCGCATCCTAGGAGGCTCTCAACAAGCACGTGGCAGGTGACGGCACCCGCAGACCACGGCCTGCACCCATGGCAGAGACCCTGCTGCCACTCCAGTGCGTGCCAGGTGGGCCCTGACAACAGACCCACTGGGTGATGAGCCTGACTTCCCTACCTGCACCTCCCTCACAGCCAAAGCCTGGCCAACAGCAGGGGCCACAAGGCCTCCAAGCAGAAATGCTCGGCTCTGAGCTTGCAGCCCACCCCACTCTGGCTGCGGGACTTTGGAGCAGCTTGGGCTTTGAACGTGCTGCCCTGCATGTAAAGGGGCACGCTGGGAAAGGTGGGCATTATGGAGATTAAAGGAGAACATGGTGCGCACAGCTCAGCGCTGGACACTAGATCCCTGCCTGCACTCCCGAGGCCGTGGTGCTCTGATGACATCCATGGGCAGTGAGTTCAAAATGCTGGAAGGACAACACCACAGCACCATTACACGATGATAAGAAAGTTCTCTGCAAGTCTACTTACTCTCGGTAAATGAATTACATGTCAGAGGCCGCATTAGACTATTTTCCACAACACAGCCGGCCCGGTGAGTAGACTCTTGGAAGTAGGTTTCCCAGAAGCTGAAGAAGCACAGGCCTCTGTTTCTGCATCACCGACTCAAATAAGACCCACTGTGGCTGTCAGGGCTGGGCCCTGGAGGTCTTTAAAGTTAAAGGTGCTGTCAGAGCACCCCATCTCAACAAGGGAGGGCCGCTCCTGAAGTCCCCGCCCTTCCATCAGAAAGCCTCTCAGGACAGAAGGCAGAGAGGGAAGCGGCCGCAAAGACCCATGGGTGCCGAGGGTTCCCAGCACGGCCAACAGGGCCCTGCACACTCACAGGACAGTCCTTGTATTGGAGACAAACAGCTGTGCCGGAGAGGGGTCCTGAGACAGCAGCTCCGGTGGCCACGTGAAGGTCTGAAGCCCCAAGCGTGCCCAGCTCCAGGATGGGGTAAGCAGCGGGGGAGGTAGGGCCCTGGTGGCTGGGGGGCCGCCAGGAGCAGCGCCCAGGCCAGTGCTGCCTCTGCCGCCCGGCCTTGCTGCCCGAGCGCACGCTGTGTCTGGGGACAGTCCGGCCGCTGCCCCGGCACCTATACCTGACACTATCTTCCTGTGGAATTAGCCACCTGAAAAGTCTCCTGCCCAGGGAAGTGCAATGCTGACACTGTCCATTTTCTGAAGAAATGAAAAGAAGAGAAATGCTGCCAGAGAGCATGTGGCACAGGCGTGGTGAGTGCATTCTGCCAGCCAAATTGGGAACGTGGCACTGATGACGGCCCCAACGACGCGGAACCAGGCCTGCCCCACCCGGGGATCCAGGAATGCGGATGCTGGGGCAGAGCACCTCCTGCTCCGGGGACGCTGTGCTGGCGGCGGCAACAGCGTGTGACACCCAGTGAGGCATTTCCCCCACCCCGCCCGGCCTCTCTCTTCTCCCCTGTAAAATGGAGGGAAAGACCAGCACCTGACAGGCCCTCTCTGCAAAGAACACTAGTGTGGGAGAAGCCACATTCGGTCACGTTTCTAGGGCTTAAGGTCACCCCGGAAGAGAAAGGACCTGGCAGGTCCCAGGATGGGTGCGGAGGGTGGGATGAAGGGCACAGTGTGGGAAGGAGCGCCGGAGACAGGGCAGGGACAGCCAGGCCGGGAAGGCCTTGGCTCTGGGCTGAGAGTGTGGCCCCTCGCGCCAGAGGCAGCAGGGACCCCTCAAAGGTGCCTGGGCTGGGACACGCAGGTCCCCGTGAAGGCCACGCTGCAAGTTGGTGGGGGGAGGACCATGAGGAGGCCGGTTTGGTCCAACCTAGTACTCCCTGGACCAGATGACCAGCTAAGTCCCCGAGGTCAAAGGCTTGGATCACAAGGTCACCACTGGATGAAGAGGGCACATTAGGAGGGGCTGCTCCAAGAGGGCCGCGCAGCTACCTGGAGTCGGATGCCACGTGGGGGAGCACCCAGCAACAGCAGGTGGGCGGACGGCTGGCACTGCGGGACCCACACCGAGTGGTCGGGTCACCTGGCCACCTGGCATCTTCCAGACAAAGAACCCTCGAGCCAAGGTGCAGGCAGAGACCCAGGGACCATGGGGGACCCTCCCCCATCAGACACAGAGCCACTGTGGGCCCTGCCCAGCCCACTACATTGACAGGCACAGTAGGAAACACTCTTGCCACACGGCACCGAGCCATGGATCCCACTAGGAAGTTACTGCCACATGAGACTGCTCTGTGTGCGCGAAGGCCCAGTACACAGCGACGCCTCTCAACAGCGCCTGGTGAGGGCAAATGGCCCGAGATCAGGAGACCCCACTTCAGTTCTTTACCAAGGTTCTCCTCCCTCCATGGGCACTGGAAGGTAGTGCCTGGGTAACCAAGGCTCCAGGTCACGTAGCACTGCCCAGGCCCAGTGAAAATGGCAGGAACAGTACATTCCAGTGGGGCCAGGCCCCACACGCCAAGTGCCCGACTCAGGCTCTGCATCTCTCCTCTGCCGCTGGCCTACAGAAGGGGTCTTCAGGGGTGAAGCTGAGCCTCCAATGGATTATATCATCTGCCTAAGCTCATACAGATGCTAGGGACTGGAGGGGGCGGGGGAACCCCCCTCAGGCTCCCACACATGGGGCCGGGGAACCTCAACAATCCATCACACGCCAGCCCCGCTGCTCTGTGCGCCATGCTTTGGCCATGGGCTGGTTCACGTCCAAGGCTTGGACAAGATGACAGCAAATGTCCCCTTCAGCTATAAGCCTTTATGGTTTGAATTAGGGACAGATGGGAAATCCAGCTGCCACCCTTATATACTGCTGTTTGTAGCTTTGATTATAACAGATGGCCAGAAACACCCCAAATGCCCAAGCATGGAACAATCACGCCAAGGCCTCAGGTGAAGACAGGGAATGCTGCTGCTGCAACATGAACGCACACTCAGTGGCTCCCAGGTGAGCACTCAGGAGCTGCAACGTGAACACACACACTCAACGGCTCCCAGGTGAGCGCTCATGAGCTGCAATGGGAACACACACTCAGTGGCTCCCAGGTGAGCACTCACAAGCTGCAACGGGAACACAGACATTCAGTGGCTCCCAGGTGAGCGCTCACCAGCTGCAACGGGAACACAGACATTCAGTGGCTCAACACAGACATTCAGTGGCTCCCAGGTGAGCACTCACAAGCTGCAACGGGAACACACACACTCAGTGGCTCCCAGGTGAGCGCTCGCGAGCTGCAACGGGAACACACGCACTCAATGGCTCCCGGGTGAACGCTCACGACCAGCTTGGGCTGGACTGGCGTCTCCTTTCAGTGGTTGCCACTTTCCATGGTGTAGATGCTACCACCCCGCCCAATCTCAAGCTGCTGAGGTGACGTCGCTGAACAGGAGTGGAGAGGAGCAGCAGCCAGCGCTGAGCGGCACCTCTGCCCCGCAGGTACAGCAGGCAGACACACCAAGGCGAAAGGGAGTCGGGCATTAGGAAGTGCTAAGTGCGCGTTAACTTTGCTAACCTAAATCAACTGTAAGCAAGTAACTTTTTTCACAATGGATGTGTTAACGGCCAGCCCGCAAAGTTCTTGAAAATTTAAGCTGGCTCTCAGGAGCCAGGATGAGCTGGTTCCAGCACACAGCTGGGCTGCAGACATTCGTTCATTGTACCCTGCCTACTGCCACACACTGATTTAGATGTGGCTTGAGAATGCTATTAAGTTAAAACTAGCAAGTTTTTGGAAATTAAGGAAAAAATGAATTCTTACTGATGGTTACTATTGCAGTTTATCAATAAAGATCTTGGGTATTTAAAAATTAAAAAAAACACAGCCAGGTGCGGTGGCTCACACCTGTAATCCCAGCACTTTAGAAGGCTGAGGCAGATCACTTGAGGCCAGAAGTTCGAGATCAGCCTGGCCAACATGGTAAAACCCCACCACCTGCAGCAAAAATAGAAAACAATTAGCCGGGCATGGTGGCAGACACCTGTAATCCCAGCTACTTGGGAGGCTGAGGCACAAGCATTGCTTGAACCCGGGAGGCAGAGGTTGCAGTGAGCCAAGAGTGCGCCACTGCACTGCAATCTGGGCAACAGAGTGAGACTGTCTCACAATAAACAAATAAATAATAAAATGAAATAAAAAACCCTCTAACAATATCTCCCTTTATGACACTTCTGCCCAAGACGGCAGGCCCCTGGGAAACGGCTATGGAGCGTGGCACCCGTTTTGCTGTGCTTTTCCCGTTTTGCTGGTGCAGGGCCTTGGCTAGGCAGGTCCAGCAGGTCTGCGGCTGGACCTGACTCTGGGCTGAGCTGAGCTTCAGAGGCCAGCACTAGGGCCCCATGGTTGAGTGGAGGCTGAATTCCGAGTCTGAATCCCAGCTCTACCATCTACTAGCTCTGTTGAGTGTCCGTTTCCTGATCTGCAGAAATCTGTAAACATCATCACCAGGCTTTTATGAGAACTGAGTCATCCTGAACAGCTCACTGTTGGCATAAACCATTAGCGAATCGTCGCCAACATCGGGGCCTGCATCGCTCACCTGAGGGAGTGGGGACTGTTCTTCTCTATGTCCACTGAGGCCTAATTCACATCTCGTCCCTCGGAAACCTCAGCCCTAGCCTGCTGGTGCTGGTGGAAGGCAGCCTGGTTTGAAGGAAAAGTGCTGGCCTCCAATTCACATTCTTCATTCACCGTCAGGACCTCAAGGAGGTCACCTTTCCCTTTGGAGCCCTGGTTTCTAGAGACAGAGGCCACCTCCTCGTGGGCCTAGCTTGGGCTCTTCCCAGGACTGAAGGGTGCGGGGTGGGCTTCCTGGCCAGTGTGGAAGAAGGGCGTCCGTTGTTTGTTCCCTGCTCATGGCTGGCAATTTGAACCCTATTTGCTACCCCATTTTGACATTTCCCTTTCCTGTTACTACATTTAGCATCTTTCTACCCAAACAGGGTCGCAGGTGGCCTGGCTTCCCCAACAGGACTCCGTGTGCACCAGCAAAGGGTCCAGAGGTGGGCAGGGAGTGTTACTTGCCAGCTTGAACCTACCCCAGGTCCTGATGCAGTCTGCCTGCCGTGGGATATTCTCCTGCGCGCTGCCAGGAGAGGGCCCTTAGACCCTGTCAGGGCTGTGGCGGTGGCCTGAGGTGACCTCCCTGATAACTACACTGATGACAACAGGCTTTGGAGAGGTCTCGACTGGCACAGGAAAGCTGGACACAGCTCACCTCCACGTTCCGCTCTGGCCCCTCCCCCCAGCACAGCCAGGCTCCAGCAGGACTCGACCTCCTGGGATTGCGTCACTGTGAGCTTTTGCTCCCCAGCCTGGAACGGCTGTCCCCCTTGGTGACCATGATACTGGCTGTTTAAATGTGTGTCCCCGCGCTGGTCTGCCTTCCCCGAGGACAGGAATGCGCCCGCTACCTAGCAGGTGCTCGGAAGGCACTCTGCAAACCGAAACTGACTCTCCAGCACTGGGTTTGTTGCTTCATCTCCGAGTGAAGGTGCAGGTGACCACGCTCAGCTCTCCACCCACAGGAGCCATGGCTTGGCTTGTTAAGGCTTGTCCAAGGTTGTCACACTCCGAAGCCCCCGACCCACAGCAGCAGCAGTACTGAAAACCAGGTGATATGAAACCAGCAGGGAACGGCACTGACTGCTCAAATGCCACCCCCCTTCTTCATGCAGGTGAAGCAATTTAAATGCATGAGACACACAGGCGGCCCCATTTATAAATCATGAGCGTCAGGTTACCGTGAGGGGCATTTCAACCCAGGGCACAGCGGGTGTGTCTGTAGAGTGCACTTCCGGTGTGGCTGCAGTTAAATCATGCTCGGCTGTCATGGTCTAGCAAGGGTCACGGTGACGAGGAGGACGTATTCGTATTCTGGAGAATATGAAGGACCAAAGACCCTCTGTGAACCCCACAACGATTCTAACGTAAAGCTTATAAGAACTGGTGAATTATCCGAAGAAAGCACAAAGCCACAGGGAGCCAGGCTGGCCTTGGGCTTGGCAGAGAATGGGGAACTGTTTCAGAGCTTAGGTGTCAGGCCCTGGGTTTACGGAAGAGGGAGAGAGGGGCAGGCATTGCACAAAACTGCTCCGAGGTAAAAAACAAAACAAACCATGCCGTCAAAACATAGGCAGCAATTCTCATTAGTCACGTTCTCGAATGAAAAATTTAAGCGTGTGCATGTTCAAAAAGTTAAATAAACAACTGGACTGAAATGTACGAAACATCAGAGTTGGCCAGGCGTGGTGGCTCACGCCTGTAATCTCAGCACTTCGGGAGGCTGAGGCGGGCGGATCACCTGAGGTCAGGAGTTCGAGACCAGCCTGGCCAACATGGTGAAACCCCGTCTCTACTAAAAATATAAAAAAATTAGCCGGGTGTGGTGGTATGTGCCTGTAATCCCGGCTACTCAGGAGGCTGAGGCAGGAGAATCGCTTGAACCCGGGAGGTGGAGGTTGCAGTGAGCCGAGATCACGCCACTGCACTCCAGCCTGGGCGACAGAGCAAGACTCCGTCTCAAAAACAAAAACAAAAACAAACATGAGAGTGAGTGCCTGGATTCTCCCCTGCCTGCGTAGAGCCTGCAGTGCCGACTGTCCCTGAGGACTTTTGTCCCTAACACCAAAGCCCAGGCACTGGCTTCCCAAGCCATGTTTAACTCAACATGTAGGCGTCCAGAGAAAGCCGTCCCTGGATCTTCCCTCTCGCCCAGCCCTGACTGCCTTCAAACTGGAACTCAAACTCTCAGTTTCCCCAAAGTTTTCCATTGTGTAACACATCTACACCCAAATCCTCACATATCAAGTGTCTAACAGTTACTTCCAACTCAACATTTAATGTTTCTGTGATGTTCCCAAATAGTTCACAAGCTAGAAAATACGTCTGCACATCCAAGTCCATGCTTCACTTTAAAAAGGGGGCAAACAACCTATTCTGCACCCAAAGACAAATCCTATTAACATACTATTGACATAGTTACACATGTACCTATCCTTCTGTAAGATCTAAATAGTCCGTTTTTTTTAAATGACAAAATGACCATCATCTGGGAAGCATCCTGCTGGTGGACACCTTGTATACTGATTGCTTTTAATGGCAAAGTAACTGCCGCATTTTATTCTAAAACTTACTTTCACAAAAAGCCCACTTATTTCCATAATTTAACTTTATTTTGATACATGTTTTAGGGAAATATTAAACATTTATGGAGTAATTCCCTTGAGAACAGTGCGCCCTTCCTCAGAGAGCCACTGGGCGGTGCCCAGTGGATGAGGGCGCGGAGGGCTGGCCAGAGGGTAGCACTAACACATGGCCCACAGATCAACACAAACCTCCATCGGTCCCTGAGCTAGCTGGTATCCAGTCCTATCAGTTCAAACACATTTGTGCTGTTTTGTTAATATTTAATTTCCTTTTGGCTTTTGTTAAATGATCATTTTTCGGCAGAAATAATTGATTTTTTTGGTCTTAATTCAAATGTGTATGGTTCATGTTCTAAGATTTTGAAAATTATAGCGATCTAGTAAGTTTGGAAATTGCCAAAATATGATATATTGCTTACTATATGGGATTTAAAAACTACTGTTACTTTACCAGTGCTCATATGCACAATATTGAAAAAAGGCAGAATCGCTCAGGTTTCTCTGTAAATCACCTCCCTGGAGTGGCACGTAAGGCCTCCTGTGATGTCGTCCTTCCCTGCCTGAAACACCACTCTGCACTGAGCTCACAGACTTCTGCCATGCTAGACTAGTCACCACTTCCATAACATGCCACAGTCTCCCCACCACACCACAGCCCAGATTGTGCCCAGGGCCACCCTTGCTTCACTGACCCCTAGTGACCCCTTGCAACTTGGGGGCACTGCCTCCTGGCTTCCAGCCCATCTTTCTGTCTGCATTGCGCTGGGTGTCCCTCTGCCCTGTTCCCCTGTACTCCATGCTTACCTTTAGAAGCGAGCAGGTAATGCCTCATATTTTAACCGTCCTTCCTAATCTTTCTCCTCCAGACCTGGAGGGCCTCCAGGGCAAAAATCACAACCCTCACCCCAAAGCCACACGGTGTCCCTCACCGCCGCCCTCCATGCCTTCCCCGAAGTGGCGCTCCACGATCCCTGGAGCGAGTGCTCAGCAGGCCAGTGTCTCCTCTCAGCACGCTTCTCACCTCACCGAACTGGGAGCGCCAGGTCACGTGCTCGTATCTCCAAGTGAGCTGGAGGCCTCAGGCTGCCCGTTTCACCTCCAGCCCTGGGCACAATGCCCAGCATCCAGCAGGTAGGTGCTCCGTAAGTACTTGACGAAAGAATAACAGGCGTGTAACTCTTTGGGAAAAATTACCATAGTTGACATTTTATTGTTTAAAAAATACAATGATCTGAAATGCAAGGAAATCCAGGCTTCCCAGTCTAAACAAAACATCCTTGCACAAGAAGTTTCTCAACTATTTTGGTCAAGATCTCCTGAATGCTGTCCAGCCCACATACGTGGTTCTCCCTCTAGTGTGCGGTTAGCTGGCCACGGGCCACCTGTGCTGCTCCGTGGACGCCTAGGACTCCTGGGCAGCAGACGCGTGCCCGAGTCTCCGAACCCTCTCCCACTGGACTAGAGTGGGCAGTCGCAGCTCCAAGCCTGGACCTGCGTCACCATCAAGCTATAAGTCTCCAGTCAGCAGGGAATCCAATTTTTAGCTTTGTAAAGTCGCCCCTTTTTTTTTCACATTTTTATTGTGATCAAATATACACAACATCGAATTGACCTTTTTAATCCCTGTGAGCGCACAGCTCAGGGGCGGTGAGCGCACTTAGACTGCCGTGCAACCATCACCACTCACCCCAGAGCGACGCCATCTTCCCAGACTGAAACTCTGTCCCCACAAAACATGCACTCCTCTTTCCTCCCCCAGCCCCTGGCCTCCGCCATTCTGCTTTCTGCCTCTATGAATCTGACACCTCCAGGGCCCTCCTATGAGTGGAATCACACAGCTTTTCACCGAGTCTATCCAGCTGTGGCCATTCACAGTCTTCCCCCACCACCGCATCTCCCCCTGGCCCCTGGAGGGCAGCAGGCTCCAAGCTCTCCAGCCTCTTCCAGCATCCACCACCCATTCCCCACAGAGACCTGCTCACTTTGTAACTCTGAGGAGCCCTTGAGTATAGATTTACGTAGCACCCTCCCCAATACCAGGCATGATGCTAGACGTGGGGTGCCTGCACCCACAGTACAGCTGCCAGGGGGCCGGCGCGGGGCAGAGCAGGCTGCCCCGCCCTGAGGAGCTGCAGACACGCAGCCCCATGAAAGCCCAGACTGTGGGAGGTGCTATGAAGGGCGCCTGGGAAACCCCAGTGCCAGGTACTCTTCTAGTAAAGTCTCCCCAGGTTCCTCAACAGCAGTTTCCAGCTCATCCGAGTTAGTATAGGGAGGAAAGAACCATCAGACCAGAAGCATGATGGAGAAAATTAACCACCCGGCTGCTGTGAGCCAGGGCTGCTGCCTGGGCCACGCGGTGAATTTCTGCAGGGTTCACTCTAGTCCCCAGATGCTTGCTGTGACAAAGCCCTACCAGGTTACCCACGTGACTGCGGCAAACATGCCCCTTAGGAATTATTCCTGCCAAAAAGGAAACTGTTTAGGGTTAGCTAGGTGCTGAGTGTGGTTTTTCAAAACAGGAAGACAAACCAAGAGCGTGCTATCCACAGACATCCCTGGGTCAGTGGGTGTTTTCAGACAAAACAAAATAGGTTTACTGAACCCCTTTCAGAGTGTCATTACACACAGAGGAACTCCTAGAAAGGCATCGAGTGTACCTGAACTGCAGAAGTGCACTATTAAAATACTTGCCAACCTCCCAGGCAAGGGAATTGCAACACAGCTCAGCTTCCGAGTTTCACACAGTTGCCCAGTTAGATACATCCTGCAGAAGGAAAGTAACCAACTGCTTAGTCACCTGCTTAGCAAAGTAAGTGCTTACTCCAGGAGGGTGCAGGAGCAAAGCACACACACACACACACACACACACGCACGCACACACACAGCATCATGAGGTGCATTTTCACCTGAACGTGGTAGGAATGTGTTTCTCAATTCTTGCCAAAGATGTGTTTTCAGGTGGATTTCAACACTAAGCTATGGTCAGTTGCATAAGACGGCTGCCGGTTTTAGAGACAACACGCTGAGTTCCTAAGAAGGGCTGGGCTCATGAGACTGGGCTCTGGAGGGCATGGCCTCTGCAGGTGACTCAGTGCGGGGCTGAGGCCTGGTCATCTCTGCACACCTGCTCCCACCAGCACCCAGCATAGAATGGTCAGGGCCCCACACAACCCAGGGAGTGGAGGGCAATGACCAGCACTTAATGTATGTTTTAAAACTTCCAGTGTTTTGTGTGAGGCAGGCTTTTCAAGAGTAGACTTTTCCCAGAGGAAGAAAAGGCGAGCTTCCAGCTACAACAAACCGTATCCTAGGAATCTCGATTCACACGAAACGACAATGAAGAATGGAAAGTCTGGTGTTTTAAACAAATGGACAGATATAAAGTGAGCATAGCTTTAGTCATTACGCCCAGCCTCCTGAATTGAGACGGACAAGAATAAACCTGACTTCCCCCACAAATAAATCTGCAGACGTCACTTATTCATTCTCGGATGTTCTATTGCTCACGATCTTCGTCGAGTGGAGAGAAGTTAGGCTCTCACGTTAATCCAGTTCTAACTCATGAGTCAAACTGAGACTGCAACAAAAGAACGCCCCTTTTTTCTTTTACATGATTTTCCTTTTCCCCTGAGTATACTTCCTGAACCAAGAAGAAAACAATCAACAGGAGGGGAGACTGGACTTCTCCTTCCCGAGGGAAAAAGGCTACATGGGAAAAACACATCCCAGCGGGAAGGGGTGCTCCAACGGAGCTGAGCGTGACTCAGAGACTGGGGGCTGGCTCTTTGGAAAGGTCGGCTCCCAAAGAGTTCCAGAGCAGCCTGGTTCCACAACACGCTTTTAAAAAGTGACCACAGGCCAGGCCCAGTGGTGGGGACAGTGCCTGTTGTCCCAGCACTTGGGGAGGTTGAGGTGAAAGGATCACTTGAGCCTGGCAGGTAGAGGTCAGAGGTTGCAGTGAGCCGTGATCGCACAACCACACTCCAGCCTGGGTGACAGAGCGAGACCCTGTCTCACAAATAAATAAGTAAAATGAGAAACCGGCTGCCCGACACTGTGATTGGATCCTAGCTCTGAGACACCACACGCATCACCTGCCGTGCTGCAGTGGAGACGCATGTGGATGTGCAGAGTGGGGCCTGCAGGACGCTTCCCAGACAAAGCCCTCCTCTCCCCTCCAGACCGTCCTGTGAGGGCAGCTGGGGGCAGCCGCCCGGATCCATGGGAGGGGGAGTATCTTCCTGGGTCTTGACTAACATCGGGGCCACTTCACACCCTCCCGCTCTCCCCGCTTTGGGGCGCTGTGGGCCTATGGGCACCGGTTTGTGGGTGTGCTCTCATCTCCTTTATGGGACTCAGCCTGGGGCTAAGAATGTACATATTTTTAAAAGTCTCCTCCAGAAGTGCATCGTTCAATAAATGGTGTGGAAATGTAGTGCATAACACACACAGCGTCACAAACGGCCAGGCTGCGGTGAGCAGTGGCTCTGCGGGCAGGCGGAGCAGCAGCACAGCCAAGAAGGGCGACAGACGGCTCACCGGCAACGTGGTGGACACAGAACCAGAGGCTTTATCTGCACTGTTGTTCTCCAAGAGTTGCTCTGGGGACAGTGGCGAGGTCCAAGGACGCTTGCCTATGGTGCGACTGTGTAGAAGCTGGGGATGTTGCTGCCTTCGGGGAAGGGAGATGGGAGGCTGCGGGACAGGAGTGGACGGAAACCTCGCTGTCTGCCCTATGGTAACTTCTCAACTCTGAACTTGGTGAAGGCGCTGTCCATTTAAGAAAGTAGAATTCATATTTTAAAAACAGTGCCTTTGCATCCATTACAATACAGTCAAAGAAAAAAAAAAGAAAAACAGCTTCCCTTTTGAGTCAGGTCTGGGAACCGCTGGTGGGCTGGCTCTGTGGGGCAGGACCTGCTCAGGGGATGGTGCTGACAGGGTCCTCTGGGGACAGGTGGGCTGTCTCTCCCTTCACAGCCAGCCAGAGGTCTGGGCACCCCCACTGCCTCCAAGCCTTTCCTCCCAGGCCTGGGAGCCCAGCAATCCCCCCAGCACTAGGAGGGACCACTGCTTCTGCTCTAGAGCGCCTTCAGAAAAGGACGTGGCTGTGTGGAATCAAGGATTCAGGTCCCATCCTGGCCAGGCAGAAGTGGGGGCAGGGCCATTCCTGCCGGGACACAGATGGCAGCTGTGAAGGCATGGTGCATACAGGGACAAGACAAGGGAGTGTATGGTGGCCTTCGCACGGACAGCGGGACAGCCCGAATCTCCAGGTCAGACAGAAAAGAGCAGGCAGCCCTCCTCATGGCTGGGAGCCTATCCTCAAGCTCCCTGCACAGATGAGATGAAAAGAGAGGCGCATCCCGCCAAGTGTGGCCATCATTATACGCACATTTAGCCGAGATCACAGGGAACAACTGGCAACTGAAAATAAAAACCCACAGACTCAAACTTCACCGTGAAAGAAAAACAAAATCCTCCACAGCTAAGAGTGATGACCAGGACGATGATCAAAAGGCCCAGAGTCTTCTAAATAATCCAGCTCATGTGACAGATAGAATTTAAGAAATAAAATAAGTACTGGAATCACCGTGATTTTTAAATTTCTTAAACCTAGGTATCTAATAGGCCAGGCCCAAGTGACTTCCACAGCGGGAATGAACGTGGCTCCTGGCTGTGACAATTCTACATTGTTTTCCCACAGAGGATGTTTAGACCAGTGGGGGAAGTGCTGTGATTAGAAACGCGGGCTCCAGTATCAGAAAGAACACCATACTCCCCCATTATCAAGAACGGGCGAGACAGTGCTGGGAAAAGAGCCTGAGGGTCTCATGAGAATACAAAGTTGCTCAGTTCGTAGCTTGCTGCAGCTCCCGTGGTACATCGGTGAGTGCCCCAGATAACAAGCCCAACACTGACCCTGGACAAGTCGCTGAGTCAAACTCCTCCATTAGGCAGCTTGCCACTCCCTGCTCTCACTCACAGGCTGCTGGGAAGAGAGCCGGCAGATACTGTCTTCCACGAGCACCTCAATGCACAGGCCCGAGACTGGAGGCCACACGTTGGGGGAGCCCATCTACCACCATCCTGGGTTTATACAAACACCGCGGGAAGCTGAATGTGGACCTGAATGTGTATCCCAGGCCACGCAATGTGGTAGGAGGCTATAGAATCTCTCACAAGAGGCGACGGGATTTTCAAACCTAAGCCAGCCCGTGTGCAGCGGGGAGCCGGCAGGGCGAGGACCCATCTACCGGGTGGTGACAGAGAGCTCCACCTCCAAGACTTTGCTGGGAGCCACAGAAAAACCTGCTAGAGTTGGGAGTATTACTCCTGCTCCGGGGTCCCTCCACACACTGTCAGTCCCCCTCTGAGCACCACCTTGCAGCAACCTGTTTCCATGACTGTCCTCCCCACCGGGCCACCAGAAAGTCAGGGGGACCCCATGTCTGCCTTCTGTGTCCCAAGACACTGCATGTGGCTCAGCAGGTCCTCCAATGTCGGAGGGAGGGCAAGGTTTGAGCAAGCCTACACAGCGGTGTGGGGATGTGACCGAGAGCAGCTCCGCCAGGTGCCCCCCGCCGCAGCAAGCACGAAGCGCAGTGGCATCTGTGTCAATGGCGCTCTCATTCCCACAAACTAGAAAGGCTTTTTAAGAACAGGAAAAGCCGTTCCTTCCGCTGTCAGAAAAACAAAACCACTTGCCATCAACCATACTAAACCTGAAATGACATTTGCCAAAAACCTTTCAAGATTTAAATACAGGCCGGGTGCAGTGGCTCACACCTATCATCTCAGCACTTTGGGAGGCTGAGGCAGGAGGATGGCTTGAGCCTAGGAGGTCAAGGCTGCAGTGAGCCGTAATCGCACCACTGTGCTCCAGCCTGGGCGACAGAGACCCTGTCTCAAAAATAAATTAAAATACAGTTGACCCTTGAACAACGTGGGTTTGAACTGTACCGTCCATTTACACAGATTTTCTTCCGCTTCTGCCACCCGAGACAGCAAGACCCCCGCTCCTGATCCTCCTCAGCCTACTCAACATGAAGATGAGGATGAAGGCCTTTATGACGGTCCACTTCCACATAATGAATAGGAAATACATTTCTCTTCTTAATAATTTTCTTAGCTATGTTTTCTTCAGGTTACTTTACTATAAACATATAATACATATAATATAGAAGGTATGTGTCAACTGACTGCTTATATTATTGGTAAGGCTTCCAGTCAGGAAGCTGTTGGTAGTCAGGTTTTAGGGGGAGTCAAAAGCTACACATGGATTTTTGACTGTATGGGGAGTTGGCACCCCTAACCTGAGCTGCTCAAGGGTCAGCTGTATACCCAACTGCCCTCCCAATCAACTCGGCTACTTGGGAGACTGCGCCCCTATTCTTCATGGTGCGCTCCGCCTGTCCTGAGGTCACAGGAGGTTCTGTCTCGGGCACAGTGCTGACTGGTAACACCTGGGTTTGAAAGGCCTCTTCCCTGCCCTGCCTGCAGGAGGTTCCCCTGTGCCTCCTCCAAGCGAGCAGCTCCAGATGGAGTCCAGCCCATGCCTGGGCCGGAGGCAGAGTAGCCTCCAGCCTCCTCCGGAATGTAATACATCAGCTTCTGACCTGGGACAGGAGCATGTGGCCATATGAGGCATCCAAGGCAGGTCAATTTCTCCTTCATCAGCAAGTCACTCGTTCAGTCCTGCAAGTCTTTGTTCCACACTGGGCATGGGAACAAAGGTGAGTTGGACCTTGTCCTTAGGGGATGCACAGTCTAGGAGGGAGAGGGCAACCTTCAGGAACAACGGGTGGAAAGACAGGGCTGCAGGGGGTCCTGGAGCACATGTGAACACTGAAGAGATGCACACACTGTGGAGTGCGTTGAGTGGGAGCATGCAGAGGGGCCAGGCCAGGCGGATGTGAGCAGTAAACAGCTGCAGAGACAAGTCTGGCCTGGAGATGGGCTGTATTTCATCAAATCCAAGATGCCACCATTTTCGAAAGCACTGCTCTCTCAAACATACTGAATGTGACAGACCCTGGAGTTGTCCAGTGTGACACCGACGGGGCTCAGGACGGGACACACACAGGACAAGAGTGAGGGAGGGCAGAGCCGGAAACCAGGCCCACTCAGCCCTGTGCGATGGGAGACAGGGCCAGCACCAGGGCCCAGAAAACCTCTGAGTTTGGAAATGAGGACATCCCTGCGCATTCAGCAAGAAGACGTGGGTGGGGGGGGGGGGCGGTGTGGAGGTGGAGGCTGGGCTAGAGTGGGGTGCAATGAATGAGGTGCAAACTGCCCCACTGAGTGACTTTTCCACAGTAAGTGTGAGGCAGGCCCTCGACAAGTTACCACCAAGGCTGCTGACTACGAACCCAAGTGGAGAAAAAGATAATGACAGTAATAACAGCTAACAATTACAGGCTCTGTTCTAAGCACATCATATGTGTCAACTCTGCACACGTTTCCAGAAGAAAGGAGATGCTGGTATCTGCTGAGATAAGTAAGGCTACACACTTGGAACATGGTCGATTTTTGGATTCTCCAAGAGGAGCCAACATTGGGTTGCTGGCTGCTGCTACCTCCACCACCACCGTTTCGAGGAGGGACAGGAAATCTCTGTCACTTGAGCAAATAATGGAAATGAAAGAGAAACCAGAAACAGGACTTGAATCATCATCATAAAGGAAAGTGTTAATTCATCACTCAACGAACAATGGGCCTTCCGCTCCATCACGTCTTCTGTCCAGGGTTCCCAGAGCCCCCTTTACTGCTTGCCTCCCCCAGGGCTGACCCGGGGGGCAGCCAGCAGAATCCCAGAGCATCAGGGACTCCCAGGAGACCCCAAAATCTGGTCTCAGCATCATAAGCACACCAAAGTCACCTGATGGCAGACAACTCCCAACCTGCCGCTCAGAGGAGGCTGGACTCTTAGAGCTAGATGGGACTCACAGACCCTCAGCGTGTCCCAACCCCAGACCAGCCTTAGGCCCAGGAGTCAAGGGCAGGGGGAAGGGAGGGGCCTCCCAGGGGCAGCAGCACTGTCTGCCAGCAGCATCGCAGGCAGTGTCACCACTAACTTCTGAAGAAGATAGCACACTGCCTGGGCTAAGGATGGTGCAGGCTGAATTGCTTTAGGAAACTGCCATCAAGGGCCACCTCACACACACGGGCATTAGCTGGCTGCTCCTAGATTCCAAACAACTCCTCTACTGATGCTGATGATGGCAGAGACTGAGCTAATTTGCTTCTCACAGCTTCCAGTTTGCTGATTTTCAAAGGGAAAGTTTTCTTTGGGGAAGAGAGAAAGGGCAGACTTGCTATTGCTTGATATTTCAAAACGAGTTACAATCTAAGGTTTCTGCTGCGATATTTATCAATACAAACATGCTGCTTCTGTAGTACCTTCGTACCCCTTCTACCAAGATGAGGATTGAGACAACGGGAAAAATTCCAATGTACCCAAAGTTATACAGGGGGAAGCAGTGCAAAGAGTCTGACAAACAGAATATTCTGAGCACGTGTACTGGTTTCCTGCTGCTGCGTAACAAACTGCACACCACCCAGCGGCACCGAGCAACAGTGACGGCCACATACCTCCTGCGGCCGGGAATTCAGGCACAGCTCTGCGGGGTGGCTCTGGTTTGGGGCCTCTCACAGGCTCCTGGACTGAGAGCCTCGGCCCTGGGGGTGTTGGCTGAGGCCTCCTGCTCAGTTATTTGCCATATGGGTCTTTCCAAGAAGGCAGCTTGATTCATCAAGATGTGCAGGCCAAGGCAGCAACAGAGAGGGTCTCCCAGCAAGGTGGAGTCACACGTTTGCGTCAGGCGACATCCCCTCGATGCTGCCATATTCTATTGGTTAACAGGAATTACTCAAGGGGAGGGCATTGCACAAGGCCGTGAAAGCCAAGGGGTGAAGGTCACGGGGTCACACAGAGGGTATCTCAGGGGTCTCTTAGAGCCTCTTTATACTCCTCCCTGACCCCTCTGTGTAACAGCAAATTTATTAGAAATGAAACCATTTCTAATAAATGATTTTATTAGGAAAGAAAAATATAAAAAAACCAATGCTATAAGCTTCACCTTAAGAAACTAGAAGAAGTAGCCAGTTGTGGTGGTGCACACCTGCAATCCCAGCTACTCAGGAGGCTGAGGCAGGAGGATTGCTTGAGCCCAGGAGTTTCAGTCCAGCCAGCCTGGGCAACACAGTGAGACACCATCTAATAATAGAAAAATAATAAACTAGAAAAAGAGCAAATTAAAACCAAGTAAGCAGAAGAAAACAAAATGAATATAAGAGCATAAATTAACAAAATAGAAAATAAACAACAGAGGAAAAAACCGAATGAAGCTGAAAGCATAGTCTTTGAAAAGACCAACAAAATTGATAAACCTTTAACCAGGCTGATCAAATTACCAATATCAGGAAAGAAGGAACATCAATACAGGTCTTACAATTAAAAGTTACTGGAACTACTAAGTGAGTTTGGCAAAATTGCAAGGTATAAGGTCAATATATAAAAATCACTTATACTACTCTATAGAACGATGAACAACCAGAAATGGAAATTAAAGCAGTGCTATTTACAATAACATGATAACAATGAAATACTTTAAGTATGTGACGGACCTACATACTAAAAATTATGAAACATTCCTAGGAGAAATTAAAGACTTAAGTGTGTTGAGAAGATATATTATGTTCATGGATCGAAGGACTCGAAATTAAGATGTCAATTCTCTATAGATTCAATGCAATTCCAGTAAAAATCCAGCAGGCTTTTTGTAGAAATTGATAACTCTAAAATTTATATGGAGATGTGAAAGAACTGCAACAGCCAAAACAAGTTTTCTTTTTCTTTTTTAGAAACGAGGTCTTGCTGTGTTGCCTAGGATGGTCTCGAACGCCTGAGTTCAAGCAATCTTCCCGCCTTGGCTTCCCAAAGTGCTGGGATTACAGGTGTGAGTCACTACGCCTGGCCCAAAACAAGTTCCAAAAGGTAGGCATATTTCCTAATTTCGAGATGCCCCATAAAACTACAGAAATCAATCAATCGTTGTATCAGGAACAGACATATAGATCAATGGAACAGAATAGTGCCTAGAAACAGATTCACAATATAGGTAGCCAGTAAATGCCAACAGAGGTGCCATGGATTTCAATGGGAAAGGACAGGCTTTTTACAAGTGATGCTGGAACAACTCAATTTCCACGTGCCAGATGGAGGGGGAATCCCTCAACTCTTACGGTATACAAAAATTCACTCAAAATGGATCACAGACCTAGGTGAGAGAACTACTGAGGCATCTAGAAGGAAACATAAGGGAAAATCATTAAGACTTCAGGCCCAGGAGTTGAAGCTGCAGTGAGCCACGATCACAGTACTACACTCCAGCCCAGGCAATGCAGTGAGACCTCCAGCTCTTAAAAAAGACTTCAGGTCAGGCAAAGAGTTCTTAATTGAAAAAGAACAAAAAAGAACATATTTGATACACCAAATTTCATCAAAATTTAAAACTTTTGCTTTCTGAAAGATACCATTAGGAAAATGGAAAGGAACCTGGCACAGTGGCTCACGCCTATAGCCCCAGCACTCTGGGACTCAGGCAGGAGGATCACTTGAGCCCTGGAGTTCTAGACCAGCCAGGGCAACATAGTGAGACTCCATCTCCCTAAAAAATTTAAAATATTAGCTAGGTGTGGTGGTGCGTACCTACAGTCCAAGCTACTCAGGAGGCTGAGGCGGGAGGATCACTTGAGCCCAGGAAGGTTGAGGCTGCAGAGAGCTGTGATCACACCACTGCATTTCAGCCTGGGAAACAGAGTCCCTGTTTAAAAAAAAAAATAATAATAAATAAATAAAAGTGGCTCATGCCTGTAATCCTAGCACTTTGGGAGACCAAGGTAAGAGGATCACTTAAGCCCAAGAGTTCAAGACTGGCCTGGGTGACATAGCAAAACCTCGTCTCAATAAAGTGTAAGAATATATAAAAAAACAAAACAGGCTAGGCCTGTAGCTCACATCTGTAATTACAGCACTTGGCGAGGCTGAGGTGGGCAGATGGCTTGAGCCCAGAAGTTCGAAACCAGCCTGGGCAACATACGGTGAAACCCCATCTCTACAAAAAATACAAAAATTAGATGGGCGTGGTGGTGCACACCTGTAGTCCCAGCTACCTGGGAGGCTGAGGTGGGAGAATCAGCTGAGCCCAGGGAGGTCATGGCTGCAGTAAGTTGTGATAGTGCTGTGGCACTCCAGCCTGGGTGACAGAGTGAGACCCCATCTTAAAAAAAAAAAAAAAAAAAAGACATGCAAATTAAAGCTGCAATGAGATATGGTTCACACCCACTTCGATGAATGAAGTTGAAAAGGACTGACAACACTAAACATTGACGACGATGTGGAGAAATGGGAACTGTCCTACGCTGCAGTGGGAATGCAAGATGGTACCGTCACCCTGGAAAGCACTGGACCCAGCAAGCCACTCCCAGTGAACCACTCATGAGAAATGAAACACATCCACACAGAGCCTTGCAGGTGAATGTTCACAGCAGCTTTATTATCACAGCCTCCAAAATGGAAACCACCCAAATCTCTACCACCTGATGAATGAAAACAAATGATGGCAGGTCCATTCAGTGGAGTACTAGTCAGCACAGAAAAGGAGCAAAGAAAGTACTGATTCATGCAGTAACGGGGATGAATCAGAAAAGCATTATGCTAAGTGACAAGAGCCAGACCATACGCTGTGTGATTCCAGTTACATCAATTCCCGAACAGGCAGCACCATGACAACAGAGGCAGGCTGGTGGTGGCTGGGGGCAGCGGGGGCTGATGTGGGGGGCATTTGGGAGCACTGGGGTGATGAAAATATTCTAGGTCCTAATGGTGGCAGCCACACCACTGTGGACATCTCATGCCAACTGTCAAACTGCCCGGAGTGAAGGTAACAGTATTTCCAAATCCAATCATAAGCACTGTGGCTCTGGGTATGGACAGCAGACAACTTTTGAAAGAAACTCCAACTCCGATCAGGGAAAACTTTGGTCACTACGTTGCCCTTGTAAGTGTCATTTCAGTCAAACTCTGAGAAATAAATTGGGCCTTTTGTTGTCTGGACTCAATCTAAGCACGTCTAAGAACAAACTCATTAAAGCCCTGTTCCTATAACCTGTAAAAATACCTTCTATTCATGATTCCTGCTCTCCTGCTGAACACAGACCAGGGCTTACAGTTTTACGTGAACTCTGTAATGCTCAGGGTCAATAAAGGTTACTTTCATCTGGTGAGGGTCAGTTTGCCACAGCCTAACCACTTACTACAACTCTCCCCATTTCAGTCAGCATTTCTGGAGGTTTATATGGAATCTATGGAACAGACACCCCTACAACTTTGGAAAGCGACCTTCAATATGCACTACATATATTGTGTAGTAAAGTACATACGCAGACAGGTCCTGGGCTTATGATGGTGGGACCTATGATTGTTCAACTTCACACTAACGTGAAAGCCATACACATTCACTTGAAACCATATCTTGAGTCCTCATACACACTGGTTTTCACTTTGAGTACAGTATTCAATAAATTACACAAGATCTTCAACACTTTATTATATAAAATAGGCTCTGTGTTACATGATTTTGCCCAACTATAGGCTGGTGTGAGTGGTTTTTTTTTTTTTTGAGACAGTGTCTTACTCTGTATTCAGGCTGGATGATCATGGCTCACTGCAGCCTCCATCTCCCAGGCGCAAGCAATCCTCCCACCTCAGCCTCCCAAATAGCTGTGATTACAGGTGTGCACCACCACATCCAGCTAATTTTTTATTTTTTGTAGACACGGAGTTTCACTATGTTGCCCTAGCTGGAACTCCTGGGCTCAAGTGATCCTCCCACCTGGGCCTCCCAAAGTGTTGGGATTATAGGCATGAGCCAGAGTGCCCAGCCTGATGTGAGTGTTCTGGGCATGGTTAAGGAAGGTGAGGCTGGACTATGACGTGCGGTGCGGTAGGTGTGTTAAATCCATTTTCGACTCAAGGTATTTTCAACGATGGGTTTACTGGGACATACCCCCGTTGCAAGTTGAGGAGCATCTGTATTTGTCCTCCTAAATTATCTAAAATCTATACAAGTCTTATGTAATAAATAATCAAAACAAAACAATGAAACGTGCATAGAAATTGAGACTCACCATCTATAAAGTATGAAAATTCCAAGGTGTTGTGGAAGTATTAGGGTTTTCAAAGCCACAATACACATCATCTGCCATAGAGAAAATTAGGGAAAAGCAGTTCCTAATGACTCTTTATCACATCAACTTATTCTCAGGAACCGGAGGTTCTAAATTTTGTATTTGTCACCACGACCACAACTCGTTGTCCAGAAACTGAAGGATGGTGCCCAATTGGTAATTCCAAGCGCCTCAGCTTTGTTATGACAGTGCTTTCATGATTAGCTCGGTGCCAAGTCCTCACATACTGAAGGGACGAAATAAATGTTTAGTAAAATTAACTGCTACCCAACTTCCCCCTGGCTAAGGTCTAGTCGCGAAAGTGGTTCTTCAGTTCCACGAACACAGCCAGGTCTCCCCTCCCTCAGCCTCTGGATGTGATGCCCAAGAGCCCTTGCCCTGCTCTCCATGAAGGCCTTCCCACACTGGTCCAGCCCATTTCTTTCCCTCGCTGGTCGGGTCACTTTCTTTCTCGAAGCGCCCCCCCTGCCACAGAGCTAAGCCCCCTGGCCCACAGATGTGGGTTCTGTCCACCCTCCGTGCCCTAGGATATGATAGGCACCCAAGGAGCACAAGCAGAATAAATGCAGAATCACACACAGAGGAGAGAACAAGAGTGCGAGCTGCGCCCGGTCTCCTACGTCCGAGCCCCCGACCCTCCAGAAGAGTCCTCTAACCTTGTCTGAGCCCCAGGTCCTCTGGCCTTCTCATGAAGCCTTCTCAAAACAAGGTTTTTAAAGATGAAAAAAGACACAGGATTGCAGACGGAAAAGCACGCTGAAATACAATCATGGAAGCACTGGAAAAGTAAGATGAGTGCTTTTTCATTAATGTATTAAGTGACAAGATCGAGGGATGGACACAGTATCTCCTGTGATTTTGGTAATAATCAGCATCAGCTCCCACGGCAGGGTGACAGGAAATCAGTGCTGATGCCAGCGGGGCTGCCCCACACACAATCAAAGAAAATGCTACGATTTCACACTGGAGTCAGATCCGTGCACATAACCGAGGGATCCGCACTGCAGCGAGGCTGAGTGAGCGCTCACGGAACAAGAAACACTTTATTATGTTTGTATCAACAAACATCCCTAAAACAACCAAAATAAGTAGGCTTGAAAATACTTTACCATGCAATATGTTGAATTCTAGAATAAAACGGATGCTTCTAAACTGTCTGCCTCTTACCAGATACCTTATATTGCTAAGGGTTTGGAAAATGACAGATTTTTTTAAAACTTCCTTAGGTCATAAAGAAAATAAACATTCTGACAAAATTTTTAGGGCCCAAGACACTCCCAGTGGGGACTCCCTACAGGGTCCCCGCTCTGCTGCCCGGTAATCTGGAAGAGACACCACATCTTGCCCATGCGAGCCTGGTCATGCCAACCTGTGCGTCTCTGTTAATTTCCGTGTTTTCACGCCCACCTGCGCGTCTGTGAATTTCCGTGTTTTCACGCCCACCTGCGTGTCTGTGAATTTCCATGTTTTCACGCCCACCTGTGCGTCTGTGAATTTCCGTGTTTTCACGCCCACCTGTGCGTCTGTGAATTTCCGTGTTTTCACGCCCACCTGTGCGTCTGTGAATTTCCGTGTTTTCACGCCCACCTGCGAGTGTCTGTGAATTTCCGTGTTTTCATGCCCACCTGTGCATCTGTGAATTTCCGTGTTTTCATGCCCACCTGCGTCTGTGAATTTCCGTTTTCACGCCCACCTGTGCGTCTGTGAATTTCCGTGTTTTCACGCCCACCTGCGTGTCTGTGAATTTCCGTGTTTTCATGCCCACCTGCGTCTGTGAATTTCCGTTTTCACGCCCACCTGTGCGTCTGTGAATTTCCGTGTTTTCACGCCCACCTGCGTGTCTGTGAATTTCCGTGTTTTCATGCCCACCTGCCCGTGTCTGTGAATTTCTGTTTTCATATCCACCTGTGTGTCTGTGAATTTTCGTGTTTTCATGCCCACCTGCGTGTCTGTGAATTTCCGTGTTTTCACGCCCACCTGTGCGTGTCCGCGAATTTCCGTGTTTTCACACCCACCTGTGCGTCTGTGAATTTCCGTGTTTTCACACCCACCTGTGTCTGTGAATTTCCGTGTTTTCACGCCCACCTGCGAGTGTCTGTGAATTTCCGTGTTTTCACGCCCACCTGCGAGTGTCTGTGAATTTCCGTGTTTTCACGCCCACCTGCAAGTCTATGAATTTCCGTGTTTTCATGCCCACCTGCGGGTCTGTGAATTTCCGTGTTTTCATGCCCACCTGCGTGTCTGTGAATTTCCGTGTTTTCATGCCCACCTGTGTGTCTGTGAATTTCCGTGTTTTCATGCCCACCTGCGTGTGTCTGTGAATTTCTGTGTTTTCATGCCCACCTGTGCGTCTGTGATTTTCCGTGTTTTCATGCCCACCTGTGCGTGCCTGTGAATTTCCATGCTTTTGGAAATGCCTGTCTCTGAGCCATCTACTGTCCACAATAACCTTGGATTCAAGTCAACAGCAACAATGATAAGATGACAGCATCTTCCAGTATCTCCCACAGCCAGGCACTGTTCTAAGCACACCTGGGACCCTCTTAGGGTTGGTTTGCGAATGCAATCACTTTACACACAAAGAATCAGAGTGTGGCACAGAAGGGCTCCCGAATTCGCCTGCATGACACAGCCAGTGACTGTCAGTGCTGGCGACCCTGCCCTTTGCCTCGTTGTTCACTGTGGCCTGGCAGGGACAGCGGGAGAGGTGAGCCCCGGCCGAGAGCCAGTACTTATCAGTGCCAATTCTGCCCCAGATGCTGAGCTACCACTTTGCCAAAACTGTAATTCAACGTCAACATCCGAAGATCACTCCTCCCCAAACCTGGCTGAAAACAGGAGACGAAAACCACCATCAGGGCAGGCTGAAGGGAGAGGAGACAAAGACTCCAGTGCCCGGGGCTCTCCAGGACGCACCATCCTCTGCCTCCAGAGGATCAGAGCCACGCCCAGTCCGCTAGCACTCCGCTCAGCGTTCACTGCGCACAGACGGGGAGGAGACTTACCAATCTGCAACAGTATTGGTGTGACCAGAGCGGTTTCCATGGCGTAACAGAACTCCCTGCCAAACATCACCGCCCCGTGCATCACCCACAGGCGCATGGGGATTCGGTCTATGGACCCCTCGCTGATGGTCTCGCAGTTCTCGGCCTCTGCGCCTCCGGCTTTCTGCGGGTCCGGCAGGGGCACGGATAACTCTTGAACTTGCATAGATTCCGGGTCGGCATTCTGCGGAGCCATTTTCATTACCACCAAAAATATATGTATTTATCTATATATTCTATCTATATAAATAATGCTTTCATATATCTGTAATGATAAATTAAGACGTCTTCTCTTTCTGCTTCTGCTGTGTTCCTCGGGCAGGTAACACTTACATTCCTCTTTGCACAAGTGGCTATCTCACAACTTCTCACAACGGTATGAGACATGCAGCAACACAGAACGATTTTTGGTTGGATTTTAAACATATGGCTTGCTGGTTTACTGTGAATTAGAGTTAAAAATCCATAATTGCCATTCAGTTAATACCAGTTTCATCATTATTACTGAAGAGGTGCTGAAGTGATTTTTCTTGCTACAGAGAGGTGGGAAGGTGATACAAACAGGTGGTCCGCTGGTAATCCCCATCGAGTGACTGGATGATCTGCAAAAGAGGAAAACAACCCGGCCAGAGAGTCAGGGGACGGCCACCAGATGGCCCTGTGGACCGCCGCCCGACCCCCGAGCAAGCCGTGTGCCCCGAGGGCCCGACCCAAGATCACACAGCTCTCTGCCACTCACTCTGGGTACGTCTGTGCAAATAACCAAACCTACTTTCTAGAAAAACATTTTCTCATACGAAAGTGAATCCTGGGGAAGGACAAAGGTGGGGCAATCAAGGAAAGCAGGATCAAAGAACAGACAGAGAAAAACGCTGGAAATATTCACTCTTTGGCCAGTAACAATATCGTCCACCCTGTGTACCACAGCACGTAACTATTCCAGCAGGCTGGAGGCAGCTGGCGACACCCTTTGTGGCTGCAGATATCATGAAAGGGAAGTAAGGAGGTGAAGGGAAAAGTGGGGGAGGTAGGCAAAAGAGAATCAAAAGGGAAAACTTTTGTTTAAAAAAGTTTAATTTGTTAGTGACAAGGTCTCGCTCCGTTGCCCAGGCTGGAGTGCGGTCACACGACCATGGCTCTCTGCAGCCTCAAACTCCTGGAATCAAGTGATCTCCCACCTCATCCTCCCGAGTAGCTGCGACTACAGGCATGCACCACTACACCCAGCTAATTTTTCTAGGGTCCCCATTACATTGACCTGGCTGGTATCCAACTCCTGGGCTCAAGCGATCTACCCTGCCTCGGCCTCCCAAAGCACTAGGATTTACAAGTGTGAGCCACCGTGCCCAGCCAAAAAGGGAAACTGTAGACCCTGCCTGGAGAGGTGGAAATTAAAAATAAAAAGCAGCTGGGCACGGTGGCTTAAGTCTGTAATCCCAGCACATTGGGGGGCTGAAGCAGGTGGATCACCTGAGATTAGGAGTTCAAGACCTGCTTGGGCAACATGGCGAAAGCCCATCTCTACTAAAAATACAAAAATTAGCCAGGCATGGTGGCGGGCGCCTGTAATACCAGCTACTCAGGAGGGTGAGGCAGGAGAATCACTTGAACCCGGGAGGTGGAAGTTGCAGTAAGCTGAGATCGCACCACTGCACTCCAGCCTGGGCAACAGAGTGAGACCCTGTCTCAAAAAACAAAAACAAAAACAAACAAACAAAAAAAACAAAAAGAAAAGAAAAATGAAAAGTAGGAGGCTGGGTGGAATGAGCATAGCATGATTCTCTGTCCGGGGGGAGTTCGAAGTCTACCCAAAGGCACCTGGACTCCTGTGGTATTGGCCTTTAGGTTATAAAACCTCTTGGGAATAAAATGAAATTATAGACCTTTTCTCCAGAAAAAAATGTACGCATGTGCCAAACTCTGACTATAGTACCTAGGGGTTCGGAGACTCCCAACCCACACGCAGCTTTCCCAGGGTCTACGGAACCCTATCACCCCAACCCTCGGCTTTCCACCACCCTGCCTCCAGTGACAAACCCAGCTTGGTGACAAATTCCCCACCTGGGCAAACACATACAATAAAGCAGCAATAAGCTAACTGGAAATGCCACCTTGGAAATGTTTTAGGAAATGAGGTCAATCTCTCCTCAGGTAAGATAAGATCGGGGATGTGGAACACCCCAAGTTCAGGACTTCTGGAGTTAGGTCTCCAGACATGGGGTTCGGTTCAACTGAAGTGTTAGAGCCCCTAAAAACACACCTAAATGGTGTTCACAGTTTATATTAAGGTAGGTCTATGGGCCAATACCTTACTGAGAATTTTTCCAACAACTGGTTTCAACAAAAATATTTCTCATTACTTTCCACCGAACCAAAGGTGGTCTTAATTAGCTCCTCCTCTCTTTCTCCCCAGAGGAGACCAGAAACCTCGAGGTGCTGTCTTCACTCGGCTCCTCTCTCACACAGCCCTGATGGAGAAGGTGGGTCCCTGGCACGTGGGCCCCAGGAGGGAGAAGACTCCGCTGTACAGGAGGTTCTGGAAGGAAGCCGTGCGCCTGGCTCTTACGTCCCAGCTCTTCCCTACATCTTCTTTCACGCTGCAGCGGAAACCAGAATGCCTACTAATTCCTTAAGAACCAAAGGTTCAAGTGGTGCTACCTATGTATTTGCTTCTTACGTCCCCTGAACGTCGCTACGATTCCACACGACAGCCCTCGAGAATTCTTTCAAGTTTTCCAAATGTCCTCTACCGTAGAAACATCTCAATTAAAACAAGAGTTTCCAAACTGTCACCTTACTGCAATATTTTTTCAAAAAACTGTGTAATGAAACTTTTTTTTTTTTTTGAGACAGTCTCGCTCTGTTGCCCAGGCTGGAGTGCAGTGGTGTGATCTCGGCTCACTGCAACCTCCGCCTCCCAGCTTCAAGCGATTCTCCCGCCTCAGCCTCCTGAGTAGCTGGGATTACAGGCACATGCCACCACGCCCAGCTAACTTTTGTATTTTTAGTAGACACAGGGTTTCACCATGTTGGCCAGGATGGTCTTGATCTCCTGACCTCATGATCCACCTGCTTCGGCCTCCCAAAGTGCTGGGATTACAAGCGTGGGGCACCACACCCAGCCAGAACTATTTCTAACATATGCAAAGTAAACAGAATAGTGTAAGAAACCACCCAGGTTTAATAAGGACCAACATTCTGCTATTCTTGTTCCGCCCCCACCTTTTCGGAATCATTCCTAACAGAAAATTTCACGATTTTCCCTGTTTTCAGTCTGTCAATCTTGTACCAGAATAGGGTCAATGATTTTAACTGCTTTCTTCCACCAGGTAAGAAGAGTCATTTTTGTGAGAAGAAGTAACACCCAGACATGTCTGCAAAGACTGAAAACATCAGCTGGGTTTTGGGCAGGAACAAAAGCAATTAGTTTTCTAAGAAATCCTAATGACTTAATTATAAACATCAGACCCTTCATGCCTGCTCAATCGGCTCTTTGTCCCATTACAGTGTCCTCGGAGACTTGTGCCTGAAGTGAAGCCGTCTCTGTTCCTAAGAGTCGTTCCAGTAAGAGCTGAGAGTTAGGCAATAAATGTCTGTAATAAGTAATATATGAATTATTCTAAGGTAGTGATTCTCAGCCAGGGGCAACTCTGCACCCTCCAGGGACACTTGGCAATGACGTGAGACATCTCTGCTTGCGACAACAGGGGGAGGAGGGGACAGTACTGGCATCTTATAGGCGGAGGCCAGGGATGCCTTTCAACTCACCACAGTGCACAGAACAGCCTCCAGCAGAGAAGGCCCTGGCCCAGAACGTCAACAGCACCAGAGGGAGACACTCTGTTCTAGGGTTATTACTAAATAGGAAAACGGCTTTCTTTAAAAATGCTTCACCCCTTGATTATTCCATTCCGAGTCCACCGACAAGACCAGACACTGAAGCTTTCTCTGTAAAGCTGGATGATGAACATTTCCGGGATTTCGGGCCACAGATGGTCTCTGTTGTACATTCTCCTTTTTTGTTTCTTCTTCCTTTTTTTTTTTTTTTTTTTTTTAACAATCCTTTAAAAACACAACACCTATTCTTAGCTTGCTGGTCATTCTTGTAAATCCCAGCTCTGCGCTGGATCTGCCCCCTGGGTCACAGTTTGCTGCCCTCCGGCCTGGCCTAGGGTCAGGAAGTCGCCAGAGTCTCTCTAACAGGAAAGAAGGCGACGGTGGAGCCCTGCTTGGCTCCCACACCCCCCAGCCTCACTCTGCTCCGTGCCACCTAAACTGTCCAGTCCTGACTTAAACGACCCGAGGCCAGGAGTGTAGGTGGCAACGCTACAGGCCATTCCTTTCCCAAGCAGCTCAGCTGCGCTCCAGCCAGTGGTATTTCTCAGCACCTTGTTTGCAAAGAGCAGGTTGCATAAGAATCACTGATGAGCCACAGAGAAAAGCCCCAGGCAACCATCGGCCTCTCACATGGAGCATGGACTCCAACCTTGGGGCCACAGGGATGGCCACCAAAAGGTCTCAGGGATCAGCTAAAGACTCATTCAGCCTGTGCAACAGTCAGACCCGTTTTTCAAAGACAGCATGGTGGTGCACACCTGTGATCCCAGCTACTCCAGAGGCTGAGGCAGGAGGATCGCTTGAGCCCAGGAGTTGAAGACCAGCCTGGGCAACACAGCAAGACTCCATCTCTATAATTATTATTATTATTTTTTAATTAGCCAGATGTGATGGTATGTGCCTATAGTCCCATCTACTCAGGAGATTGAGGCAGAAGGATTGTTTGAGCCCAGGAGTTCAAGGCTGAAGTAAGCTACAATTATGCCATTGAACTCCAGTCTGCGAGACACAGTGAGACCTCTTTTTTTTAAAAAAAAAAAAAACAGACTCTAAAACAAGATGTCTTTTTACCTGGGAATAGCTGAGGATTTCAAAAAACTAAGCCCTCAGGGAGCAAAGGCCCTGTGTCCTTAGTAACAGAGTCACAAGTCCACAGAAGGACAGAGTGGTGCAGGAGCGCTCCCTTGACATGGAAAGTCAGCTGCCTCACTGGAGTTCCTCTGACATGTTGGGGCTTTCCTAGCAAACTTCTAACAACTGGTGTAAAGTTGGCCTTCCAAAGAGAAGATGAAAAGGAGGGAGACCAGCATCTGGGTGGGAAAGGCATCTAGCCCACACTCCCAGAGTATCCGCATGGCCACGGTCAGGGCAAGCCGCCAGACACCGCTGCTCAGCAGGCTGAGGGGCCAGCAAGACGGCTTCACGCCTTGGGACACTGCTGACCCAGCCCGCCAGTGATGGCGCTGCACGTTCAGCCGTGCACACAGGCCCCACCTCAGGCCCCCCAGCTCCAGAACCATGCCTGGGCAGTGCTGCCCATTGGTCGAGGGATCACCCTTCGGAGCAGGCTGCCTCTCCGCCAGCCTGCACCCTTCCGTCTCTCCCCTGAGCTTGGCTCTGCCCACACCACCGGCCATGCATCTCCCTTGCCCTTCCCATGCATCTCCTCTTGCATCTCCTCCCGTGCATCTCCTCTTGCCCTTCCCACCTTCAGCTCAACCACCCTGTTTTTAGAGACTCTTCTCAGGGCTCACTGGACCCCTTTAGAACGGGTGATCCCCATCTTGCACAAAGGATTATGACAGCTACTGGTAGGTGGCAAAACCCTGCCAAGCAGTGAGAGAAGCCCCCTCAAGAGACCCTCATCCCCCGCTTTCATCTGTCCCCAGATCTCCCAGCATCGGTCCACAATGGGCAACGTCCATGCTTCTTGAACCTGGGCTTTCCCTTCCATATGCACCGTTTCCAGCCACACAGCAAGAGCTTGACAAGATTTGTTAAATGAACAAATGAAGCGAATGAATGAATAAGGCTGATCAGCTGATAGTTACTATGGGGTATCTGCACTGGAAAACCATTCCCCACCCCACCAGCTATGCTGAAGTCACGCCCAGGTGCCCCGGGTGACCAGCCACCGGCTTATGCGTCCCTGAAGTCCTCATGAAACAGCATGAGCATGGCACCGGTGTCACCTGTTACGCAAGTAGTCTACGCATGGACACAGCTGGCTTCCCTTCCTCAAGCAGGGCAGAGGCAGGGGCACAGTACACGGATTTTACACAGGTGACCTCACTGGCATCTATATTGATGAAAACAACAAATATCTTTAGACATCTTGAGTTTGTTTAAAGTAGCAGTAAGTACAAAAATCTACCAAATGTCTCATACCTTCATGAACTTATCCAAGGAATGTTATCAACCTAGGGTGTTAACACCAATGCAAGCTTCCGAGCTTCTAAGAGCAGGCAAAGTTGAGGCAACTGTCCAAACAGTAATCTTAACAAGGCTAAATTAACCACTACAACAACATCACCTCATGTTAACCAACCTTAATTTCCTCAAAGATATGCACCCATTGGACTAACCCAGTTTTAAAGTGAGTATCTTGAAGACAACACCCAACAGCTCACAGCAGGATGCCACCTGGTGCAGCTGCTGCTTCCAAACATTTTATTTCTGCAAAGCCCTGGGGATTCTGTAAGCACTTTAGGGGAAGTCAGAAAATAATTTAAAAATAAAGTTTAAAACTAGAAAATCTAGAAGAAATGGATAAATTCCTCGACACATACACCCTCCCAAGACTAAATCAGGAAGAAGTTGAATCTCTGAATAGACCAATAACAGGCTCCGAAATTGTGGCAATAATCAATAGCTTACCAACCAAAAAAAGTCCAGGACCAGATGGATTCACAACCGAATTCTACCAGAGGTACAAGGAGGAGCTGGTACCATTCCTTCTGAAACTATTCCAATCAATAGAAAAAGAGGGAATCCTCCCTAACTCATTTTATGAGGCCAGCATCATCCTGATACCAAAGCCTGGCAGAGACAGAACCAAAAAAGAGAATTTTAGACCAATATCCTTGATGAACATTGATGCAAAAATCCTCAATAAAATACTGGCAAACCGAATCCAGCAGCACATCAAAAAGCTTATCCACCATGATCAAGTGGGCTTCATCCCTGAGATGCAAGGCTGGTTCAACACTCGCAAATCAATAAATGTAATCCAGCGTATAAACACAACCAAAGACAAAAACCACATGATTATCTCAATAGACGCAGAAAAGGCCTTTGACAAAATTCAACAACCCTTCATGCTAAAAGCTCTCAATAAATTAGGTATTGATGGGACGTATCTCAAAATAAGAGCTATCTATGACAGACCCACAGCCAATATCATACTGAATGGGCAAAAACTGGAAGCATTCCCTTTGAAAACTGGCACAAGACAGGGATGCCCTCTCTCACCACTCCTATTCAACATAGTGTTGGAAGTTCTGGCCAGGGCAATTAGGCAGAAGAAGGAAATAAAGGGTATTCAATTAGGAAAAGAGGAAGTCAAATTGTCCCTGTTTGCAGATGACATGATTGTATATCTAGAAAACCCCATCGTCTCAGCCCAAAATCTCCTTAAGCTGATAAGCAACTTCAGCAAAGTCTCAGGATACAAAATCAATGTAGAAAAATCACAAGCATTCTTATACACCAATAACAGACAAACAGAGAGCCAAATCATGAGTGACCCCCCATTCATAATTGCTTCAAAGAGAATAAAATACCTAGGAATCCAACTTACAAGGGATGTGAAGGACCTCTTCAAGGAGAACTACAAACCACTGCTCAATGAAATAAAAGAGGATACAAACAAATGGAAGAACATTCCATGCTCATGGGTAGGAAGAATCAATATCATGAAAATGGCCACACTGCCCAAGGTAATTTATAGATTCAATGCCATCCCCATCAAGCTACCAATGACTTTCTTCACATAACTGGAAAAAACTACTTTAAAGTTCATATGGAACCAATAAAGAGCCTGCATCGCATCCTAAGCCAAAAGAACAAAGCTGGAGGCATCACGCTACCTGACTTCAAACTATACTACAAGGCTACAGTAACCAAAACAGCATGGTACTGGTACCAAAACAGAGATATAGATCAATGGAACAGAACAGAGCCCTCAGAAACAATGCCACATATCTACAACCATCTAATCTTTGACAAACCTGACAAAAACAAGAAATTGGGAAAGGATTCCCTATTTAATAAATGGTGCTGGGAAAACTGGCTAGCCATATGTAGAAAGCTGAAACTGGATCCCTTCCTTACACCTTATACAAAAATTAATTCAAGATGGATTAAAGACTTACATGTTAGACCTAAAACCATAAAAACCCTAGAAGAAAACCTAGGCAATACCATTCAGGACATAGGCATGGGCAAGGACTTCATGTCTAAAACACCAAAAGCAATGGCAACAAAAGCCAAAATTGACAAATGGGATCTAATTAAACTAAAGAGCTTCTGCACAGCAAAAGAAACTACCATCAGAGTGAACAGGCAACCTACAAAATGGGAGAAAATTTTCACAACCTACTCATCTGACAAAGGGCTAATATCCAGAATCTACAATGAACTCAAACAAATTTACAAGAAAAAAAACAACCCCATCAAAAAGTGGGTGAAGGATATGAACAGACACTTCTCAAAAGAAGACATTTATGCAGCCAAAAAACACATGAAAAAATGCTCATCATCACTGGCCATCAGAGAAATGCAAATCAAAACCACAATGAGATACCATCTCACACCAGTTAGAATGGCAATCATTAAAAAGTCAGAAACAACAGGTACTGGAGAGGATGTGGAGAAATAGGAACACTTTTACACTGTTGGTGGGACTGTAAACTAGTTCAACCATTGTGGAAGTCAGTGTGGCGATTCCTCAGGGATCTAGAACTAGAAATACCATTTGACCCAGCCATCCCATTACTGGGTATATACCCAAAGGACTATAAATCATGCTGCTATAAAGACACATGCACACATATGTTTATTGCAGCACTATTCACAATAGCAAAGACTTGGAACCAACCTAAATGTCCAACAATGATAGACTGGATTAAGAAAATGTGGCACATATACACCATGGAATACTATGCAGCCATAAAAAATGATGAGTTCATGTCCTTTGTAGGGACATGGATGAAACTGGAAACCATCATTCTCAGTAAACTATCGCAAGGACAAAAAACCAAACACCACGTGTTCTCACTCATAGATGGGAATTGAACAATGAGAACACATGGACACAGGAAGGGGACCGTCACACGCCGGGGACTGTTGTGGGGTGGGGGGAGGGGGGAGGGATAGCATGAAGAGATATACCTAATGTTAAATGACGAGTTAATGGGTGCAGCACACCAACATGGCACATGTATACATATGTAACTAACCGGCACATTGTGCACATGTACCCTAAAACTTAAAGTATAATAATAATAAAATTTTAAAAAAAGAAGAAGAAAAAAGAAATAAAGTCAACATAAACTGTGAAAAAATAAATAAATAAATAAATAAATAAAGTTTAAGTGTTTACTTAGAAAATCAAGGGTCATGGCCGGGCGCAGTGGCTCATGCCTGTAATCCCAGCATTTTGGGAGGCCGAGGCGGGTAGATCACGACGTCAGATCAAGACCATCCTGGTCAACATGGTGAAACCCCATCTCTACTTAAAAAAAAAAATACAAAAATTAGCTGGGCATGGTGGCATGTGCCTGTAATCCCAGCTACTGGGGAGGCTGAAGCAGGAGAATTGCTTGAACCCGGGAGGCAGAGGTTGCAGTGAGCCGAAACTGCGCCACTGTACTCCAGCCTGGGCGACAGAGCAAGACTCCGTCTCAAAAAAAAAAAAAATAAAAATAATAATAAAAACAAAAAGAGAGAGAAAGAAAGAAAATAAATAAATTAATTAAGGGTCCTATCACCTTGTCAAGGAGTGGCTATGAATACCGAAAGATCTAGAGGGTGGAACTGCAGGGGACAGCACACAGAGAAGGCCATGGTGACCCGGCCCCAGCACTGGCCACTCTGAAAGGAAAGCTGGTGGCCTCCGGGTTGGTGCCAGAAGAACCAGTCTGAGTATTTCTTCAGTTAAAGGGCCAAGGCTGAAGGACAGGTTCCTGGGTCCACAGCCCATGGGAAAGGTACCAGCAAATTCTGATACGTTTAAGAACGCAAGAGCATGTCCCGGTCAGGAAATCCATGTAACAGGCTACTGAATGTTCAACCCAGATGACAGCTCCCAGTGGAAAACTATGTGGGTCCGTGTGAGGCCTTGGATCCATATGCTCGAGTGTGGTGTGAGTCAGGAGCCACTTTGCATCTCCCGGTGGCCCTCTGGGTGTTGCAGTATGATTGATCTGAGAGTCCACCGCCAGCCCTGAGACTGCTCTTTTATCACACACCAAATGTCGGCGTGCACTTGTCTCCGTTTCTCAAGGCTGCAATCTGTCCCACCCATGTGCCTGTCTACCTAGCCGCGGGAGGCAGAGAGGCTGCCGGGACATCTCGACCTCTGCTGGGGGAGGGGAGGGTCCTGATGTTGCTGCTTATTCCCCATCAGTGCTGTCCTAATAATTCTCTCATGTTTATTGCCAAGAACTTTATGAGCACGTGAACTTTTGATTCGCTCTGGGAAAAAAGTCTTTGTTGGTATTTTTATTGAGATTCCATTAATGTTATAAACTAGCCTGGGGGGAGCCAATATCCTCAGGCTGCTGAGTCGTTCTCTCCAAGAACAACAGCGCTCCTGCACCTGTCCAAGTCCACCCTGACGCCTTCGGGGAGAACTTAAAAGCAGTCCTTCCATGGTCTTCCACATTGTTTTCTCCTAATTAACCTTTGTCATGGTCACTGCAAATAGGATTTCCTCTGCCCTTATGTTTTCTAACTGGCTAGATCATGACAGCTGTTAAGTGTTGTTTATGAAGTCAGCTATAATTTACATGCAGTGAGAAGGTACTACCCAGACAGTTTCAACAAATTCCTATCAAGACAGAACCCGTCTATCATGCTGGAAAGGCCCCTGTGTTCCTTCCCATCTAATTAAGGCTATTCATTCTTATATTTTCAGTTTATAATCTAATTCTTTTGTTGTCTGAGCGAGAATGGACAAAAAAAAGAATATAACCAAATTAACAAGTCTACCAAACCATCACCAAAATATGCATAGCTGCCAACTTAAAGATGGATTGTATTTCCAAAGTTTATGGACACATGTTTGGATGTGATGGTCCATTTCCCGAGAGACAACAGTGGACACCTCGAGGCCCTCTGGTCCTCCTCACCCACAGCCCTTGCTGGGACTGGAACAAGGGCCCATGTGGTGCATATTTCCTGAACACGAAGACTCTGAGGCAGTTTGAAATCCTTCCCTTCACGGCCTCCCCCAGTCACTTCATCTCTAGGGCCTCACAAGAAATGAAAGGAAAGCAGCTCTGAGAAGAGAAGGGAGGAGTGTGCAGGGAGGGGCTGGGTGCCAGCGCGGGGCGTGTTCTCACACTGCGCGGGGGCAATCAGATACCATAAAACCAGTCCAACGCCCAGCAAACTACAGCCGTGAGGTCACTTTCTTAGAGCAAGCAAATTGTTTTCTGTAAGGAAACTATTTTATATAAGCACGAGAGCATTATCTGAAAAAAGGAAAATGATTCTTCTCTAGTACACAGCTGAAAACTCCCTACTGAGGCATGACGTCACACTGAACCCATTTAAGGGAGGTCACGCTCCTCCTTCCCCAGCACAGGCAATCCTGTACCCCTGAGAGCTGCTGTCGCCTCAGCTGCTTAAAATGCGGAGAAGCTCAAAAGTTAAGCTGTGACCTGTTCTAGTATCTCATATTCAAAAGAACAGTGAAACTTTTCGGGCAGATTTTCCCCAGCATGGAAAAGCAAGCTTCCCTTTGGAATCTGTTCCAGCGACTGTCGGGGCATTCGGTGACAACAATTTTGTTATGATTCGCAGATGCACTCAGACAAGCGAAACTACAATTGTTCCAATCAACAACTTCCTCTATTGTCCTGTTTCTAATTTAAGGGTAACTGATGCCAAAACACATGACTTCCTACAATTTGCTGAGTGGAAAAGCTGGCTGTAAACTTAAATTTCACCAAAAAGGTAACTGGAGAGTTGCTGCTGACACACACCTCAAGCTTGGGTGAAACTTTCAGATCTACAGCACAGTCCCAGCGTTCAACAGCGACAGGAGAATTCCGTGAGCCATGCTTCCTGGGAAGCGGTCTAGCGAGTCCGGACAACACGCGTCCGCACGGTGACCACAAACGTGTGCTGCCCCTTTCACAGCCCCTACACACGAAGCGCATGTACACGCACGCATGGGCCTGACACCATGGGCTGCAGACACCGCTTGTGGGCGGCACATGCTGATGAGGGCCGGCTCATGAGAACGGCTGTGTGTTTTCTGCACCCACCACCCAGAAACAGGCATGAGTAGGGGCACCCACAGTCAGACAAACCCACCACCACCATCAGCCTCGGACGGCCCCGTTCAATCTTTACCAATGCAGTTCCCCCAGTCACGGCCGGCACGTGTCTTCCTGCCTCTCCAGATGGCCACGGAGAGGAACACTAACAGCAGCATTGGCAATTCTGCGTCTAAGGCTATTTCCTGAAAAGCATGTGGGAAATCCCACTGACTTCCAGCATGAAACCAGTGTGTGTCAAGGGAAGAAGACGACAAGCCACAAACGGGGTAAAAGTATTCGCAAAAGACATATCTGATAAAAGACTGGCATCCATAATATACAAAGAGTCCTTAAAACTCAACGAAAAGAAAATGAGCTCTTCTACAAGTTCCTCCCCACATGTATTCAGTGCATGCCTGGCTGGGCAGGAAGTGTGGGGCAAGCAGTGTGTGCTGGAAGGGCGGAAATTTCCAAAACAGATCTAACAAGAGGGCCCAGATGTTGAAGTGCCTTATTCCCACAAATGTCCGCCATCACTCTACCATTAAGATACTGGAAATGAGGAAATGAAGTATTAATTTTCTAACAATTTGTGGTACCCTGGTCTGGCAAGCTGTCTTGAGCTATACTGGACTCAGAGTAGGCACATAGTCAAGCAACACGACACAGCAAGGGAGCCCCAGGACAGCGGTGGGCAGGTCCCTGAACTGCGGGGGCTGGCAGGACGGGGCAGGTGACCTGCCTGTGAACGGCCAAATCTGTGTGCGCATATAGCAAGTGCTGCATTCACCACAAGCCAGGAGACTTCCGTGACACTTCCACTGCCTTCCTTGGACTCTGGCCTTCCCTTGGCCTCAGCAGCTTCACTGCTGTCCTTCAGGAATGATACCGGGGCAGCAGCTCTGGGAAGCCGGCAGACCACCTGCTGCCGTGTCCCGTGGGGCCTGCGTGGCTACACAGTGCAATAGTCCAGGCTCCTGCACTGGAGTGGAGACGCTGAGGGATGGAGGCAGGCTCACCAGCGAGCGTACGGCTGTGCACATGCGTGCCTGCAGAGTTCACAGAAGCCCTGTGCGGGCAAGAATGTTGTGACTACTTGATGACGCCGGACAGTGCCAGGGAATTGCATTTTTGAGGCAAGGCAAGGCTTTACACTGTGTGAGATGGATTCTTATTACAGAAAGTAGGATGCACATGATGTGTTGGATTTTGAGGCTTAAAGAGTAGCGTCTGCTCAGTTTCAAAGCAAAGAGCTGGAAGAACAAGAGCCAATAAATGATCTTTTGCTATATGGGGGAAAAGATGGCAAAAAGTCTGAAGACACCTCACCAAAGATGATACACAGACAGCAAATGAGCATATGGAAAGATACTCCACACTCGAGGTCCTCAAGGGGTTGTAGCTGTGGTGCCACCACACACCTATGAGAATGGCCAAAGCTTAGGGCACGGACAACACCAAAAGCAGGTGAGGATGTGGGGCAGCAGGAACGCTCGTTCACGGTTGGCAGAAATGTAAAATGCAGCAACCACTTCGAAAGACGGTTTGCCCATTTTCACAAAACCAGACATACTTTCAACCATGCCACCCAGCAACCAAGTTCCTTGGTATTTACCAAACAGAGCTGAGAACTTATGTCCACACAAAAACCTGTGCTCAGATGTGAGAGCCGCTTTATTCGTCATTGCCAAAACTTGGAAGCAACCAAGACGTCCTTGTGTAGGTGACTGAATAAACCGTGGAACATCCAGATGATGGAATGTCATTCACCGCTAAACGGAAATGAGCTCTGACGCCATGCACGAAAAGATATGCGGGCACTTTAAATGAGTATTTCTAAGTGAAAGAAGCTACTCTGAAACGGCTACCAACTGCGTGATTCCAACTAGACGACTTTCTGGAAGAGGCAAAATCAAGCACACAGTAAAAGAAGCAGCGGTGACCAGGGCCTGGGGAAGAAGAGAGGCTGAGGAGGGTGTCAGGGCAGTGGAACTACTCTGTATGGCACTCTAATGGCAGACGCATGTCACTATGCATTTGCCAACCTACTGGAGCTACAGCACCCAGAGTGGAGACCCTGACGTGACCTCCGCACTGGGGTGACAGAGACGTGCCACTGCAGGCTCATCCACCGTAATCAATGTCCCACTCTGGCCGGCGACACAGACACTGGGGGAGGCTGGGAGTGGGGGCAGGGGCACACGGGAAATCTGTTATCTTCCTCTCAATTTTGTTGTGAACCTAAAACTGCTCTAGAAAGTAGTTTGTTGATTTTCAATGTTGTGTCCTTGTATTTACATAAATAAATAAGGCAATCAAAAACTCCTGATAATCCCTGGTTGTCCAGTGTTAGGAAGAAACCAAAACTCTTCATGAGAAAGGAATTAAGGGGCATCCATGCTGACTGCCGCGTACTTGGGGAAGCTTTCTGTGCCACCTGCTTACACCTGAACAAAGTGTCCTATCGTGGAGGCGCCCATCTCCGGGTGTGCTATGCATCACCTGGAAAAACCCAGCTTGGCTGCCTCTGATCATACAACGAGCCTCTAGTCCCAGACACATGGGCTAAAGAAATACAAAGTTCACACCAGTTTCAACGAGGCATGTGACATCCTGGCATCCTCCAAACACTCAGCGCCTCACGTGGATCAGTGTGGAGGGGCTTCCCTAAACTGCAGGTTCTGGGGCTCCACCCCAGACCCACTGGATCAGAGACCAAGAGTCTGCACTGCAGCCACTCCTGAGTCATACGCTGTATAGGGAGCGCCACGAGCTCCACCTCACCCGACAGCTCCAGGCTGCGCTGTCACCCTGGCGGGGCAGCTACTACGTCCCCGCTTTCACCCTCAAGAGTGTCCCAGTTAGAACACCCCAGCACTTCAGAGATGAATGATCTAAAGCTTAATTGTGCCTTAAGTCTTCTGATAACCGTCTTTGTGCATTTTGTGCCACAAGTCAGGGCACTTCAGAAACCGAAAAGGACGCACAGCAGACCACACATCCATCCTTCTTCTCTGCTCTCCTTTCAATTAGAGCTTGCTGTGAATCTGCAGCGGCAGAGGGGAGTGGGCAGAGGCCAGGTGTATGTGTGTCGATGTCTGCCTATGTGTCTGTGTGTGTGTGTGTGTGTGTGTGTGATGTCTGCCTGTGTCGCGTGTGTGTATCGATGTCTGCCTATGTGGGTGTGTGTGTGGGTGTGTCTGTGTGTCAATGTCTGCCTATGTGTCTGTGTGTGTGGGTGTGTCTGTGTATCAATGTCTGCCTATGTGTCTGTGCGGGGGGTGTGTGGGGGTGTCTGTCTGCCTGCGTCTGTATGTCTGTGTGGGCATGTGTATGTGTGTCTGTGTCTGTGTGTGTCTGTCTCTGCATCTCTGGATGGATCTATATGTGTCTGTATGTCTGTGTCTATCTCTGCATGTCTGTGTCTGTACATCTGTGCATGTGTATGTGTTGTGTTTGTAAAATACCCTAAGTTTGAAGAAACTGAATCAAGGAAAATCTGGAAGGGCCCCCAGGAATGAGCGGACACCGTATGGCCACAGTGTGTCTATGGCTGGCATCCCCACAGCAGAGGCAGCCCAGTGTGCATGCCCCCAGCATGTCTTTCCCCGCACTCCTCTGCTGACCATATGGGGCGGCCTGGCCCAAGCCCCAGACAGTGCCCTGAAGTCTCCTCCCGCCTCCTCCAGACCCTTGCCCTGCCCTTCTCACACCTGCTTGCAGACCTTGCCTCCTGCCCCACAGACCCTGAGGGCACAGCGCAGTTGGACTACCTCTGGGTCCAGCACACACGCAGCGCAGGCACCCAGATGGTCTTTAAAAGAAACGAATCCCTAAGTGCTAAAGGCAGAGGGGCCAGTCCAACCCATAATTACTCCATCAATAAAGAAAACCAGGGGGCGGTGGCTCACCACTATAATCCTAGCACTTTGGGAGGCTGAGGAAGGAGGATTGCTTGGGGCCAGGAGTTCAAGACCACCCTGGGCGACACAGCGAGACCCCATCTCTACATAAATAAATACATTAAAAAAAAAAAAAGGCTCGGCGCGGTAGCTAACGCCTGTAATCCTAACACTTTGGGAGGCTGAGGCGGGAGAATCGCCTGAGCTCAGGAGTTCCAGACCAGCCTGGACAACATGGCAAAACCCCATCTTTACAAAAAAAAAAATTAGCCAGGTGTGGTGGCACACTCCTGTAGTCCCAGCTACTCAGGAGACTGAGGTGGGAGAACCGCTTGAGGCCAGGAGGTGGAGGCTGCAGTGAGCCAAGATCGCATCGCTGCACTCTAGCCAGGGTGACAGAGTCTCTGTCCCGTGTCCAATGCCAGCGTGACCCTCGCAGACTCGCCCAGACCTCCAGGAGGCCTGGTGCAAGCTCATTTCCCTTTGCTGGGCCTGCTTTCTCAGCAGTAAACTCTACATACCAAAGGGCCCTTCCCCCAGCCCAGGGGGCTCCCTGGACCCCAAGACTTCCTCTGGGTCCCCACGGCACCACCAGCTCGACCAGCTCGTACCTCCCTGTCTAGTCAGTCACGTGCTTGTGTCTCCCCAGCCACGGCAAGATCCCTGACCCCAGGGGCAGGCAGAGGGCATGGCCTGGCGAGACAGGGACTCAGAAGGACCTATAAATGAGCAAATGAAGCGCCTTGGGTGCTAACGCCAAGCCAGAGTAAAGGACCTACAATGGCACTATTCCCACAAAGGCTCTGACTGACATCGACAATGCTGTTCTCATAGTTACTGATGAGCCAGAACGCTTGCCCGCCTCCGGCGCCCAGCACACGGGGCTAACCCCACACATTATGGCTAGGAAATCCACTGGAAACTGAGCTTACTGGAAGAGCTCCCAGAGACTTCCTGGAGAAGATGACCTTCCTGCCGGTGAAGTCACAGGCCAACTGTAGGATGCTGGTGGCAAGGCCCCTGCACCACAGGCTAGAGCATCACCTCACAGCTTCTGGGCTCTCCTGGCTGGCACCACACTCAATTCTGGAAGCCATTTTTCCATCTGCAAAGGCAAACCTCAGACTTGCCAACAGCTGTGGGATCCTACCAGGAACTCCCAGGGCCTGTGGGGCAGGGCACATGGCTGGCGACTGGCTCAGATGCCCAAGAACCACGTCATTCAGAAAGGCCACACACAGCTGGACAACGGGGTGCCAAGCCCCTACCTCGAGAGGCTGTGTGGGTGGATCAAATGGGAGCAGGCAGCAGGCATCAGGGTAATCCCCCTCCTGATCCCCTTCCTGACCCCATTTCAGAAGGGGCCAGGGAAGCTCAGCTCTTCTCCACCAGACACCGTTCTATCCCCCAAACAACTGGCAGGGGAGAGCCACTCTCACAGATATGATCATATGTCAGGGGAAGTCCGCAGTTCACCAACACTCTTCCTGACACCACCCCAGCACCAACACAGCACAGGACAGGCACTGAGTGTATATACACAAGTGTGCACACAACACACACACCACGTGTGCATGCAACACACACCTGTGTACACACACACACACGCACTCACACACGTGCATGCAACACACACCTGCGTACACATACATGCGCTCACACGTGTGCAACACACACCTGCATTCACACATGCACTCACACGTGTGCAACACACCTGCGTACACACATGCACCCATACACGTGTGCATGCAACACACACCTGCGTACACACATGCATTCACACACGTGTGCAACACACACCTGCGCACACACATCCATTCCCACACATGTGCACGCAACACACAGGCATGCTGAGCTGAAAGTGTCTCTTTCAAAAATTTTCATTTTCATTGATCTTCCTGATCTTCAAAACTATATAAAGACAGGAAATGCAATCTCCCTGGTTGCCATATTCTAATCAGAGAAATTCATTCAGTTTAGAAGCATGATTATGAAGCCTGCTGACACAGGTCAGGACAGTCCCCAAAATACACTAAAGCCAAAATCTGAACAGGAGGTGGTGTGTGGTGTGTTCACCAGCTCACGCGCTACGGCTGATCTCGCAGACTGGGCTCTGTCTCCCAGTGCACCCAGAACCTCCCCTCCCACCTTCTCCTCCACATCTGTGCCAGTGCATCTCCTGCCCAGGCTACCACGGGAGGGTCGTGACTGGTTTCACAGCTTCCACCCTTACCCACAGTACCCGCTGTCAGTACTGTGAACAGGGCGGTACCTTACAACACAGAGTCAGACCAGCCATTCCTCACCTCACGGAGTCCTGCCTGGCTCCCCAAACCCTTCCGGAGAGCCTGCCAGCCCAGCCCAACCACGGGGCCCTTGCCACACGGCACCTGCAAGCCTTAGGCCCTCACCCCCCCTACTCCTGCTATACCCTCTGCCCGCTGCCCCTCAGTGGTGCTGTCCTAGGCACACTGGTCAAACAGCCTCCTCGCCAGCGCTGCCTGGAGCCGAGTTCCAACAGGACCCCAAGCTCTCCCCCTTCCCTCCACAACACCAGACAGAAAGTAAACGCAACAGTGTATTTCAACAGGCAAAGGCCAGTGACAATTTACATGACGGTAAATACTCCTCAATACTGCATCGAATCAAAGCATTTATTACTCCACTTTCTAAAATTTAAGGGTTAAGGTGTTAGGATTTGAAATAAGACACCTTTTTAAACAGAATCCCTCTTCATCTTCTACCAAAACAAACTGTTACCTAAATGTCAACAGGAAGAAGATGCAGTGTCCGACACGTAGCAAACACGCGAGAAGAGCTCATTTAAGAGGAAATCACATGAAAACAAGGACACACTGCCCCCAAAAGAAAATATTCTCCGCGCCACTGAGCTTCTGTTAGAACATACAAAGTTTTGCTCATCTCCCTTCTTACCTGTATATAGTCTCCTTGATTTGCATGATCAGCTGAGTAGGTTTTTGGATTTTTAATTAAGAGGCAATGAGGGGTGTGCCCTTCTTTCCAAATGCTCAAGCACTGACCTGGTGTGTGTGCCAGGGTCCGAAGGACGCTTTGGCTGCCATGGAAACGGTGGCATGCTTCTAGCCTGCGCATCCCCTGAAATCTCAGCTGGGAATTCAGGAAAATCAAGCGCCAGTATCAACCTGAAATGCCCATAAGCCCTAGGATAAACTAGGTCTCCTCTGAGTCGCGGTTACTTTAGGAGCAAACGCAGGTACAAACAAACTGAGTCTGTCACCCGCAGCGTGGGAGAGGCAGGTCGCGTGTTCCTGACAGCACGCGAAGCAGCTAAATGGTATCCAAACATGGAAGCAGAAACCCTCACATCACACACATATAATCAAGAACTGACCTCACAGACAGGGCACAATTGAGGAATACCACTAATGACTGCCAAGATGGAATTAGACCTTTTGATGGTTCTTCCATGTAAAATCAAGTCAAATCAAAGCGGTTTCCAGGTCCTGAACTTAACCTCAAGCAGAAAAGAACATAGTGAACGTCGTGCTACGAAAGTGAAAAATGGAAATGGCTAACTGTCCAATGATACGGAGCTCTTTCAGTTATGGTGTGCACTCAGGACACACGATGTCCGTGTGTTTGAAGGGAAGTATGACGGATATTTCAGCAATGTTAATGTCAAAGCTTGTCTTTAAAAAACGTAAAGTTTGGGCCAGGCGTGGTGGCTCACGCCTGTAATCCCAGCACTTTGGGAGGCCGAGGCGGGTGGATCATGAGGTCAGAAGATTGAGACCATCCTGCCTAACACAGTGAAACCTCGTCTCTACTAAAAATACAAAAAAATAGCTGGGCGTGGTGGCAGGCGCCGATAGTCCCAGCTACTCTGGAGGCTGAGGCAGGAGAATGGCGTGAACCTGGGAGACAGAGTTTACAGTGAGCCGAGATCACGCCACTGCGCTCCAGCCTGGGCAACAGAGGGAGACTCAGTCTCAAACAAACAAAATGTAAAGTTTGGGCCAGGTGTGGTAGCTCACGCCTGTAATCCCAGCACTTTGGGAGGCTGAGGCGGGTGGATCACCCGAGGTCAGGAGTTCAAGACCAGCCTGGCCAACATGGTAAAACCCAGTCTCTGTTAAAAATACAAAAATAAGCTGGGCGTGGTGACAGACACCTGTAATCCCAGGTACTCGGGAGGCTGAGGCAGGAGAATCGCTTGAACCCGGGAGGCGGAGGTTGCAGTGAGCCGCGATCGCACCATTGCACTCCAGCCTGGGCGACAAGAGAGAAACTCGGTCTCAAAAAAAAAAAAAAAAAAAAAGTGAAATGTGGGTGAATGACCAAAACTTACATATGGCCTTGGCCTGGGGCTAGATTTATTCCTACTTTCTAAGACCAAGTAAACAACAAAACCACCATGGGACCCTCTCCCCTTCACTCTCCTCAATACCAGGGGCTCCGCCAGAAACTAAGGCTGAAGGTCAGCCATCTCGAGGGACAGAATGGGTCACCTCTACTACTTGCTGGATGACATGGCATGGCTGAGCCACTAAAAACATGGGCTAAGGTGACACTTTTAACAGTACCTCATGATGCCCTGTGGCCCTCTGCAAAACCCTTCTACTTCCTCGTGGATCCCTTGTGTAAACTCACAACAGGGGTTCACCACAAGGAAAAGGGGGCCCCAGGGGCATTCCGGTTCAGAGGGCCACTGCGGATGGGAGACAGAGGAGAGGGCAGAACGGCCACTTTCTCTTCGTGCTCTCCTGTCTTCATGCAGGGAAGTGGCTGGACAACTCTACGGGGCGTGGCGCCGGCAGGAGCCAGCTCTGAATTCCGCCAACCACATCGGTTCGACTGAAAACCCACGAAACATCTCCCCTCCTCTACGAGAGAGGAGTTATCCCATAACCTCGTGGTCCCCCATTTTCTGTGACGAGGAAAGTCAGTCTATAGTTCAGCGAGCAGCCCCTCATTTATCTGGAAAAGTCAGCTGTTCAGAACCAAGCGTTTTCTTGGGATTATGGACAGCAGCCACGTTCAAGATGAACAATATCTCCTAGGGAATTAATTGGGACAGTCCCGAAGTCAACAAAAATGACTTCTTAAAAACTGGAGTCCTGGTTAATATGTATCAAAAACCTTAAAATGCGTACAACTTTTGATCCCAAAATTTTACCCTTTAGAACTTATCATAAGAAAACAAAGCCACAGGAAGCCAGGCTTGGTGGCATGCTCCTGTGGTCCCAGCTATTCGGTAGGCTGAAGCAGGAGGATCACTTGAGTCCTGGAATTCGGGGCTGCAGTGAACCATGACTCCACCTGTGAATAGGTGGCGTGTTCCAGCCTGGGCAATATAGTGAGACCCCTGTCTCAAAAAAAAAAAACAACAACAACCATGAAACACTACAGAGCAATGCTTATTACACCACTAAGAAACCTTAAATATCCAAAAAAGATTGGTAAAATAAAGCATGGCATATCCACATACAAAATCACAAAATCATGATGAATGACAATTTGTTGACATGCAAATATACTTACCCACTACCTAAGTTTAAGCAGGTTAAAACTACATTATGATCACATTGAGTTCTTTAGAAAGGTACGGATGCAGATAAAAAGGTGTTATTTACGCATGTTTCATAGAGTCTTTCTGCTCCTATAGGACCTAAACTTTACTTTTTTTTTTTTTTGAGATGGGGTCTTACTGTGTCACCCAGGCTGGAGTGCAGTGGCTCAGTCACGGCTCACTGCAACCTCCACCTTCTGGGCTCAGGCAATCCTCCCACCTCAGTCTCCCAAGAAGCTAGGACTACAGGTATATGGCACCATACCTAGCTGATTTTTTGAGATGGGATCTCACTATGCTGCACAGGCTGGTCTTGAACTCCTGGGCTTAAGTGATCCTCCCTCCTCAGCCTCCCAAATTGCTGGGATTACAAGTGTGAGCCACCTTGCCTGGCCAAATTTACTTTTAATTAAAACAAACAAACAATAAGTTACCTCTAAAAACAGATTTTCTGGTTCCCTGTCCAACATCACACAAGTCTGGGTAAGTGATATGACATTCAGGAGTGTTTTAAGATGACTTACTGAATCTCAGATGGCCTAGACCTTCCAACAGAGGTTTGCGATGCGAGCAGCTCCTGAAGCTCAGTAGGGAGAGCAAGTCTGAAAAGCTGACTGCACTGAGGTGCTAGTGGGTCCAGCTATTTGGTACGGAAACACTACAGAAGCCTTCCCCAATCTGGCAACAGCATGAAAGTGGCAGGTCCATAACCCCACCCAGGAAAACAGCAGGTTCCTCCCAAATGTTCTTGGAACCTAGGTGCTACTCATTCCTCCAGGATCCTTGGCGGGGACCTCACTCGGACTCTGCCCCAGTGTCGCCCACGCCTCTGCACAGCACTGCACTCACAGGTATCCATGAGTCAGCCCCAACTACAAGGCACTGAGCCTACCAGGAAGAAAGGAGTCGACTGCCCTTTTCCCTTCTTTCCAGGCTGAAAGAGACCACAGGACATGGTCTGCTACAGGCCCACACGGGCTCAGAAGCTCTACTTCTTGTCTGGGTAGTTTACAGCATCCTCCCTGCCTGAGGCCCAGACAGCGCTGGGCTTCCAAGGCCAAACACCTCACGCGGGCTCCTCAGCTGAAGATATCACGGGCACCTTTCCAACTCATTAATTCCTAGGTGCTGACGTCCCCCCGGCCTAAGCACTGCCCTCCAGGATCGGATGGCCGCCTGTGAGCCAGCACAGGATGTCGCCTCCAGCAAGCTCCCAGCAGCAAGGGAAGGCAGGCAGAGCCCTTGGACACCTGCGAGCCAGGCTCTGAAGGATGCCCGGCACAGGGGTGAGGAGCCCGCGCCGCCCTCTACAGATGGGTGCGCCACGATGGCAACGGGCAATGCAAAGCCACACACGCCGGCCACATGTGGACAGACATCGTTTTGTCTGCATCCTGTGACACTGGTGAACTTCATCAGAATCTTCCTCATCTGGGGACACAAGACAGGTCCGGGTCCGGCGAGGACCGGAATGAAAGGACCATCATGGGCTACCAAAAAGACCAGTTTCAGAAATGTCAACTGATCCCTGCCCGAATATTAAAACCTTGCTAAGTGATGGACAAAGGTTCATGAAGCTGACACACAACAGTGTTTAAACCTAGAAAAATAATTAAGCCAAGCTACTCTGGACACAATGGAGTCCTCAAATTCATCAATAAACTGTATTTACTTTATGTGAACTCCAAATGATAGTGAGACCTGAAAGCTTATCACAGACGTGATAAAATCAACATGATTCACGTACTTTAGATGTTTTAGATTTTACTGTTAGTTCACTAAAAAGTCCACCCTTTTACTCTTAAAAAAAAAAATCTTCAAATTGTGTTATCTTTAAACATTTTTTTTTTTGAGATGGAGTCTTGCTCTGTCCCCCAGGCTGGAGTGCAGTGGGGCGATCTCGGCTCACTGCAAGCTCCGCCTCCCGGGTTCACGCCATTCTCCTGCCTCAGCCTCCAGAGTAGCTGGGACTACAGGCGCCCACCACCACGCCCGGCTAATTTTTTTGTATTTTTTTTGTAGAGATGGGGTTTCACCGTGTTAGCCAGGATGCTCTCGATCTCCTGACCTCGTGATCCGCCTGCTTCAGCCTCACAAAGTGAAAAAAACAATTTTTTAAGAGATAAGGTCTCACCATGTGGTCCAGGCTAGAATGTAGTGGTGCAATCATAGCTCACTGGTGACCTCAAATTCCTGGGCTCAAGCAATCCTCCGGCCTCAGCCTCCCAAGCAGCTGGGACTACAGATGCATGCCAACATCCATGTCCGACTTATAAGTCACTGTTTTAAATACAGCACACTTCTCATCTGCGAATAGTTCCAGGACACACCCTTACACTTTTGCACCTGCCTCAGCAGCAGCCCCGCCCTCTGACAGCCCCAGCACCAGGCAGCTGAGCTGAGCTCCTGCAGCACATAGGGAGCCTGGGCTGAGGCCACACTCGTGAGGCAGTGGGTTTCCCCGATGGGATCTCGGTGCAACCCAACAACTGAGCCAACTGGGACTCCTCGGTCTGTGAAACCCATGAGGACATTGGCGAGACTGGGTGAGCACAACCCATAAGGACACTAGCGGGACAGGGGTGAGCACCTGCGGTGGAAGCGGGGCGGGCGGCCGACCCACGAGGACACTGGCGGGACAGGGGTGAGCACAACCCACGAGGACACTGGCGGGACAGGGGTGAGCACCTGTGGTGGAGGCGGGGCGGGCGGCCGACCCACGAGGACACTGGTGAGACAGGGGTGAGCACCTGCAGTGGAGGTGGGGCGGGCAGCCGAAGGAGAGACAGGCCTCTGCCCCCTAGCCACCAGCAGCTGAGTGCTGACCACAGCCCCCACGGGCAGCACAGGCAAGCAAGTGGAGGAAATAGAGGAACTGTGAGTGAGCAGAAAAATGCAATGCAATCAGCTGACCAGAGAGGAAGCTGGGCTCCTTGCTAACGTCTCAACAAGGCACAGACGCACCCGCAAGGGAGTGGGCAGCACTGCAGGATGCAGCAAGGGCTGCTCAGACCTGCTGGGGGCATCCTTTGCCCCGGGCTCTGTCCCTACTGCCCCCAGGCACATTTCACTGCCAGGCTGCTGGGGGCCAGGGCTCCAGCCTCCAGGGCAGCACACCTCAGCCTGCTCTGTCCCCTTCAAGGCCAGACAAGCAAAGCCCCAGCCCCCACCTTGGCCCCCAGCCTGTGGGCACAGTTTCTCTCCACAGGCTTGGCTGGGCCTGGCTTCCACACCTTCCAGCTCCAGCCTTCACCCCAAGACCCCCACCTCTGTGACGGCTCCCACATTCTGCGGGACCCACCTCCAGGCTCTGCTGGTTCTCCTCTCACCTCCTTCCCCCACGCAGCCTGGAAAGGAAGGGCCGATGCTCGTGGGAGCCCCTGTGGCCTCGGGGCCCTGGCTCTATCCCCACCGTGCCAGGCGGCCTTTCCTTGCCTCCCATCCGCCTACTCAGAAGCCCAGGATGGCTGCCAGGTGAAGGAAACGGCTCTGGAGGGGAGCCAGGACAAGTCTGGCTTTACTGAAAAGTAACATCCGCAGGACAGACTCATAGCTGACTTTGTTTGAAGGAGCAAGTCGGCTAAGAGTGTCATTTTCCTTTACACCTGCAATCCCACGGACCACATCTCAATGCCCTCTACCCCCATTCTTACGTCTGTCACTTGCTCTTTCACATACGTTGCAAGTCTTTGATGAGGGAGGCCAGCTTTCCCTCTGGAAGGAGATGCCTTCAGTTGTAAACCGACAATTCATAAAAAGTTGGGGGCTTCGAGTACACAATTCCGCATTCCCGAGAAGCCTGCCAATCATGCAGTGGAAACACCTGACCTGGTGCATCGCGCACCCCTCCCTGGCCAGGCTGCCCTCCCTGGCACACGCCCCGCGCTGGCCGGCAACAAACAAAACCCACACGGACAAAGGAGTCTTTACAAGAACAGCCAAAACAATTCCATCTGCGAACAAAAACTAACGGCAGAATTAAAGGCTGCAAGTCCAAACACAATCTGGCTATTGTAAACAGTGCCTCAGTTTATCAATGTAACAATAACTCTTTCAAAGATTAATAAAGTTCCCCCCAAACACTCAGCAATCTAGCATTGTTAAGATACTTTGGAGGATAAATATTAGCTTGGGACTCGCCTACATGAGAAGTGAAAGCTGCCAAGACAGCAGTTCTAAAGCAAGAACCAGCGGCAGCAGCGGCGGCCACAGGGCAGCGAGGCATGGGCCCAGGCACTGCTTCCAGCCTTGCCGCACATCAGTTCGACTCCCCAGGCACCTCCTTGCACCCAGCACCACGCTGGCCCCTCACCCCGTGTCACACTCCACATGCAGCCCCCTGCGAGCTGAGCAGCAGGACTCACCTTGGGCACTGTGAGTGAGACAGAGCAAGGGCACCAATCCTCTGGGCCCCACGTGCCCCCTGCCCACCCTGTCCTGGGGTCACTGGCTCGTGAGGGCGGGACTGCGACTCTGTCTCCTGGATCCCTGATGGCCAGGCGCCTGGCAACAGATAAGCCACCCACAGCAAACAGGAATAGGTGGAAAATGGACTTAACTAAAAGGAGAGGTTTTAAGATGATTGTTGGAAATAAAAGGGAACAAAGGAGCATTCAAGCTTAGATTTGATTCCAACTTACTTTCTTGAAAGACATTTAAGTAACCTGGGTAACCAAATGCAACATGGTGTTGGGGCCAGCTCTGAGAGCAGTGGGTCACGCGGGGCCCCTGCAACATGGTGTTGAGGCCGGCTCTGAGGGCAGTGGGTCACTCGGGGCCCCTGCTATCAGCAATCCCAGGTTGAGACTCCAAACAGCCAGGCTGAGTGGGTGCTAGGCTGGCCCACCCTCTGCAGGGTGTGTTTTTGCCCCACCCGTACCTCCACCATGGGGGTTTTTGTTCGTGTAATGCGACAGCGTGCAGCTCCACACACACAGGAAGCAAGCTGTCAGGACAGAGCCTGACTCGCACAGGTAACTGGAATCCTCCCCAACAGGTGGGTGTGCAGAGAGCAGGTCCCTGTCCGGGCACCTCCCGAAGGACTGTCTTAGCACGACCTTGCTTCTCCCAGGGGAGGGAAAGGAAAAGGGCCTCGTGAGGTCTCCGCAAGACCGGGCTGTGCGTCCTACACCAGGCTGCCTTCTCCTGCACATTTTCCTACTCAAAGACAACGGAGTCCAGGCATCCTCTCAGCATCGCACGAGTTCCCCTGGTGCAGAAAAACAGACTTTAAAAGTCTGAATCAGTCTCAGCCAAGTGTGGTGGCTCATGCCTGTAATCCCAGCACTTTGGGAGGCTGAGGCGGGTGGATCACCTGAGGTCAGAAGTTCGAGACCAGCCTGGCCAACATAGTGAAACCCTGTCTCTACTAAAAGTACAAAAATTAGCTGGGTGTGGTGGCAGGCGCCTGTAATCCCAGCTACTTGGGAGGCTGAGGTAGGAGAATCACTTGAACCCGGGAGGCGGAGGGTGCAGTGAGCTGAGATCACGCCACCGTACTCCAGCCTGGGTGACAGAGCAAGACTCCATCTCAAAAAACAAAAAAACCTCCGAATCAGTCTCCTACAGTAGCTGTGACTGTGACAGGCTCAGCCCTCAGTTTCCCCACCTGTAAATGGGAGCAACACTGCGAGTGTTGTAAAGGGCAGGTGGCGACACAGCACAGTGCCTGTCACAGCAGGCTCTCACGGACAGAGCGGTTGCTAATGGCCTTAAAGCTCCGCGGCAGCACGTGGCCCCTCGACTGCTCTCAGAGACAAGGTACTGTCAACTAAGGCGACTTTCTGAAATGGCCTTAGGATGAGTCAAATCCTTGGTTCAATACATGACAGTGTTTGCACATACACAGACTCAGCCTGAAAGAGACAAAAAACACAGGACCATCTAGCTGAAAAGCAGCAGCTACTGAACATGGTCTAATTTTTGTTTCAATGGCTCAAAAGAATAAAAGAATCATCTAATAATGATGATATCATTGGTTTCATTAGGATTTTTACCCAGTTGTCACTAAAAGGGATATATTTTTGGTTTAGAAAACGAAAACCTTAGGTTAATAAGTGTTTCGCACTGGTTATCAGAAAGCCAGTGAAAGCCTGGCCCCCGTCCGGAGCTGCACGGCACCTTTCCTAACGCCAGGACGCGTGGTGGCTCCTGCCCCGAGCTGCACGGCACCTTTCCTAACGCCAGGACGCATGGTTGGCAAGGACACGGGTCAGCCATGGGGCTCCCAGGATTGACCTCCAATTCCTCATCTGGGGAAGCCCAGAGCAAATCGAAGGATGCATGGGAACCTCCTTTGGAAGTAGGACGATCGTCAGAAATACAGGCAGGCCCGGGTCTCAGGACGTCGAGGATGGAAGGAGCATCCGAGCTGATCCTGCCCAACCTCGAACCTGCAGGGTAGAAACAGAGCCCGGGAGGCCAAGGGGGGGCCCTCAGCAAAGAGGACAATGACACGTGAGCAGAGCCGACCTGACACTATGCTCCTCCTGCCTTCCCAGGTGGCCCCACGATGGAGTTTCCTCGAATTTCCTGAAAACTGGCCAGCTGCTCTGAACGAGCCTGAAGAAGGCAGCTGCACAAACTTAAGCAGCCACTAGTCAAGCTCACCCGCTGGGCGGCCCCGCCTCCACCAAACTGCACTTCTGAGCCTCTGTCTCCATCGCTGCCCTCCCTCCAGGCCGCCGCTCAGGGCACGCCGCCTCCATCGCTGCCCTCTCTCCAGGCCACCACTCAGGGCGCGCTGCGCTCAGCTCACACCACCCCGTGCACAGCTCGTGGATGCGGTCCTCCCTTTTCCATGAACTCTGCACTCGCCTCCCCTTTGCACTTCACAACATTAAACTTCAACCCAACGTCCAAGGCCTGGGCTACAGGTAACAGATGCCAAGAAGTCAACCATCTTTCCCGGGGCTGGCACTGCCTTCGCGATTTGGGACGATGTCGCAAGAGTCTGCCGTGCGCCTCCAGTGCCTGAACAGGCAGCTGCAAGTCCGTGGGCCTGAGCTCAGCTCCTTTCCCGCTCAAGTGCCACAGTGACTTCTCATCTGGGTGCCCAGAAGTGGGGCTGGCTGGCACGTGAGTCAGAGATGCAGGGCAGGGGTCACACGATGTCAGCGCGGCCTCGTGCCTAGGCCATGAGGCCTAGCGGAGACGTGCACAGACCTGCGGCAAAGCTGCAGACCGGCATCCTGCCTGAGGCTCAGTGCCAGAGGCCAGCAGAAGTTTCTGGCAAAACCTGAAGGGATAAAGAAGTGCTGATAAACCACCCCTACTGCCTCTGGAATGTTTGTGATTTTATGATTTTCTGCATCCAAAATTTGTCACATCACTGCTTCTCCTATCCCACAACCTCACGAACATGAGATTCCTCAAGTCCTGAGCTAGATGCTAGATACGGAACCTCTGAAGCATGACTCTGTGGGGAGCCCAGGCTACGACACCTCAAGAACACTGCAGCCTCTGCGAACATGAGGAAGATGAGCAGGTGGCGCTCAGTACTTCTCTCTAAGGGGCACCAGTGGCAGTGCCTGGCCTCCTAGCAGGCCCAACAGTCTCACGTCCTGGGAAGGTTCCCTCCCAGCCCCAAAGCTCCAGGCCTACCTCTAGCTCCCAGTGCAGTGCACCCTGGGACAGGCAGGAGAAGGCAGCAGAGAGGAGAACCAATGAAGGCTTCTCGCACTGCATCCCTGGATGTCCCAACCGCTCCAGAAATCAATTCCAGGCATCAACATCGGTGTCACCCCCGCCTACGCTTTAGGCTAGTCCCAGGGGGCAGCAAGGGACAAAGGGCACCACCGGGCTGTGGTCAGTCAGCTTTCAGCCACCCAAGTGCAAAGCCTCAAGGATTTTCCTACAGTGACTGCTGGGCAGCTTGAAGGAGCAGAAGAAAAGTGGCAGTGTGGGTACAGCCCAGCCACACTTCCACGTGGACCCAGAAGAATCAACGGCAGCCAGGTTACAAAGGGAAACCTCCAGCTCCACCCTGCTCCCTACTGCAGCAGGGCCCATGATGGCTGGACATTTGAAAACAGAAAACTCCCAGAACCAGCACGTTACAAAGCACTTAGGGACATCAAAGCCCAGCTCTGCACATGAGCTCTACGGAAGGAGAGTTTCACCTGCTCAAACCCAATCAGGCTGTGTGGAGCTCATGCCACCTAAAGAGGCTGAGGAAGCCTGAGACGCAAAGTCTTCCTGCTCATCCTAATGGCAGGAGCTTCCTTTAACTAGGACTGCTGATATATTTTCTCCACTGGCTTTCATGTACACATTATGCAATTTGCTTAATGACTCAGTGATTATTTGATGACAGTCACCTTCCCCCAAACCACCCGCACCTAGATCAACTGTCCACCTAGATCAATCGTTCATCTAGGTCAACTGTCCACCGTCAAGTCATGAAGACTCTGAGGTCTGGGATGTAAGAAGGACAGCCCAAAAGAGAGCTCGGCTGGTGGGCACAGGGACCTGGGGCCTCGAGAGCAAAGAACAGGTGGCCACAGGGCCAGGGTGGCAGTGTGCACTTGAGGGCACCTGCCCAGCGCCCACCCCAGCCAGTGCGGGTCTCTCCTCGCACCAGCTCGGGAGGGAGGGGCCACCCCCAGCACTCCACGGCCATCCGGGGAAGGAAAGTTGGCGGGGCTGGCGAGGACGTCTGGTGTCTATAAAAAATGTTTCTCCCAGGAGGGCCGCTGAAAACAGAGACTCTGAGATACTCTCATTCTTTTCCTTATTTGCCACTCTGAAAAATAAGCCGTTCTTCCTATTCTGAAATGGAATACAGGTCAAAACCTCCTACGGTGAACAGTGACCCAAAGAAAAAGATCACTAGATCCAAAATATTTCTAGTTTGGCCAGTGGCCCCAAGTAACTCTGTTTATTTGGTTAGAGCAAAGCTCTCCTGGGGGATGAAACGCCTACCCCAGTACAAAGCCTGCCTGTGTCTGCCTGGGTCCCATGAAGAAGGACTGAAGGGCAGGAGGCTCCTTGCCCCTCCGCACCCCAGGAGGCCCTTCTGTGTTCCCACCAGGGCCTGACTGTGGAAGAGAACAGCTGCCCGTGCCCCCTGCCCCGCCCCTGTCCCTGCCACGGCTGACATTTAGGAGCTCTGTCCCAAGCGTCCACCGTGGCATGCAGAGCCGCCCCACACCCCGACTCCCTGGGGCCTCGGCCCCCCAGCAAGGCCGGCTTGACAGGAACCAGTAGCCAGCAGAGGCCTGAGCAGAACAGGGTCCGGAGCTGGCAGTGGGGCTCGGGGCCACTGGTTCCCAAGCAGACTTCCCCCACCTCACAGGCAGCTTCTCCTCTCCAGCGGCCCAGCGGGATCCAGCACGGACTGAGGGCGGGTGAAACGCCAGCTCCTGCCTTCAGCACGTGGTCACTGCCCTGCCCTGCCTGCAACAGCAGCCACCAGAGAGCGTCCGCTGGGAACCACAACGCGCCCGCACCCCAGCGGCCATCCTCGGGTCACGCAGCCTCATGGCTTCCTTCACTGCCGTGGCTGAGATTCCTCGGCCTGCGCCATGACGGGGCCTCGCCTACGTTGGAAGATAGGTGGTTCCCCCGTGTGCTCCCCAGTTACACGGGTTCGACCTTCACTAAATCTTTACCGAATCCCCACTCCACAGTGACCGGCCTTGCACTTGGCCCGAGGTCACGGTGTGTCATGTTTTTCTGCGGAAGGACCCCACTTCAGACAAGACCAGGGGTATAAACCGCACACGAGCAGTCAGCCTCCAACAAATGCATCTTTACAAGTCCTGTGAGGTCTGCACTCCACCCACTGCACATCCACGGCCACGTCCGTTTAAACATATTTCCCAAAGAGACGCGCACCCCAAGTTAGGGAAGCGCCGCCCTGGGATAACGAGGACCAACAGGACAAGACTGAGAGGCAGGAGCACAACCCACGGCGGAAAGCACGACACCGGGCAGGGGTCTGCAAACGCCCCGTGCCCCCTTCTGACCGGCCGAGGGCACCTGAACACATCCTTGGCTTTCAGTCTTTCCCGAGTGCATCCTAAAGATGTGAGATCGTGAGTTCTAGCCATGGTCCCAGTAGGGCACCCTCAAGACCTCTGGAACCTGTGTGGTGCTTCTCACAACAGAACAGGGCCGGGCACCTCCTTGACACTGTTCCTCAGGAGAACCAGCAGCGTGAAGGGGCCTGCGGTTGCCTGGGGTGGGGGCAGACGTGAGCGGCACCTCGTGGCTCTGTGGCTCTTGTTACTGACCCCACAGGCGTGGGCAGTTGCATTGCAGGGACCAAGGACACACTGGCTCCCCTCCGCTGGGGACTTCCTGGTCGTGAGCTATGCCCAGAGGAGTCAAAAAGGCACAAGGGGAGACAGGCCTGGCTCCAGCCCTTGGGGTGCCCAAGGCACTGGGTGCCCACAGCCCCTCCTCGGGAAGGTGAGGTATGGGCTTGTGACACCCCTTCCTTCCCTCGGGAGCTGAGGAGAATGGGCGGTGGTGGTTTACTGCATGTTCAGAAAAGGCCTCCACCCTCACCACCCTGCGTGAGACATGGGATCTGTGCCCTCAGGAAACTCAGTCCGAGAGGTGGCCTCACATGCGCGGTTGTTACAAGCAGAGCCAGGTAAGCGCAGAAGCCTGCCAATGTATCTTCCTGGTCCCTTTCGGGGCACCCTTTACCCACACGCCCTACTTAAACCACTTGAAACCCTTTCCAGATGAGGGCAGGTGCAAATCGAGGAATTTATACTTCACAAGAAAAGTACTTCCCCCATTGAATATTTAAAAGAGTAACTGCACCCATCTGCATTTGACCCTGCTTCCTACTCACACTTTCTTCAGAGCCTGCCCCCCAGAAATGTGACCCCCTGTTATCAGCCAGGAGCCCCAGGAATGGGTAAGGCCCCAACTTTAACTTCTTTCCCACTTGTTCGCTTATCAGCAGCAGCCCCCCCGCCCCCCCGCTCCCCACCACCGACCCCATACCACGGCCTCCAACCTCTTCCCCATCTTCCCCCAGTTAAGTTCAAGACTTGGGAAAAATAGAAGCAGCTGCTCTTCACAAACTACTTTAAACCTTACAACGAAGCCAACCAAAATAACTCCATAGTTCAATGTCAGCTGCAGTGGGGAGGAGCTGCAGAGTTCTCTTGCTGGCGGCCACGGGGCTCCCTCCTGAACTCATCCAAGTTAGTATTTTTATCACCAAATCCTAAGACTATCAGAAAACATCTGAGGCCGACCAAGCACCGTGTGACCTTGAGGAAGTCGCCTGACCGCTCCAGGTCATGTGCGAGGCCTTAGGGTGTGAACAGAGCACTTCCCGGTTCCTTCCACTTCTACACGCTTTCATTCTACAACTGAAAACCACACACGAAGGTGTGTGTATCATCATGAGAGAGAGGCCTTCAGAGCCCAGCAGCAACCTATAATAAACAGACTATAAACTCAGCACAGCTCATGCTTTCTTCAAAAGACTGATTTTAACAGGCAGAAGACATAACCGCAGCTATGAAAACCTCTCCCGGCGGATACTAACTACAGCATCGTGACTCAGCTGCTCTGATGCTCTGATAGGTGAGGTCACCTGGATACTACAGGTGTTTTCACAAGAGGAAATAACCCACACGCAGGGCACGGAGCGCAGACTGTGCCCCTGCCACAGACCGGCCTTCTCCCCAAAGTCCCTCGTTAACCCTTCACGGCAAGTCTGGAGTTTCCCATTTCCATGGCCAGGACGCTGGGCTTCTGGCCTCCTTGGCTGACTGGACAATTACAGACAGTTGAGTACTGTCTTTTCTGTGAACACTAGCATGTATTTAGCTTAAAAGGATCTTCTGTGCGGCATCTTTTCAGTCTAGCGAGAGAATGCTTTAGGCCATAACAGGTGAAAAGTGCCTCCTTTCACCTGCCACCCCGTTCAAGAGCTGCCAAGGTACAGCAGGCTCTCTGCTGGGCAGAAGCAGGCAGCCGGGTGGAACAGCTAGAATCTCCAGCATCTGCAGACGGGCCTCAGTGGGGCGGTGAGGAGACGGCTCTCAGACCTCCCAGGGCACAGTCCACAGGGTAGCACACAGGAGGGCCCGGGCCAGGGGCACCTGGAGGAAGACGGGGCTCAGAGAAGGAGCAGCTCCATCTCGTACCCTCTTGCGCCCAGCCACCGAGGGGGACTAGACGGCTTTGCACCGACCCCCACGTTTCTCCCACCCTCCTTGCCCCTTTCAAGCCTATGTCATGTCAACAGCCTCCTTTTTGGTGGTGGCTCACATCTGTAATCCCTGCACTTTGGGAGGCTGACGTGGGAGGATCGCTTGAGTCCAGGAGTTTTAGGCTGCAATGAACCATGATCCTGCCACTACACTGCACTCCAGCCTGGGCGACAGGCTTGAGTATGTCTTAAATTTTTTAAGACAGGCTGGGAATTCATATTCACGCTGCCCTTCAGAGCCTCGAGGGCTGCCCTTGTGCAGCTCATTCAAAACCTGCAGAAGGCTGGCCGCTCAGTGCAAAACACACAAACACCAGAAACAGAAAGTTCACAGAAAAGGAGATGCAAATGGCACTTAGGGGTGTTCAAGCTCACGTCCAGTAAGAGAAATGCAAATTGCAAGCGCATCGGTACGCCACATTTTCACATACGACAGAGTGACCCACCACGGGACAAGGCTCCAGGCAAAAGCCCTGACCGTGTCTGATGGGGACCACGCCTGGTTGGACCGCTCATGAGAAGCACACTTCTCTTGCCCCACCAAGTTAGATCTTCTGGAGCCCAGCTAGTCTACACACAGGAATTTCTCCTACAGGCCTACTTCACACAGCCAGGGACCTGTGTACTGACTATGGCACTGTCCTGTCCTGCAGGACTGAGGCAGCCAGGGCCCAGCAAGCTGCAGTGAGCGGGGTCACACTGCCTGAGGTCTGTGCTGGACACACAGCAGGGACTGGATGGAACCTATGCTCTTGGGGCACTCACGGAGGGTGCCGGCCCTGGCTACTTCATGCAGAGCCACTGCTGGGTTGGGAAAGATGACAGGAAGACGAGGGCAAGGGGCACAAGTCCCCGTGCAGCCACATTTTCTGTGGGACTCCCCGTCCAAATGCAGATGGCCAGGCAGCTGGCACAGCAGAAGAACTTGGGGAGCAGTCTGGACTGCAGTCAGAGATGAGTCAGTACCATCGAGGCGCTAATCCTTCGGCGTGGGTGGGAAAAGAGGTCCAGGAAAGGAACCCAGCTCCCAAGAGGGAGGCAGAGGCAGAGATGTGGTCCCAGAGGAATAAGCAGGGCCTCAGCCGGCCATGAAACCAGCCAGGTGCGCGATGGAGTCAGGGCCTGGGGAAGAGGATGATCGGAGAAGGCGGTGCCAGGGAACAGTGGGCACAGAGGCCAGGGCGAGAGCAGAAGGGGCAGAGGCGGGGATGGCGGGGGAGTGCACACTGCACTTTCGAGAAGGAGTGAGAAACAGGGCTGCTGCTTGGGAGACTCGGAGCCAACAGGGGTTGTACTTTTGTCCTTTTTAGTGAAAGACATTAAATCCTACACTGATCAAAAACCTAAGTTCCACGCCTTAGTTCCCCTTAACTCACTCACCCCTTCCATCTATGACAGACAGTCATCTGGAGTGAAGTCTAAGAGTCACAAAGATGTTATCTCAACCGTGGCTCAGCATTCAAACAAGGATTCTAATCTTTCAGGGCTCCAGATGGGAAACAGATTGCTGAGAATTATCAGTTTTATTTGAAGAGTGCAGAGAGGCGATTTGTACAAATGGGTATGACTGGGTTTTCCTTGGGCGGAGAAGAGCCGGCTGGCCTGCTGAGAAGCTGGCTTCCTACTCCGGTGGACGCCATGCTGGAAAGGGTCAGCTTCCTGTAGTAAGAGAAGCTAAGAGGTCAGGGGCCAGAGGGACCTTCAGGGGTCCCCTGCGGCTGTGGCCTCTGCAGAGGGGGGCTCAGGGAGGCCTGGAGTGAGGGCTAGAGAAAGCCCATGGCCCGGGGTCTTCCAGCCCAGCCCAGGGAGCACTCCAGGTAAGGCAAGGCCTCACCACCCTCCAAGTCCTCAGCACTAGGAGCCCACCAAGAGCCAACTCTGCCCTGGAGGCCCCGGACACTGGAGCGAGGTGCCCCCAGCCCTACAGCTTCAGATCCCAGATCTCAGTCCCCTACAAAGCATGCAGTCCCTCACCTCAGCAGGGAAAATGAGCTAGCAGAGAACTCCAACACCCAGACATCGCCCTACAAAGAACTTTAAAGAAGTAAAAAGCAAAAAACATATTATGTTACATTATGCTAGACAGTACTATCATTATACATCATATGTATAATTATACATGTCCATATATAATATATACACGTATGTATGTATATATTATACATGATCTACATCTACGGTCATCTAACACTGCACTGTATATAAAGGAATCTATTTTTTTTAAGTGCGTGGTGCACATCTGGCTGTGAGCTCACCACACGTGCAGGTATCTGACCCCAGGCTCCTCTCCAGGACTCCTCGGCACCGGCAGAAAGGCCCCAAGTGCCGCAGCTCCAAGCCCGGCCCTCCCACTCAGGCTGGGCTCAGGGTTGAGAATTCCACCCGCCACTCCAACGCTGCCAAGTCTTATCTCTGCCACATTTCTCAATGTGACATTGCACAATTCTTTTGGACAACCTTGACTTTCCGTGGTGCTCACTGCTAATTTTAACTACCTGATGTTTCCCCACAAAGTAAATATGAGGTGTTCATGCCACCACCATGGCAGCGTTCCAGTCACTCTGCAAATTCGGCCAGTTTCGGTCATGACAACGACATGAAACACAACAACCCAGGCGTGAGGACAGCCACCCTTGGGATTTATCTCCACTGGGGATGAAACCAGGCCGCCCTCCTCCAGGGCTGCCAAACACAGCTCCCATGAACGACCAGGTCAAGCACGTTGTCCTTGGGTCCAGAGACAGACCAGGCAGCCCACGCTGCGTGTGGTCTTACCCTACGGTCCAGAGACTGCAGGGATGTGGCGGGGGGGCCTGGGGAGGATCTTTCCTGGACACACATAAACAACACCTAAATTGTTTTGTTTTGTTTTGTTTGAGACTGGGTCTCACTCTGTCACCCGGGCTGGAGTGCAGTGGTGCGATCTCAGCTCACTGTAACCTCCGCCTCCTGGGCTCAAGCGATTCTCCTGCCTCAGCCTTCCAAGTAGCTGGGATTACAGGTGCCTGCCACCATGCCGGGCTAATTTTTGTATTTTTAGTAGAGACGGGGTTTCACCATGTTGGCCAGGCTGGTCTCAAACTCCTGACCTCAAGTGATCCGCCCACCTTGGCCTCCCAAAGTGCTGGGGGTGATCCACCCACCTCAGCCTCCCAAAGTGCTGGAATTACAGGCATGAGCCACCGCACTGGCAAAACACTCCCTAAACTGTATACAAAATTGCATCTATTTGCATTTTTGTGAGAACAAGTTTACAGCTTTCACCACATCTCCAAAGGAATCCATGACCCAGAAAAGATAGAGAACCAGCCCAGTCTGGAGAAAGAGGGCTGGGGGACACACACGCGTTCATCTAACTGGCCAAAGGAATTTTTGTTGTGATGTGGTTATTATCTTCTCATAATTTTTTTTTAAATCAGTCCTCCCTTTTGTAGTTTACTTCAGAATTTAGTTGGGCAATTTAGGTTCATACCAAAACAAAAAAGGGGGGGCAAATAGAAACAAAGGAAAATAGATTCTAAGTTTAGGAAAAGCTATAAGTAACAGCGCAGATCACTACAGAGCTATTTTCTGAAGCTCATCAAACACGTACTTGGTGATGTCAGAAAGTAACAGTCAAACCACATTTTCTAGAACTGATCCAAGAGGAATGGACAAACGTATGAACGACTACAGGTAAAACTACTGGCATCTGTCAAATAAAACAAATCAGGCGAGCAGTGGTGTCTGGAGTGGAGTCCCTGGGTCAATGTTACTGGCGTGGCTTGCCAGGGCAGTGTGAGCTTGTTGTGAACCCTCTGTATAGGTGTTAACTCATGCATTTTGAAAAGTAACCCAGGACAGACCCAGCCAAGGAAAGACTGAGCTAGAAAAAAACAGCAAAATACTGGTTTCACATTTCATAACCAAAGCACAGGCCGTCCTCCAGATAAAACGTTCATCTCATCTGCATGTTAGGTTCAAAGAAGCGGCTGGGACACTACCGCTCAACCCTCAGATTCTGGGGTCTGGCCACCGCGTTGGCCCTCAGAGCTGCTGCTCCTGCGTGCCTGGTGCTGGGAGGCCATGCGCTAACTTAGGTATCACAGCACAGAGAAACCAGACCTCACGGCCCTACTCCCCGCCCCTCACCGCCCTGGAGCTGCCTCGAAGCTGCACACGGCAGACAAGCGGGTGTCCATGCACAACCTGGGGCAGGTTCTCACAGGAGAAAACGGCTCACACTCAGGAGACCTGCATACATCCCCGACCAGGGCACGCGGCATTCTGGGCCCGCCAATCCAGCTGTGGGCTCAGGCCACGTGGCACACTGGGCCCACTCTGGGCTCAGGTTCCTCAGCTATGTGGGCCGACACAGACTTCTGCTCCCTCCCCAAGGCTCTAAGTTACCGTAAACTTATGGCCACAGCTCCCACCCAACAGGGAACCACACAAGGAGGCCGTGGAGCACAGAGCCCCGCACGCGCCCAGGGCGGGAGGCTGGCCAAGCACACAGGCTCCTCGGGTCCCTCCTCGGAAGGCTGCGGCCCGCTCCTGCACCCCTGCTCTCTTGGGGGGTTCCAGTAACAGCTCCCTCCGTGTGCCCCTTGGGCCTGGAGTGGAAGCAGCAGCATGAGGCTTCACCCCTCCTTGCTGGTGTCCCTCAGCCCTGCCCGACCCTCGGTCCAGTCCTTCCACTGCCTCCTCTCTCTCTCTCCTTGCAGGTGCCACTTGCCGCCTGGTAACACGAGGACCTGACTGACACAGCAACTAACATCGCTCCACAACACACACAGGCATACACAGTCTTCATGGGTCACTGAAGGTGTCAGCGACAAAAACCACACCCTATCAACGCTGATGAAGGGCTGGCTCTAAGAAGTTCTCCATCAGCTTGTTAACAAATCAAGACTAGAACCATCAGCCTTGAAGCTGGCTCTAAACTGCAGGACAGATGAGTGCGCAGATGCCTGACTCTGGGACACTCAGGCAAGGGGCCTACATACCCCCTAGGGCCCAGATTACAGGTCAGTCATCGGAAATGGGGATTGGACACCCACATGCATGGTGACTCGAGGACAGCACCATCCTCCCCCACCCCCCTACTGAGGCTGGATGCGTGGGCCTACGTAATGCACGCCAGCAGTTCACTGTGACTACAGCCACCTGCTTCCTCAAGCCCACAAAGTGAAAAAGAAAATGCGGCCGGGCGCAGTGGCTCACACCTGTAATCCCAGCACTTTGGGAGGCTGAGGCAGGTGGATCATGAGGTCAGGGGTTCGAGACCAGCCTGGCCAACATGGTGAAACCCCATCTCTACTAAAAATACAAAAAACTAGCCAGGAGTGGTGGCAGGTGCCTGTAATCCCAGCTACTTGGGAGGCTGAGGCAAGAGAATCACTCAAACCCAGTAGGCAGAGATTGCAGTGAACCCAGATCACGCCACTGCACTCCAGCCTGGGCAACAGAATGAGACTCCGTCTCGAAGAAAAAAAAAGAAAATAAAATGCACGGCAATGGCACTGTACAAAGTGCAGGGTGGAATCCGCAAAGTTCCACTGAAGACAGTGTGGCAATGTCTGCCTTTGAGCTTAGCTTAGAGTGTTGGGACAAGGGGGAAGGCATGCTCGGAAATGCATTTTCTGTGTACAAAACTTCTCTGCAATCAAAAAATGGAAACAGACCGGGAGCAGTGGCTCATGCCTGTAATCCTAACACTTTGGGAGGCCGAGGCGGGCAGATTGCCTGAGGTTGGGAGTTTGAAACCAGCCTGGCAAACATGGTGAAACCCCGTCTCTACTAAAAGTACAAAAATCAGCTGGGCGTGGTGGTGCACACCTGTACTCCCAGCTACTTGGGAGGCTGAGGCACAAGAATGGCTTGAACCTTGGAGGTGGAGGTTGCAGTGAGCCGAGATAGTGTCGCTGCACTCCAGCCTGGGCAACAGAGCGAGACTCTATCTCAAGAAAAAAAAAAAGTAAATGTAAAAAAAAAAAATCATCCGCGGTAAAGATCTACAGAAGAAAAAGTGAGAAAAAATGGTTTGAACAAGGGTTGAGACATCTGGTTTGGGGATTCAGGCCAGCTGGGAGCAAAAAGAAGACCCTTGGGCACACCACGCTGCAGACCAGGAGGACCTGAGTCCGTGGCCCAGGATCTCTGTAGACCAGGGTCTCCGTGGACCAGGGTCTCTGTGTACTGTTAGCATAGCACTCCCCCAGGGCCAACCGAGGGACCCTGCCTGAGCTTCCTGGGGACAATGTGCCACCTGAGAAAACCCACAGCGACTGGTCAGGGTGGCTGGACAGAAGCAGGTCTCAGTCAACGCCTGCTGTGAATGAACAAGCCGCATCGGGAGGGACCAGTGCGTGCAGAGGGAACGTGCACCGGGGCCAGCCCCTGCCTAGAAGCAGAGCAGGAGGTCAGCAGAGGCAGCCCTGACCCCAGCCCCCGCCTCACCAACCCAATTCCAAGGTAGCACTGCAGGCAGATGGCCAGTGGGGACAAGGCTGGCCTGAGGCTTGCTGGGACACACGGTCCCTGCTGGTCCAAGGCTGGGACTGTGGAGCCCCATGAGGCCTCCCCAGAGCGGTCCCCTCACAGCCAGTTCCCTGTGAGCAGTGGAACTGCACCAGCACTCCTGTGGCAGGAACGGCTGTGAGCTCAACGTGGCAACCCACGTCCCGGGGAACCCATGCATGCTAAATGGGGGCCACCAGCCAGCATGGCAGGAGAAACACACATGTGAAGACAGAGGGCAGCACAAGAGAGGGGAGCGGCGGTGCTGAGCCCCAGGCCCAGTTGGTGCGGGACCCCTGGGAGGGAGGCACCCTGGGAGGGAATCAGCTCCTAAGTCACCACTTGCAGAGCCCACCAAGGGCCAATGCCAAACCTAGGCCTCATCTAACCCTCTGGGGGCTCCCAGGGCACTCCCAAGTGGCAGCCTCAGCTCGAAGGTGAGGAAAGTGAGTCAGGAACTGGCAGGTAATGGAGCATTCACACCCGGCAGAGTGGGGGCAGCAGGTTCCCCAGGTTCTCCGGGGACAGTCCTCCCACTGGACTTCAGGAGAGAGCTGCGGGCAGGCCTGTCTGTCTTGGGTTGGCAGAGGGGTGTGGACATTCCAGAGAGGGAAGTGAGAACACACACTGGACAGGAGGAAGCAGCGCTGTGTGGTCAGAGAGGAGCTGCCACAGGCTGGAGGCATGTGAGCCAGGGAAGGCAGCCCCTGTGGGTGAAGGGAAAGCAGGAGGGAAGCTGGGACCACACCTGCTTTATGGGTGGGGCCCTGGGGCTCAGAGAAATTAGAGATCTGCCCCAGGCCCCTGAGAGAGGCACCAGGATCCAATCTCTGCAGGACCTCCCAGTCCTGGCAGGAAGAGCCCAAGGGCACCAGGCGGAACTCCCAGGGCCGCCACCTTCAAGTTAGGCTCAGTTCCTCCATGAAGATCTCTCTCTTTTTAAAATGGAGATAACAGCGCATCACAGGGCTATTAACATTGAAAGTTTAAGTGTTATCAGGAACTACCGCACTCAGCAGGGGACAGGTATAAGGAAATCCCTTCTGCAATGACGTGAAGGCATCTAAGATGCAAAGAAGCTGGTCTGGAACACCCACTTCCACAACACAGCACCCAGGGGGACGCAGAAAACAGGGTAAACGGCTCCACAAGCAACTCCATCTCCCTGAACTGCCCCACGGCAGCACTGACTGAGGCCCCTCGATTGACCACTCGGAACCCAACATCAGTCTGAAAGGTCTCCAGAGGCTGGAAGCACCTGGGAAGGTTACCCTGGTTGAGTGAACGTGATGAGAAAAAACAACTTCTCAAGGCTGAAGGCCTTGAGTGCCCCAGCAGCCAGCAGCCCTGCACCGCCCAGGATGGTGCGGAGCTCATCTCGTAAGGTCAGAGGCTCCCTGGCTTTGGTGCTGGAGCCCTTGCCCCTCTGGCACAAAGGGACAAGGTGTCCACAGCCCGGGGTCAGCCCGACAAGACCACCATCCAAGCCTGGCCCCTAGGAAACAGGCTTCCAGCCTGGGCAACATGGTGAGACCCTCCCTATATAAAAATATTTAAAATTAGCAGGGCACAGTGGCTGACGCCTGTAATCCAACACTTTGGGAGGCTGTGGTGGGCGGATCACAGGAAGCCAGGAGTTTGAGACCAGCCTGGCCAACACAGTGAAACCTGGTCCGTGCTAAAAATACAAAAATTAGCCAGACATGGTGGTTCATACCTGCAATCCCAGCTACTCAGGAGGCTGAGGCACGAGAATCGCTTCAATCCAGGAGGCAGAGGTTGCAGTGAGTTGAAGTGCAGTTGCCCACTGCACTTTAGCCTGGGCAACAGAGTGAGACCCTGTTTCAAAAAACAGTAATAAATTAGCCGGGCATGGTGGCACACGCCTGTAGTCCCAGCTACTCAGGAGGCTGAGGCAGGAAGATGGCTTCAGCCCAGGAATTCAAGCTGTAGTGAGCTATGATTGCACTGCTGCACTCCAGCCTGGGTGACAGAGCAAGACCTCATTTCTTAAAAAAAAAAAAAAAAAAATTAAAATTAAAATTAAAATTAAAAAAAAAAAGAAGGCCAGGCGTGGTGGCTCACGCCAGTAATCCTAGCACTTTGGGAGGCTGGGGTGGGTGGATCACCTGAGGTTAGGAATTCAAGACCAGCCTGGCCAACATGGTGAAACCCCATCCCTATTAAAAATACAAAAATTAGCTGGGTGTGGTGGCGCACACCTGTGGTCCCAGCTACTCAGGAGGCTGAGGCAGGAGAATCGCTTGTACCCACGAGGCAGAGGTTGCAGTGAGCCGAGATCATGCCACTATACTCCAGCCTGGGTGACACAGCGAGACTCCATTGCCAAAAAAAAAAAAAAAAAAAAAGTGGAGGGAAAGACCCTCACGCCCTTTATCATATGAAGACAGAGCAAGAAGGGGCGATGTTTGAACCAAGAAATGGGTCCTCAGGAGACACCAACCTGCCTGTGCCTTGTTCTTGGCCTTCCAGCCTCCAGAACTTGAGAAAGAAATCTTTGTTGTTGCAAAGCCACCTGGTCTACGGTACGTGTTTGAAGCAGTCTGACCACCCTAAGTTACTGAGTCCCCCCCAGGTTTGCCACACTGAACCAGAAACACCAGTGAGGGCCTTGGGAGGAGGGTCAGAAACTGCTTCCTCTGGTTCTTCTCTACACCATCCACTTGGTGCTTCAGGAAGCACAGGCAGCTCCCTGGCTGCCTTCCCCTCTGAGTTATTAAAGCCAAATGCAACAGGGCTCCACCAAGAAGAGGCGGGCACCCGGTGGGCGCCGGGCACTCTGCCTGGCAATGCGGCAAGTGGATGCTGGCGGGGGAGGTAGGCCTGGGGTCCACGCCTAAGGCCCGCTAAGCCGAAGCAGAACTGTGTGGGCAAAAATAAATCCCCAGATGGACAAGGCTCTGAGGGGATCAGGAGAAAATCCACATGGAAATGTTTAAAATCTATTTCCCAGAACCCTATCATCACCAGGCAGAAACCACAGCCTGCATTTACAGGGCTTCCAGGCTCTCCCACAGACCCAGAAAACTTAATCAAAAACCTATCTGAACTTTACAACCACAAACTGGCACCAGCCACGGGCCCTTATCAGCACACAGCCTGGCTGCTGCAGAGATGGCACGAACTGTCAGGAACCAACCCGGGACTGACAGCCCGGCCAGTGGCCATGCCACACACAGCCTGCACCTGTGGACTTTCCATTTGCAGAGATCTAGGAAATGGCAAAATGCTTTCTTCTTTTTGCATAGATTTTTGAATTAGCAAAACTGCCACTGGCTAGTTCACTTGTTGAAAAAAACTGTTCCAATTTTATTTTAAATTTGATTAGCTTTAAACATTACCTCATTTCATTTCAGGAAAAGTTAGCAAGATTTTTCTCACACACAGCCACAGTATTAAAGAGAAGGACATGACACCCAAAATTGCAAAAAAAAAAACAAAAAACCTTCTCCATGTGACTGTTCACCCAGCTTCTCACTCCAGCTGTGGATGGTGGGCCACAGCGCTGCCCGGGAGGCCCACCTGCTGTGCGACAGCCCTGCGGCAAGCCCGACTGGCCCACCATCCCCCGTGTCCACACTCCCCAGGCTCTTTCTGCAAAGCCCTTCCCTTCATCCCACAGGCCATGTCCTTTAAAACTCAGTTCAAAGACTAGTGAGAGTCAACAGAATTGCTAACGGGTGATGAATCTGGGGATAACACGATTACACTATTTTCACTACTTTTAGGCATGTCTCAAAACAACCACAGTAAGAAGTTTTTAAGAAGAACATTCTGTTTCTTTCAAGGACTACCTGCTCAGACGTTTTCCGCACCCAGCCATGGGTCAGATGCCCTCCTCGGGGTTCCCAGGCCTGCCCCATCACCCTGGCCAGATGGCTGTCTTCTCAGGCACCTGCCTTGAGCCTGGCACTGAGCAGCCACCTGGGGACCATCTCCAGAATGGAACATACCACAGCAGGCCCAGTCCCCTGCTAGCTCACAGTCTGAGCCTAGTGACAGTGCCCAACAAGAGGGCAAAATTGGGCACCAAAGGCTCAACCCAGCAAGCCAAGTGGCCAACCCGAAAGAAACAAGGAAACAAATTGGAGCGGCAGCACCTCCTCCCTGACCTCCGCAGGAGCCAGGGAGCCAACCCAGAGGGCAGTGCCAGCTGGGCACAGCTGCCCATACCTGTGGCAGCCAGGAGTCCTTCCTTCCAAGCTCTTGGCCAGGGAGGAGGGGTGTGGGAACTAGCATGCTGCGTGGGCCAACAGCAGGGCTGGCCACAGAGCCCCCTCCAGCAGCAGCTACCTGGCATGGGGAGTGACCGCAAAGGTGCCTCAAAGTCGAATCCAAGGCATGGAGGGCACTGCTGCATTTCTCCACGCAGAAGACAAACGGCACTTTTCAGTGGGGGGTGGGGGGAGCTGATGAGCAGTGCGACCCAGTGGCCCACAACTGCACTAGGCCGGCCGTATCCGGTGGCTCCTCTCCCTCACCAGTGCCCCCACCAGGCGCTGCTCCAGAGGTCCCAGCTGGGCGCCCGGCACGGATGCAGATGCCGCACTGTCTAGCAGCGTGAGTGCTGCTGTGACCCCTTCTCAGGCGCTTACTGAGTGCTGGAGACAGAAACCCCTCACACACCCTGGTTACCACACGGAAGCAGAAGCTCCGAGCACTGGGTGGCTTCTGGAAGGTCACAAAGCCAAGGAGGGCCCAGCCCGGACTATAAACTCTCCCTGCACCCCACCCACAACGAGGACGCCAGGCTTCATGATGTTTCTACGGAAGGAGAAAGCGGACGGGGAGCCCCGTGCCTTTAAGAATTAAAAACACTCTCGACACCTCAATAGTTCAGTAGTGGACTAGACATGTTTTCAACAGCCTTGATATTCCCTTCGGCTTACCTAGGGAGACACCTGTCACACTAGAGACACCAGCTCCAGGCTGCAAGTCCATAACAAGACCACCTGAGCTGTGGGTGTCGTTCTCGCCACCAAATCAGAGCTGCCCTTCAAATGGGCACGGTTAGGGACAGCAGAGCGGCCGTGGCCGCAGCCCCGGGATCCGGCTTCATCCAGCAGAGGGTGGTGGTGCGCAGGCCCTGATGGGGGAGGACTTCCACACTCCAAGCTTTTAATGCCGTTTTACGTAAGCAACACGAAAAAAACCACTAGCAGTTATTCTAGTACTCCTGGCTGGGAGCGGATTTGCATACTGAAGTAAAGCCTCAGGTTAGGGCAGGAATTTCTAGAACCAGCTGGACTCTGCTGTACCTGTTCTTCTTCAGCAGCCAAAACGTTTCTCAAAGTCTTTTAAGAGACTGAAACATTGATTTCAGTATTAATACCCAAAATACCACGAAAATATAAGGATTTGCTGCTTTGGAGAAGGGACCAATGGAGGATCCCCTTTCCAGGGTGATTTAATCCGGTTCTGTGGGGGTAATTAGGGGCTGGCCTGTCTTCCTGGTCCCGTTCTTCACTGTTTAAACCGCAGGATTCCTAGAACACGACCGTGGAACTGCTCTTCTCCTCACCCATCCCTGGAATGAAGGCACTGGCCCCATGATCTGACGACATCATCGCCTCCCCAAATAGCTGCATGGCCGAATTGGAAGTGACGCATTCTTAGTGGACTCCTAATGGCCAGCCCTGAGGACAGAAGACAGGTTAAAACTTCAGCCGGACCCACATTACCGATTCCACAGAGTTGGGCGAGTAGCCTGCTTTCCTCCAACAAAGCTGGGAGACACCAGAGACCCCAGGTCCGTCAAATCTCCTCTTATGTCATAAAACCATCACACAACGCAAAGTTCTACTGCTCTCAGTCCTCAGCGTGCTGTTTCTGAGTGGGATGGGAAGTGGTGGTTTTTTGGTTACTAAACTGATTTTCTTACCAAATTTCATTAGGTCTAAAGGCTAAAAATAGTAAATCTTTCTACTTTTTGAGCATCTCCAGATTTGAGCAAATTCTCAGGGATGCCAAGTGTCAACGCCCCGGACCAGCCTCATCTGGTTCTCGGGCAGAGGCCCACCTTCCCAACCCACCCCATGGCCCTGATCCTAATGGCAACCTGATGGCCTGAGACCAGCTGCCTCGCTCCGGAACAGGCACAGCGATGCCCTGTGCAGGAAGAAGGGCGGAGCAGGGTGACCAGATTCCTGCCAGGCAAAAACCTCTAGCAAATCTAAAGTCTGGCCATGTCAGTCTTCTCTGCTTCTAACACACCTTTCTGTCAAATTAAAATTTAACCCGAGGCACAATTCCACTGTCTTACATTTTAGCCCAACCAGATGAAAATGCCGCAGCGTGCTTACTCGTGAAATGGTTCATCTTCTGCCCTTTAACACTGCGCATTTAGAAAACAGGCAATTAAATAGTAAAGCTTAACATGGAGCAGCACGGACCCCGTGACTCGACGAAGTGGCGTGGACCTTACCCGTGGACCAAGTGTGCGAACACAGCACAGCAAGCGCCCCGTGCAAACACAGGAGCATCCTGAGGGGCCTCCGGTGTGGGGAACTCAGAGAGCCGCAAGGTCCCCACAAACGCCTGCCTAAAACTGGACTGCCTGAGAAGCTGCTGTGGAGAAAGTCCCGGTGCCCAGGGAGCCCCCACCTCCAGCCTGCCTGCCCCGCCTAGACAAGAGGAAGGCACTCTTCCCAGGGAACGTTCCAGCAACAGAGATGTACCCGGTACCAGGGACAGTTCAATTATCCCTTTAATTAAGGCACCTTAAACGGGCCCCACCCCCCAGCTCTTTGAGACCTCCTTCCGGTGTATTTTGTGCATTTAGTAATTGTTTATCAAGATCAATGATATTTATGTTTCTGTGATCAATTCTGTACTGATAATTACAATGACATAAAACATTCTTCTGGATGTTAACATAGCCTAATGATCACAGAAATGTTTTAAATTGCAATATATACTTTTGTCACAGAGAAGTATGGAGAACAGTCCATAGGTCGGGTGCAGTGGCTCATGCCTGTAATCTCAGCACTCTGGGAGCCTGAGGCAGGAGGGAGGGTCGCTTGAGGCCAGGAGTTCATGACCGGCCTGGGCAACATGGTGAAACTCTGTCTCTGCCAAAAATACAAAGAAAAATTAGCTGGGCATAAGCCCAGCTACCTGGAGGGTGGAGGTGGGAGGATCACTTGAGCCGGGGAGGTCGAGGCTGCAGTGAGCCATGATCTCACCACTGGACTCCAGCCTGGGGGACAGAATGAGACCCTATCTCAAAAAAAAAAAAAAAAAAAAAAAAAAAATCCTGGGCAACTCAGTGAGACCCCATCTCTGCAAAAAATAAAAATAAAAACTAGCTGGGCATGATAGCATACACCTGTGGTCCCAGCTACTCAGGAGGCTGGAGAGAGAGAATTGCATAGACCTAGGTGGTCAAGGCTGTAGCGAGCCCTGATCCCACCACTGCACTCCAGCCTGGGTGACAGAGGGAAACACTGTCTCAAAAAAGAAAAAAAAGAATGAGGGATGAAAAGACTTTCAAATGGAGCAAACATACAAGTTCACAAAGAAAAAAACTGCCTTGTCAAGACTGTTAAGAACAATTTGTTCATTTTTTAAAAGGGTGACTGATGGTAGGTATCATTAGGATATTTAACATTGGATACTTTTTAAAAAGCAATACAATGGTTACTTTTAAATGCCAACATTATACTAGAAATTGCATCTTTTGCAGTTGTTTCAAATTAGGACCAAAAATTTAAACATCAACTTAAAAATGTGTCTATAGTTTTTCAAAGTTTTTTTTGTTTTTTAGATGGAGACAGAGGCTTGCTCTTTCGCTCAGGCTGGAGTGAAGTGGCGCAATCTTGGCTCACTGCAACCTCCACGCCACTCACCATCACCACCACCACCACCACCACCCCCATCCCCGCTGCCCTCCCTCCCCCCGACCCCACCCCTGCCCCCAGGTTCAAGCCATTCTTGTGCTTTAGCCTCCTAAGTAGCTGGGATTATAGGCGTGCACCACCACACTTGGCTAATTTTTGTATTTTTAGTAGAGATGGTTTTGCCATGTTGGCCAGGCTGGTCTCGAACTCCTGACGTCAGGTGATCCACTCACCTTGGCCTCCCAAAGAGCTAGGATTACAGGCATGAGCCACCGCGGCAGGCGTAAAGTTATTTTACAGAACACATAAGCAAAAATGTTTTCAGGCCTTTGCTTGACAGCAATGTAACTCTAAAACATTCCTAATTCATTCATCACTGACAGTGAAAAAGCTGCCTCTACGATACTCAGGCAGTCCCCCTCGCCTCGTGTCTAACATGCTCTTAATATGCGATTTCATCTCCAGCGTGGAGATGTCAAACCCCTCCCCTCAAAAAACTTACAAAATATTCCCTTCCCATATACACCAAACCAAAAACCATGCTCTTGAATAAATGTATTTCCCTAAAATGATGACTACATTGTTGGTGATAAGGAACTTATTTTCTGTTTTTTCTTATTTTCTTGTTTTCTGGCCTTACAATGTCTTTTTTTTTTTTTTTTTTTGAGACAGGGTCTCACTCTGTTGCCCCAGCTGGAGTGCAGTGTGGGTGTGATCTCCCCTCACTGCAGCCTGGACCTCCTGAGCTCCAGCAATCCTCCCGCCTCAGCCTCTCGAGTAGTTGGGACCACTGATGTGAGACACCGCATCCGGCTAATTTTTTTGTATTTATAGAGACAGGGTTTTGCCATGTTGTCCATGCTGGTCTCAAACTCCTGGGCTCAGGCAATCTGCCCGCCTCAGCCGCCTAAAGTGCTGGGACTATAGGCACGTGCCATCGTGCCCGGCTAATTTTTGTTTTTTTTTTTTTTTTGGACAGGTGGGGTTTTGCCGTGTTGCTCAGGCTGGCCTGGAACTCCTGGACTCAAGCGATCCTCCTGCCTCAGCCTCCAAGAGTGCTGGGATTGCAGGAACGAGCCTCTGTGCCCAGCCTGAGTGATTTCCTAAAATTGTGCAATAAGGGTCATATATAAAAGTATAATGACCACCACACCTGACCAGGTAAGCACTGTGTTGATCCCTCTTTATTATCTATTCTAAGGGTTTGCTATGCATTTTTCACTCAAGATTTTCCTTTCTTTGAAATAGGAAAAATTTGGTTGCCAGTCAATTCAGATGGCTCCAGGATTTCAAGGCAGAACCCCAAGAGAAACCTTGGGGCAAACTACAAAAACTCAGAGCAAGTAGCATAACAGAACCCCAGGTTGGAAGGGACTTTTCAATGCAGCAAATTAAGCACCTCTGGGCCAGAGTTCAGGAATGCAGTTTCCTCTCACTGCCAGCAAAATCCTTCAACAGGTTTAGGAGGATGAAAGTACCGAGACCCAGGTCTGAACAATACCTCCCTCACTGGGGCCTGGGCCCAGTAGAGGTGGGAGGGTGAGATGGCCAAGCTCAATGACTTGAAAGGTTACGCAAATCCCTTCAGCTGCCTCAGGATCCCACTCTGGACTGGCTGGCACCCTTATTCCTGCACTGGGGACAAAATGCCCAGCACTATTCCCCCCCGCGGCTCCCGACAGACTCTGAGAGTGAACTTGTGTTCTGGAGCCCTCACTAGACAGGAAGGTGGGCCTTGGGATGACCCTCAAAATAATGCAGCTACAGCCCAGCCCCTCTAACTTAAGAGAAATCCCACCAGCTGCGGTAGTATGAACCTATAACCCAGCAGCTACTTGGGAAGCTGGGGCAGGAGGATCACTTGAGCCTAGGGGTTCAAGACCTGCTTGGGCAACACAGTGAGACCCCCTGACTCTTAAATACACACACACACACACGCAAAGGAGAGAGACTATAATGCCAGCACTTCGGGAGGCCCAGGCAGGCAGATCACTTGAGGTCAGGAGTTCAAGACCAGCCTGGCCAACATGGTGAAACCCCATTTCTACTAAAAATACAAAAATTATCTGGGCATGGTGATGTGCACCTGTAGTCCTAGCTATTCGGGAGGCGGAGGCAAAAGAATCGCTTGAACCTGGGAGGTGGATGCTGCAGTGAACCAAGATCGCACCACTGCACTCCAGCCTGGGTGACAGAGTAAGACTGTCTCAAAAAAAAAAAAAAAAAGGGGGGGAGAGAGAGAACTTCCTCTCCCTCTCACCTGAAGTCCCCAAGCTACACAGCAGCTGAGCCAAAGAGAACTCAGAGCCCTTCTCTCCATCATCAGGGTTTTGTGCTATTTCCCGCAATCTAACCAGTCGCACTCAACAAATGACCCCTACCAAGTGTCCCGTCTTCCTGGGGCAATAACACCCACGTCGTCTGAGGTGGGAACAACAGCAACCCATCCACGGCTCTCAAAGGGCCACTCTATCAGGGATATGAAACACTAAGTGGGTTATGCGGCTGCCCTCTAAGTCTGTGGATGTTTTTAATCTTCTTAAAATGCCTCCTCCAAAAGTCACTTGCCAAGGAGGCCACTTCGTAAACACTATGCTGTTTCTCCTGTCACCTCCACCCAAATGGCAAGGGGTTGAAAATGACAATATGACCTGTTAAGCTTCCCTTTCGGCAGGCCCTCTCCTGATTCAGGGTAGAGAAGATTCATTTCCACGAACATTAAAGAGGTCTCCCGGTCCTCTGAAAGTGCCTGATTTCACAAAAGCTTAGCATTTGATACTCGGGGGAAAAGGCCACTAGAAGCACATTTTGAAAGTTTCACATTTAAAAAGATCCTTGTTCATTGATTTTGGTGGGGTAATTAAGCTAATCTAAACAAGGGGACCTTGTCTAGGAGCCGGTGGGGGAGGTGCAGCCGCTCAGGTCCTCTGCATGAAAACCCACTGCAGACGCCTGCTTTTGGGGTCCTCTCACCCCTTCCTTTCTACAAGGCTGCTCTTCGGCTGGGAGGTTTGCTCCCTCTGGTCAAATCTGTTTCCTGGCTCAGGTGGAGACAACCCTTCTGATGGTGTTTCACTAAGTGCGCCTTCGTCAGCATAATCACGCAGTGATGAAAACCTGGGGAACCTAGGAGGCCAGCGAGGAACAGTCCTCACCCATCATTAGCAGGAACGCGGCTTCCAGCATATTCTGCCTCCACAAATTACAGACACGACTCTGCCAGGGGTGTTCCCAAGAAGGGCACTGGCAATTTGGGGTTGTCTGCCACCTACAGTGCTTGTCAGTCACCCTCACTCGGTGCCAGGCCACAAGGCTGTTGGTCACAAACCACCCCAGCCAGCCACTGGGCGTCAGGACCCTCGGGAAGAGCGGGAGAGGGCACTGGGATGCACCACGGTCAGAACGACAATCACAGCCCGAACCCCTGCGCTGCACTCCTCTGTCCTCCCCACCTCTCTCCTGACAACACAGATACAATCCATTCACCACCAAGCAACCTCAAGATTGGCTGAAATACCTTCCTCGGCTCCTTTCCTCCATCGGGAAAGTGGGGAGCTGCCGCTGCCGCAGCCCTCTCCTTCCCTGCAGATCTGCGGGGCGGGCTGGGGCGGGATCTCAGAGCTCACGGAAAGGAGGCAGAATCCGGTTTACAGGCTTGCTCCGCCCCTCCCCCACCCCCCTCCAATAAGCAAAGTTAGAGGGTGTTACAAGCTGCAAGACACACACCTTGGAGCTCACCCAGTCCAATCTCTGATCTGCTTTCACGATGCGACAAGGGCCAAAGCTGCAGCACGCATCTCGGCAGGGCAGCAGGCCACTCCCCCCACGAGGCCCGGGAGGTGGCCCTGGGCAGCCTCCCCACTCCCCGCCCTGTGAACACCTGGGCCAAAAAAACACACCTTTAAATACCCAGTGTGTATTTCAAACACATTTCAAACGATTTGCTTCTTTCCTTTACAGCCACTGCCACAAAAACAATTAGCCTGAACGGGTGTGAAATCCTTGATGTGTAAGACGACCTAGTTCCCCAGCCTCTCTCTAGAAACACATGAGTTCTTTACTGCGCCTGAGTCTCCTCCACCCGGAACCTGCAGGGCTGCCTCTTCTCATCAAGTGGCTTCTGCAAAACCTCTCCCAAGCATTTAAATAATCTCTGCTCGTTCTTTTAACAATAATTCAAACCTAGCAGAAAAGTGAGGACACTATACATTTCTTTTAAGGACAGTGTGTGTTACCTGCTCTGATCCCCATGTGTTACACTCCCTAACCTGTACACCAATACTCCAGCTTTTTGTTTTCTTATTTTTTCCTAAAGCCAGCACAAAATAACAGAAGGATAAGATTCCTACCACATTCTACCTGTCTGCCAATGACACAGGAAGGATGAGACCGTCTGGGGAATGGAAGCGCAGGGCGCTCTCAGTAATGCTGGGCAGATGCAGTGGCTTTTCCCCAGCAGAAATGGGCTTCGATTCAGAATCTACCAGCCCACAAGAATCATCTGACCCCACAACAATTAGTTCAATCACTCATCTGGTAAACCCTCCTCGCTCCGGGTCATAGACTGGAAAAGACAGCCCCCAAAACAGTAATAAAAACGACAAGCCCTGTTTTGCTGGAGTCAGCTGAGGTATCAGATGGGGGTCAGTGGCTAGGTCTGTGAACCTGAAGCCACACTCCATCAGTGACCCGCACTGGAGAGACACAAACACCTCAGGCTCCTTAGGAGGTCAAGCGGCCCTTCCCAGCCCTCCCTAGCCCCCGCCTTCTAGAATCATTCTGAATAGCTAACCAGGAGGCTGGGCCCCGTGTGGATCCGCCTCCGCTGGAAAAGCCGCTGCTGGAAGTGCTCCAATCCAGAGCAGGATACCTGGGGGAGGAACGGGTTAAGCGCAAAGGGGAAAGGGGCAGCGGGTGCTGAGACGCAGAAGGTGCGGGGACTTCTACAGAGCAGGGAATCTGGGCCCGGATGAACTGATGCCCTGGCCTCTTTCCTCCAGGGACAAGGTCGGTCTCAGGAAATCAAGGTATCTTCAAAGGGACACAAGGGAGCGCAGTGCCGATGAGACCGGGGCAGAGCCACAGTCTGGCGGTGCAGGCTGGGGGTCCGAGGCGGGGGACACTGGCTAGCAGTGCTGCCAGGGTCGTGTGTGCACTGGGCAGAGGGAAAGGAGGGGAAGAAGGGAAGGGGAAGAAGGGGAAGAAGGGAGTGTGTTCGGTTGGGAGGACCGGTCCAGACAGAGGGGAGAGGGGGCCACTTCGCGAGTGGTGTATCGCTGGTTGAATTCTCATAAGTTAGAGATAGCAGGCAGGGGTTAGAAGGACAAGACAGGGTCAGGACCAGGAGTTAGAGGCGCCAGGCTCCTCTCTGGGTAGAGAAACCGAGGAACTGGGGGCGGGGAGGACTGATGGGTGCGAAAGCGGGCCGGGTCCAAATGAAGGCGCGCGCCCCGGGGTGGGGGCCGGGGTGGGGGGAATGAGGGAGGCTGCAGGGCTGGGGACCAGGGCAGGTGCAATCCGGAAAGAGGAGGCGGGAAGGAATTGGGGGGCCCTGAGGAGCCAGCGCAAGCCGGGTGGGGGCACGTCCCCTCCCCCGGAGAAGGTGCGGGGCTGGGGCTGCGGCGCGGACCCGACCTGGAGGCCGAGGCTGTGCGGGAGGTGGGGGTGGGGAGGCTGCAGGTGCCCGGCGCCCAGGTGCGAGGTGCAGGGGGCGGCGGGGCAGGCGGCTGCGGGCGGCAGGCCACTCACCTGTCTCCTCCGGCCGGGGCCGCGGGGGCGGCGGGGCGGCCGGGCCGGGCCGGGCAGGGGCTACGGGGGCGCGGAGCCCCGGGCGCACCGGGGTCGGGAGGCGGCTGCGGGTCCGGGCGGGGGCTGCTCCCTCGGCCGGCCGGCCGGGCGGTCAGTCAGCGACGCGGGCGCGGAGAGAGCGCTGCGAGGCTGCGGCCGGCGCGCGGAGACAACGCCGCTTTATCGGGTCGGAAACAGCCGCTCCGCGCCGCTTCCGCTGACGCAGCGCCGGCCCCTGCGCCTCATGACTATGCAGCACCCGCCGCCGCGGGACGGGGATTCGGGGGGCGGGGTCTGCGCCGCGCGCGCTCATTGGCCTCCGCTGCCGCCCACCCCGCCCCCGAACGGCCGCCCCGCCCCCGCCGCGCCCCTGCCCCGCCCCCGCGCGCACCGTGGCTCCCGCCCCCGTCTCGCCATGGCCCCGCCCCCAGCCATAATCCAGCCCCGCCCCCGCCCTCCTCCCGCTACGCCCCCGGCCCCGGCCCCGGCCCCGGCCCCTCCGCACCGAGCGTCCGCCCTCTCTCCCCTAAAGCGCTGGCCCGCAATCCACCCCATCCCTCTCTGCAGCCGCAGGAGGTGGCCCCCGCCTGTCCCCACCTTCTCTCCCCGCTCCTCTCGCCACTCTGTCGCAGAGGGGTCCGGCTAGCCACGAGGCCCCGGCCCCCGGCAGCCCAGCCCCTTGGCAAGCACCCTCCCGCCCCCTCCGCCCCTGCCCGTGGCGCGGCGACATGGGCCCCATCCAGGTGCTGCAGCCCCTCCTCCGCTGCAGGAGAAAACTCTCCTGTTTTCCCCTCCCTGCCACCCTCCGAAGACCTCCTACCTGGTCCCGGACCACGCCCCCGTCCCCAACTCCCCCAACGCCCCGCGCTCTGCGGGTCCCCTCTCCAACCTGGAGAGCGGGGCAGGACGAAGACCCGACCCGGAGCTTCCTGGAGGCTGGGCCTCCCTCTCAGGCTTGGCCCTGGCCAGGGACACTGATCCGTCTCTCCCCACGTGTAGAAGGGCCACAATCCCTAGGGCAGGACTGCTGGGAAACCCCATCAAGACAAGGTCTGGGGAGGCGGCTTTAACAGACAGATGTGATGGGCTGAGGCCAACCCTGTTAACGTCGCAGCCCTGCACCCTTGCCAGGGTTTAAGTTGCTTTGGAGGAATTACTTCATTTCTCAGAACCTTGGCGTCCTCATCTGTAAAATAGAAATCGTAAGATCCATCTCACCTGTTGCTAAAGGAATTTAGAAGTGAAGTGCAGAGCAGAGCCTCCAAGAGCATCGGAAATGGGAAAATCTGACCATATCAAGTGTTGACAAGGAAATGGAGCAACTGGAACTGCCAGACACTGTTGGTGGACATGCAAAGTGGTACAACTTTCAAAATCTTTTTGAAAGGCCTTGATTACCCAGCAATTCTGCTCCTAGATACACACCTAACATTGTGTTTCTGTTGATAGCAGCAGTGTTTATAATTGCCCCAAACTGGAAACTACTGAAATGCTCATCAGCCGTTAAATGGATACATAAATTGTGATATATTCACACAGTGGAATGACAGCAATGACAGTGAATAATCAACTACACACAACAACATGGATGACTCTCACAAATGATGTTGAGGAAAAGAAGCCAGAGGATAAAAAGCCATATTTGTTTCCATGTGGATAAAGTGGTAGAAGGTGTATATGGGGGTAGCAGTCAGGATAGTGGTTACCCTTGGAGGGAGGGGTGCCAGAGCCAGGAAGCAGGGCACAGAGGACGTGTCTGGGGGCTGGCTGTGTTCTGTGTCTTGGTCTGAGTGCTGGTTACAGTGTGCTCAGTTTATGATGACTTTTCCAGCTGTGCAGTCAAGATGCATGTGCCTGTGGGGCACGGTGATTCACGCCTGTAATTCTAACACTTTGGAAGGCCAAAGCGGGTGGATTGCTTGAGCCCAGGAGTTTGAGACCAGCCTGAGCAACATGGTAAGACCCTATCTCTATTAAAAAAAAAAAAAGACGTGTGTGTTTTTCCATGTGTATGCAGTATCTCAACAGAGGGTTAGTAAGTACATCAATGGTCTGTAGACAGTCCAAAGCAGCATCAGACACATCATGAGTGCTCAAACTGTACATCTGCTTCCCTGGTGATTTTTCTTTCAATGGCCAAAGGATAGAGGCAGCGGCAATTCCAGGTGTGCTGTGAGCCAACTGTGTGAGCCTGGGCGCCTACTTAACCTCCCTGAGTCCTCTTCTATAAGTGAGCATTCTAATAGTACCTAGTTCACAAGTTGTCCTGAAGCTTAAACAAAATAGCAAAATGATGCTTTTTAAAATGACAATACAATCAAGAGGACAGAACAGGTAAAGACTTTGTTTATTCACAAATTGCTGGTATTGATTGAATTGTCTTCATTGTCATTCATGCAGTAACCAACTACTGAGTGTGTGCCTACTATGTGCCACACGCTTTGCTGGGTCCTAGTACTGGAGCTGGGAACATGATCCCATCTCTCTTCTTAAGGAGTGCATTGTGGGGTATGTACCAGCCATGGTAGCCATGGAGCCCAGTCTAGGATCAGCCTTGTAGTAGGTGCTCCATAAGTATTTCTTGGGGCTGGGCATGGTGGTGGCTCATGCCTGTAATCCCAGCACCTTGGGAGGCCGAGGTGGGTGGATTGCTTGAGCTCAAGAGTTCTAGACCAGCCTGGGTAACATGGCGAAACCCCATCTCTATTAAAAATACAAAAATTAGCTGATTGGGGCAGTGTGCATCTGTGGGCCCAGCTACTTGGGAGGCTGAGGCGGGAGAATCACTTGAACCTGGCAGGCAGAGGTTGCAGTAAGCTGAGATCGCACCACTGCGCTCCAGCCTGGGCAATAGAATGAGACCCCATCTCAAAAAAAAAAAAAAAAAAGCCTCTAAAAGAGTAACTGAATGCAAGTATAGAAGTATAGGCACCAGCCTAGCAACATAGCTAGGCCCCATCTCTACAAAGAATTCAAAAATTAGCTGGGTGTGGTGGCACATGCCTGTAATCTCAGCCCTCAGAAGGCTGAGGCAGGAGGATCACTTGAGCCTGGGAGTTCAAAGCTACAGTGAGCTATGATTGCACCACTGTGCTCCAGCCTGGATGACAGAGCAAGACCCTGTCTCAAAAAAAAAAAAAAAGAATGTAAGTGTAGGCATGAAGTTTCTTGTGAATGAAACTTAGAAGGCAGTTTCTAAGCCTGAGATGTGGAAACCCAACTAATTTACTTCTATAACCTGGAGTTAAACACAGAGACCAGAGTAAAGTTAAGAAAAAATATATCCCCATTGTGCAAGCACCTCAACAAGTGTGTGTGCATGCGTGTGTGCATATGTGTGTGTGCATACGTGTGTGCATGTGTGTGCATGTTTGCATGTGCGTGTGTGCATGTGTGTGTGTGTGCGTGTGCATGTGTGCGTGTGCATGCCTATGCAAGAGGGCAGTGGCAGGGCCACCCTGCAGCACTCCTTCCCAGCCTACCCGGCCAGGGCCTTATATTACCTGCCACCACCAAGAAGGGTGATATGTGTCAGTGGCCTGTGGCCCCATTGTCCAGCTGCCCATGGAAGCCGGGGAATGGAATCCTCAGGGCCCCCACACATCTTTGCCCCACTCCACCCCCTCCTTAAATGGCTGGCTCCCCAGTCCTGTGAGGAGAGAGCTTGATACGGGGAAGCCCTCTTGCCCAGGGGTCAGAAAGACACGGACTCTGGCCTGGCTCTGAAGCAGGCGTGCCTGGGCCCTTAGCTGTCATGGGTGTGTGACCTGTGTAGTCACACATACCCAGTGCTCAGAATAGCTCCACGCTTGGCTTAGCGCTCTGCTGTTGCCATCTTTAAATGCTTCACAGCTTTTAAGAAGGGCCCCACAAATGCTGTGGCAAATCCTGCATCTTTGTGAGCATGACAACCTCCCCGATGCTGGGACGAGTCCAGGGCGTGGTGCCTCCATCACTGCTTAGGTTCCAACCTTGTCTTCTCCGTGCCTCACCTGGGGATGCCTTGGAGCAGGGCCAGGCCCCTCTCATCCCCAGCGCTCATGTGTGCACACCTTCCTGTGAGATGGGTGTCATCCTGCAGAGGAGGAAGCTGCGACACAGGTTGTTGGTACCTGTAGCCGCACAGCTGGTAGGCGATAGAGCCGGGATTTATACCTGGGTCATATCTGGTTAGGTGTTAGGTGAACAGGCTGACTGATTGAATGAATGAATGAATGAATGACGTCCGTGAACACACCCATCTTACTATTGCTGGGCATCATTCCCTTCCTCTCCTCTGTGCCTCGTAAATGAAGAGGAAAGAGCCTGTTTGGTGCAAAACGTCCACATCCCACAAACAGGCTGTGACCTGCTCTGAGCCAGAGGCCAGCTGGTGACCTGGTATGGACAGCTCCTACCTTGGTTGAAAAGACAAGACTGCCCTCTTTGGACCTTGTGGAGAACACACTGGGCCATGGGAGAGAGGTAGAAGGTGCTCCGCACAACAGGTAAATCAGGAGAGAAGGAGAAGGAATGAAGGCCACTCAGACTTCTCCAGCCCCTGCCCTCAGCTTCCCTGGCCCTCTGTCAGCCTTTCCATTGCACAGACGAACAAACCAAGGCTCAGAGGTAGCGTGACTTGCCTGAGCAGCCTCTCTTCCTAGGAAAAGCAGGAGGGCTTCCGGGCAGGAAGCCCCCACGGAGGTGGAGGCTAGAGGGCTGGTGAGGCATGCGGGTGCCAGTAGAGCCCGCGGGTGCCAGTAGAGCCCGCGGGCGCCAGGAGCTCCACATTCCTGGCAGGCCTGGCAGGTCCCCCCTCCCCTGGCTCTCTCCTCTGTCACACCAGGTGACTGTCCGTGCCACCCTTTTGAGCCCATCCCCAGACCTTTGCATCTGCCATTTTCTCTTCTGGGAGTGTCCCTGGTGCTCTCCTGCCATGAGGAAGTGTCCGAGAGCAACAACCATTGATCCCAGTTTGAAAGGAAAGGGAGGGAGGTGGTACATATGGAAGCCCTCCCTGAACTGGCTCCAATTTTACTATGATTCAAACAACAACCCGCCTTTAACCAAGGGCCTGCTGTGCTCCAGCTGCCCTCAACCCCTGCCCAGCTTCCTTAGAGAATGGAGGCACAGGATTCTCTCCAGAGACCACAGCCTACACAGCGGTGGGGTGGGGGCGGCAAGTAGGTGGGCCCTGAAGAGGGAGGAAAGAGAGGGGATGAGCTGAAGCAGTGTCCCAGCCAGACAGTCCCTTAGTGACACCTCCTGTGCTCCTTCACAAATCTTTTATCTTTTCAAAGCAACAAACACGTTTTTAAACAAACTCGTTCACAAAACCCCAATATGTCAATTAGCACGCTCATGTATCACCAGGTGTTCCTAAGACACTGCCCCGCTTGGCTCTCGTGCTTAGGGCGCTGATGTTCAGGCTGTGTCTACTCACCCTGCCAGCGTCCTTCCGCCTGCTCCGCCCCTTCCCCAGGAGCAGCCTCTGCTTAGGTGAGGCTAAGAGCGCAGGAGCAGAGTTCTAGCTTACTGTGTGACCTTGGAGAAAATACCTAATCTCTGTGAGCCCCAAGGCAAAATGAAGAGGGTGTGAGCTCCACAGAGGGTAGGGGCCAAAGCCCTGGGATGCAGGTGAGTAGGTCCACAACCCGCAGGTCTTGGATCTCAATTGCCCAGGAGGGGACCCGAGACCCTAAAGACCATGTGCCTGCCCAGTGTCCTGGGCAGCCAAGGGCTTTCAGAGCAGCCCCAGGGCCGGGACACGAATCCAGGTCGGAACCTCCAGGTACCTGAATTGGCTCCAGAGCAATGGGCTTCTGGGGTCCCACGGCTTCTCTTCCTGGGGTCATATGGCTGCCCGGTGTCATATGGCCACCAAGGGGCCATGTGGCATCCTATGATCGTGAGCTTCTTGGGGTCTCATGGCTACCTGAACCATGCGATTGCCCACGGTCACAATCGCTAGGAGTCACACAGCTACCTGACGATGGAGTGATTTAGCCACTCGGGGTCATACCCCAGGTCACATGGACACCTGGGGCCACACGGCTCCCCATACTGGTGTGTCTCATTGGAAGTTCAATGCAATCCAGGCCATTCCACTGCTTCTGTGTCCTGGGTGAGCCCCATCCCCTCCCTGAGCCTCAGTTTCCTCATCAGTGAGGTGGACAGAATCTTTGTTTCTCTAGCACAAAGGACTGTATGAGAGGATTATGTGAGGAAATGACAGTGCAGGGCCCAGCGGAGGTCATTGACTAGGAAGAGCTCATCAGTGACCACAGTGCCAGGAAAGGGCAGCTGCCCAGGACTGGCTGTGGCCGTCAGCACGACGCTGGCCCTCCAGGCCTGGGCAGAACCTGAAGATTCCCCAGAAGAGACTGAGGCAGGTTTTCACTGAAGGGCCTTCCCCACATGGGCCCGCCCTGGGCAAAGGCCGGGTTTCAGAAGCACGAGAGGGGTGAGGGGCTGGGACAGGCTCCACGCCCGCCCGGCAGCAGGATGTGCACGCTTGCAGCTCTGCGATGCCTTTCTCTGTAGCTGTCTTATATCCCACAATGAAACCTGTAAAATAAGTCAACACGATCAGACACCGACTTTGTCCAGGTTTGAGGGCCTCAGCACTTGACCTCTTTCCTGGGGACGTCTTCGAGCGGCCAGATGGGGGTCTTAAAGAGCTCCTTGAGGCCCGTGTGTGGGGCATATGGGGTGGGGCTGAGAAATTGGATCTAGAGCCTAGTGGGGCAGTGGCTGGCTAGTGCTTGTTCAGCTGGGCTGGTCAGGGCCCAGATAATGATGCGGATCAGTTACCACAGGGCTCCAAAGCCAGCTGGGCCCCCGCCTGATCAAAGTAATCTCGTGTTGACAGCAGCCCTGCGCTGGGTGCCATTAGATTCCCCATCTGCTAGAAGAGGAAACTGAGGCACAGAGAGGGGAGGTAGCTGGCCTAGGGTCACGTATCGAGTCAGTGACTGTGCCAGGGTTTGAACCCAGGCCATCTGGCTCTGAGTCCTCGTGCCCCCTTCCACAAGGTCACAGGGCCTGCCAGGGGCTCCTAGACTGTCAGAGTGTGGAGTGGTTGCTGCATCTGCTGGCATCTCTAGCCCACCTGTCAGGATGGGGAGGAGGGGCAGGGCCCAGTACAGGGGCTGGCACTGGAGCCATAGCCATGAACCAAATGACCAGGGTGACCTGGAAAGGAAGCAGGGAGGCAGCCACCCAGGGCGGCCAGCAGGGTGGAGCATCTGGCACGGCTTCTCACAGTGAAGGGTAAAGGCAGGTGATGTCTGGGGTCACCCCACCCAGGACCCCTGCGGCAGGCCCCACCTGCTGATGGCACCAGGGCAGGGCGGAACCCAGGGTAAGCCTCCCTCCCAGACATCCCCTCCAGGCCGTGGTCCTCAGCCCAGCTTCGTCTCTGGACTCCCACCCCTGCCCCTGCTTAGTCAGCAGCCTCCTAAGCCCTCTGGGTTGGCTCTCCCTTTTCCTGCGTTTGCTTACACTGCTCATCCTGCCGGTAGTGCCCACCATTTCCCTTGGGTCTGCCTGTCCCATGTGTCCTCCTCCAGGAAACCCTCCCAGACCACCCCAGCTCTCAATAATTCCTGCCTCCCCCAGCACATAGCAAAAATAAGGCCCACCTAGGCTTTAAGTCCTGAATCATCATTTAAAGAACCGCCTATACTTTACAACGTGCTTGTCCTGTCCACAGTCTCATTGGAGCCTCTGAGCAGCCCTGTGGAGTCAGTTCTGGTCTCCCCTTACAGATGGGGGCCTAAAAGGTGAGGGCAGGACCAGAGCTCACCTGGGGTGTCACTGCACCAGTAGTTAATACTCACTGAGACCTACCTGGGTGCCAAAGCCTGGCCTATGTGATTTCTAATCATTCATTCGTTCATTCACTCATTCACTAAACATTGACTGAGCACCTGCTCTGCTCCAGGCACTCTGACATAGATGCTAGGGAGGCCACACCTCCTGGAATCTGCATCCCAGCTGAGAGACAGCCAAGGAGCAAGGAAGCAAGTGACATGCAGTAAGCCGGCCAGCGATAGCTGCTGTGGAAATGCGGGGAAGGGGGCAGGCAGAGTCCCCCTTGAAGGGGACTTTGAGGAAGGGCCTGAAGGAAGAGAGGGAACGGGCAGAGGAGTTAGCTTCATCTCTCAGTGGGAGTTAGACACCCCCTACCCCACGATCAGGCACAGTAGGGCTGCCCTCAGCCACCTTGCTGCAGTTCTCCTGGCCCTGCCAGCCAGCCCCCTTCCAGCACCAGCTGCCTTCGACCCTCTGCCCTCAACTGTGAGCACTATGTGGGTGGGCTCTAGCCCACCCTGTCCGTCCCTGGGTCCCTGGTACACAGTTCACAACTTGCAAAGGAACGGACGAGAAAGGAGTGAATGAGAGAGCGTGACTGGCCTGGCTCCCAGCTGCATCTTGTCTAGGGTACAGGTGGGTGCAGGAATGTGCCCTCCCCTAGGAGGAGGCCCTGTAGGAAACGGCACACCCTGGAGAAACTAGTGGAAATGAGGCGCATCCTGGTTCTGATGCTTTCCTGTTCACCCACGGGCTCACACACTCCTGCGTTCATGCACGCATGCATTCATTCATGCATCCTCCCGTTCTGGAAGAAGCACAGGTGGTCAGGGTCCCGTGGAGTGTGAAGCAGAACGGATAAAGTCCCTGCTCTCAAGGGCGTTACATCCAAGGACATAGCAATAAATACATAGTGGAAGACCAGGTGGTACTAAATACACAAAGAGGGCAGAGCAAGGAGGGTGTTGCTATGGATAGCAGGTGGCCAGCAAAGCCCCCCCGAGTGGGGTACGGGAACCCCAGGAGGGTCTGAGCAGAGGAGGGACTCAGGGATCTCGATGTTTTAAAAAGGCTCAGGCTGCTGCTGAGGGTGGCTGGAGGGCACAGGACGTGGGAAGCTTCTTGACAATTCAGGGAGCTGATGGCTGCAGGCAGGGTGTTGGCAGTGGAGGAGCCGTGGCCGGATTCTTGGTAAACACTGAAGCTGCAGGGCGGAATCACTGGAGGGCTGGGAGTAGGATGCGGCTGTAAAAGCTTGCATAAGCCTCCTGAAGCCTCAGTTTTCTCGCCTGTGAAGTGGGGTGCTAGTACCTCACTGCCAAGGCTCTAGTGAGAAGAAGCCAGGGAAAATGTGGGAGTGAAGCCAGCCCTCGTTGGCTCAGCAAAGCCTCAATGGGGCCCCATTCATGCTGGGCACTGGTCTAGGCGTGGGTACACAATACCCCACAGGCGCTTAACAAATAGTGGTTTTGGCTGGGCATGGTGGCTCATGCCTGTAATCTCAACACTTGGGAGGGCAAGGTGGGAAGATCAACTGAAGCCTGGGCAACATAGTGAGACCCTGTCTCTACAGAAAATTTTTAAAATTTGCCAGGCATGGTGGCACCCACCTATAGTCCCAGCTACTCCAGAAAGTGAGGAGGGAAGATCACTTGAGCTCGAGAGTTTGAGGCTGCAGTGAGCCAGTGGTAATCCCACCACTTTGGCAAGCCGAGGTGGGCAAATCACTTGAGCCTGAAAGTTCAAGACAAGCCAACATGGTGAAACCCTGTCCCTACTAAAAATACAAAAAATTAGCTGGGCATAGTGGTGCGCTTGTAGTCCCAGCTACTAGGGAGGCTGAGGTGGGAGAATCACCTGAGCCTGGGAAGTTGAGGCTGCAGTGAGATGAGACTGCACCACTACACTCCAGCCTGAGCCATGGGAGTGAAACCCTGACTCAAAAGAAAATAGAAAGAAAAAGGGAGGTGGGAGAGAGCAATGCTAAAGCCAGAGGCAACTGGGGCCACAGTGACTGGGTGCGGCAGGGCATCCTGGGTCAAGGGTGGCAGCCTGTTAGACAGCTGCCCATGGCAGGGTTGCTACTGTCTGGCCCTGTGGTGGGAGAGCCCAATAGAAGTTGCCCGGGGTGCCTGAGGTCCGGAGCCAGGAACGCAGGCTGCAGAGAGGGCTGACCCCATTTCCCGAGGCAGTGGTGCCAGGAGGCCTGTTTTCCAGGGTGTTTACTGGGCTCTCCGGCTCCAAGGAGCTCTGAGTATTTGGGCTGAGTGCCCGGGGTCAGCCCCTCGACAGCACGCTGGGAGGTGGGGGTGGCTGTGCTGATGCCACCCTGGGCCAGTGGAGAAGGGTGGAGGCAGCAGACTGCCCGGCAACCCATGAGTGGGAGGGGAGGCTCCACCCTCCTTAACCACAGCCTGAGCAGCCACTTCCCAGGCCCACCTCTGATTTGGGTGGAGCTGAGCTGGGAGCACTTTTCCAGGCTACCTAGTGAGGGAGGGGCACAGCAGATAGCAAAGGGGTCACGATTCAGTCAACAGGGTCAGGCTCAGCCGGGAAGCGAATAGGATCAGGGCTTAGTGGGTAAAATGAGAGCCAGTGCTAAGTCGAGGGAAGGATCATGGTTTAACATATAACCAGGGTCAGGGATTAATGTCCAAGCAAGGTCAGGGCTCAGTCTGTGACCAGGATCAGGGCTCTGTGTGTGACTAGGATCAGGGCTCAAAATGTGACCAGGGTCGGAACTCAGTGTGTGACCACGATCAGGACTCAAAGTATGACCAGGATCAGGGTTCAGTGTGTGACCAGGGCTAGGGCTCAGTGTGTGACCAGGATCAGGGCTCAGAGTGTGACTAGAATCAGGGCTCAGAATGTGACCAGGATCAGGGCTCAGAGTGTGACCAGAATCAGGGCTCAGAATGTGACCAGGGTCAGAACTCAGCATGTGACCAGGATCAGGACTCAATGTATGACCAGGATCAGGGTTCAGTGTGTGACCAGGGCCAGGGCTCAGAATGTGACCAGGGTCAGGGTTCAGTGTGTGACCAGGATCAGGGCTCAGAATGTGACCAGGGTCAGGGCTCAGAGTATGACCAGGATCAGGGCTCTGTGTGTGACCAGGATCAGGGATTAGAGTGTGACCAGGGTCAGGGCTCAGCATGTGACCAGGGTCAGAGCTCAGCGTGTGACCAGGGTCAGGGCTCAGAGTATGACCAGGATCAGGACTCAGTGTGCTACGAGGATCAGGGCTCAGAGTGTGACCAGGGTCAGGGGTCAGAGTGTGACCAGGGTCAGGGGTCAGAGTGTGACCAGGGTCAGGGCTCAGAGTTTGACCAGGATCAGGGCTCAGTGTGTGACCAGGGTCAGGGCTCAATGTGAACCACAGGATCAGCGCTCTGTGTGTGACCAGGATCAGGGATTAGAGTGTGACCAGGTCACATGCTGTGACCAGGGTCAGGACTCAGCATGTGACCAGGGTCAGAGCTCAGCATGTGACCAGGGTCAGGGCTCCATCTGTGACCAGGATCAGGGCTCAGAGTGTGACCATGGTCAGGGCTCAGTGTGTGATCAGGATCAGGGTTCAGTGTGTGACCAGGGTCAGGGCTCAGTGTGTGACCAGGATCAGGGTTCAGTGTGTGACCAGGATCAGGGCTCAGTGTGTGACCAGGGTTAAAGTGCAGCCTGTGACTAGGATCAGGTTTCAGAATGTGACTAGAGAGTTCAGTGTGGATCAGGACAGTCAGTTATGAGGATTAGTAACGAGTGGGATCAGGACTCAGTCTTTGACTGAGGCCAGGACTCAACATGAGGGCCATGTGACAGTCACAGCCCTAAAGTGGACTCAGGGTGTCCTGGTCTCTTCTCACTGAACCAGTAGCCCCATTCATCATTCTTTCTCTTTCATTTGAGAACCATCTTCTCTGTGCCAGGACCTGTCCTAGGTGCTACAGACTCAAGGGCCACTTAGCCACAGTCCCAGCCCTGAATGACCTCCCATCTCCCAGGCAGCCCAGTTGGGTCTCAATTGTACAACACACCAAGATAACTTAGAGGCTCAGGAAGGGCCAGGGAGGCATTCTTCCCCAGGTACTCAGTAAGGCTCTCTGGAGGAGGTTTTGCAGGCTGGGTCACTTGAAGAAGGGGGCAGGAGGGCATTCCAGGCAGCAGGTACCACCTGAGCAAAGGCACAAAGGCTGGTTGCCAAGATGAGTGCTTGGCAAGTGTTGGGAGCTGGAGTCACCTGTGCGCGAAGAGGGCTCAGTTATCGGACAGTGGGTCTTCATGGGCTCTGAGGGGGCCCCAGGTGACAGTTCCTGCCAGGTGACAGTAGTTGCTCTAGCAGCCGGTGGGCACTCCCTGCTCTGGAGGCCACCCACCTTGGGTGGACCAGAGTCTGGAAGACAATGGAAAGGAATGAACCTGCGTGAGGCAGACAAGGATGGCGGGTGGAAGGGTGGGGACGGGTGCGGAAGGGTGGGTGGAGGCCAGGGCAGCAGAGCAGGTGAGGGTGGGTAGTGCCCTGGAAAGACAAAAGCCAACACGGGGCACGTTGGGGTGTGTGGGGACCTTGGTGGCTGAGTCCCCAGGTGGGTGCCATCCTCTGGGAGCTTGATGGAATGGCCAAACCCCTGCAGCCTCGAGGCCCCATCTGCCCACATCTCGCTTGAAGGCTTTGCCTGGGGGACCTCGAGGCCCTGTGCTCTGCCATCTGTGCAGGGGTGTGCAGGTGCAGGGACTGGGTGGGTGGGCGCCTGGAAGGACAGAGCTGCATGGCCTTGGCTCCCACCTCCCCGAGACCTTGGCTTTGGTGTCCAGCCTGGCCCTCTCTCCATGTACCTCTTCACAGAGCTTCCAGAATCATCTTTTCCTTCTTGACACTCCTGCACCCCGAGGCCTGGACCAGGCGACCAGCTCCTTTGAGGCCTCTCCATCTGAGAATTCTTCCAAAACTGACTCCTCTTCTCACTCCTTCCCACCCCTTCCCTCTGCAACTCATCCCCAGAGACAGGGCTGGGGAGAGAGCGGGCTGTTGGAGGGGCAGGGGGCTGCCTCCCCGGGAGAACTCTGAGGCCCCAAAGCAGGAAGGGCTGGGGTGCAGGGGCTGGCTGGGAGGAGGAGGAGACCTGAGCCTGCTGACAGGGCAGGAGCGGCCAGGGCGCAGGTGGGGTTGAAGGGCCTGCACCTCTCACGGCAACTCATCCAACCCTCTAAGAGCCTGCTTCATTGGACCAGGTGCTATCATTATTCCCTCTGCTCAGATGAGGAAACTGAGGCCTGGAGCAGTTAAGTGACACATCAAAGTCATCCAGCCATAGAGTCCAGACTGCTGATCCCAAGAGCGGTCAGGGTCATTAATAGTGGAGCCTCTTCCCCAGCAAGAGGACTCGAATTAGAAGTAAAGTAAGGCCGGGCGCGGTGGCTTATGCCTGTAATCCCAGCACACTGGGAGGCTGAGGTGAGAGGATCGCTTGAGTCCTGGCATTCAAGACCAACCTGGGCAACAAAGTGAGACCCCTGTCTGTACTAAAAATTTAAAAATATACCTAAGGGCTGGGTGCTGTGGCTCACGCCTGTAATCCCAGCACTTTGGGAGGCCGAGGCAGGTGGATCACGAGGTCAGGAGTTCGAGACCATCCTGTCTAACATGGTGAAACCCCATCTTTACTAAAAATACAAAAAATTAGCCAGGCATGGTGGTGGGTGCCTGTAGTCCCAGCTACTCGGGAGGCTGAGGCAGGAGAATGGCGTGAACCTGGGAGGCAGAGCGTGCAGTGAGTCAAGATCGCACCACTGCACTCCAGCCTGGGCAACATGGCAACACTCGACCTCAAAAATAAGTAAATAAATAACTAAAATTAAAAATAAAATAAAAATATACAAAAAATGCCTGGGCGCAGTGGCTCACACCTGTAATCCCAGCACTTTGGGAGGCCAAGGCAGGTGGATCACCTGAGGTCAGGAGTTCGAAACCAGCCTGGCCAACATGGTGAAACCCCATCTCTATTAAAAGTACAACAATTAGCCAGGCATGGAGGTGGGTGCCTGTAATTCCAGCTACTTGGGAGGCTGAGGCAGGAGAGTCACTTGAACTCGGGAGGCAGAGGTTGCAGTGAGCAGAGATCGTGCCATTATACTCTATCCTAGGCAACAGAGTGAGACTCTGTCTCAAAATATAATAATAATAGATAAATAAAAATATAAATATACATAAAATAAAATACAAAATAAAAAGACTGGAGCCTTGTGTTGGTCAAAGGGCTGGATGTGGGAGTATACCATCTCTGAGTTCAGAGGTGACCAGGCATTTGTGGGGCCCCTCACCCCCTGCTCCCCACTCAACTCCTGTTCAGGTTCCTGACACAGGTATGACCCCATTGCTCTCACAACCATGATGCCATTTGAGCCTCGATGACCAATGACAGCTGACATCTATGGAGCATTCTCCATGCTAAACACTTTTCATCCCTTGCTCATTTGAGGCCACCTGCAATTTTAGGGCCATATTCTGATCACCCTTTACCGATGCATAAATGGGCCTGGGCGTGGCCCAGTGGCCTGGACACTCGTTAGGGGAAGGCAGAGCCCTGGCCCCTCTGTCCATTGCCCCAGGCTGTCCTCAAGGCCGGTAATAAGGTCACTCTCATCCTGCAGGGGTGGGGTACAGAAATGAACGAGACTAACCCAGTTCTTGCTCAACCTGCCAGGTTGGTTTGACCCTGTTGGCACCCCACACCTGGAGCACCCTCAGGCTACGCCCTCCCCACCTGCTCTTTCCCAGAGCAGGGACTTCTGCGGTCGCAGCTGGGCTGGGGGCCCCTAGCCGTGGGGGGTCTGGGCCTTTGGGATACCCTCCTTAGTCTCCAGAGAACATGGGTTTGAGGACCTGGGCTTGACCCTCCTGGGTCTCCAGGCAAAGCCTCAGCCCCACCAGCTTCGAGGGTGAGGGCAGGTGCACAGCCACCGTGGGAGGCAGGCATGTCCAGGGAGCCCGGTCTGTGACTGGGGGAGATCACATGGAGGGTTGAGGCCAACTTCCCACATCTACAACATTCGGCCGTGACCTCCCCTCACAGAGGCCCGGGAGGGTCATGGATTCTGCTCTGAATGCTGGCCCAGCAGGTGACACACACCACAGCTCAGCCCCCTTGTTCCAGGGCCATGAGGGGCTGGCTTCATGGATGAATGAACCCCAGGCCCACCTGGAGGCTGCATCCTGGCTACCCTGGCCCCAAGTTGGGGTGGGGTCAAAGGGCACAGGCACAATTGGATCCAGGTGTTGGAGTCCCCTCCACTCTCTGCAAGCTATGACATCAGACAACCTGCTTCCCTGCTCTGTGTCTCAGTTTCCCCATGTGTATAGCACATGGCACTGGTATAGGTTGTTGTGAGCATTCGCTTCTCTGAGGCCAATGAGACAGATTTGTAGCCCATTGAGTGGGGGCCACCGGGGCACCAGATGGGGATTTGAGAGTGCACAGGCATGCCCACATTCTGCCTCAGACTGCAGGTGAACAGGCTCACACACGTGTGCATGCACATACATGTACACATCCACATGCACATGCCGGCGGCTGTCCCATACTCCCCTTTTGCCACTGTCCCGCTGGTCTATGTGTGCCCACGGATCCTGCCCCGCTGGGTGTGCCCCACTGCACAGGCACACACACACCCCTCCTGTCCTTTGCTCACACACACAGTCCCTCAGTGTCCCATGCCCCAGCCCCAGGGTGTCTTGCTTTTCATTTTGTCCCCTGCCCCTTTTGTCTGACACATGTTTCTGTCTGTCACTCACGTCTTCCTGAGGGAGTCTGCCCTGGGCCTAAGGGTTTGAACAGCTTCAGAGAAAGAGGAACTGGCCAGGCGCTGGACCAAAGCCCCTTCTTCCTGCTGCCCTGGCCTGGGCCCCAGTGGGGGTCCTTGAGAGCCAAGGCCACCCCGCCTGTCCTCCTGTTAGTGGCTGATGCTCCATCTGCCTGTGCCAGACGCCCTGTTGGCTCTCGGTCCAGCGGCTGTTCTGGGATGTGTCTCCAGGTGCCCCTCGAGGAGTCCCCTCCTTTCTGCAAGGAATGCCAGCCACACCCTCTTTGCCACTGTCCTGTGGGCCCATTGGGTTTGGAAATGTGGGCCTCGCTGACCAGGCGAGTCCTGTGTGCAGGCTCCTGAGTGTCCGCCTGCACGCACAGCACCGATCAGGTGGACAGACGCCTCTCAGGGGAGGACCCTGATGCGCAGCTCCCACCTCCCAGTGGCCTCCGTGATGACGCCATGGTGACTTCTGCAGGGACTAAGGCTGTCCATCCCGTCCTGGTGCCCAGCCCAGAGCCTGGTCTGTGGCAGGCCAGCGAGGAACAAAACCCACCCACCTTAAACATGGCTGCTCCGCCCACCCAGGGCCTTCCAAGGCACAGAGTCTTTCTGACCGGCCTGCAGCAGACATAAGACCAGAAGTCTCGTGCCTGGGCTGTGGGCTCCCCAGGGTAAAGCCACCAGAAGCTGTGCAGGTCCAGGGTGTAGTCTGTCCTCGCCATGCTTGGAGCCCTCTGGAAGGCCTTGCGCTCCTCTGGGCCTCACGTATCTCTCCTGTCGAGGAGTCTGGGGACCCTCCCTCCCCTCGCTGCCATGAGTGGGGTGTGGTGGAGGGGCCTGGGCCTCAGCTCAGAAGCCCCAGGGCTGGGCTGGAATCCTGGCTCCAATCTTGGCCACTGGGAAGCACTGGGCTCTACTTCAGTCTCCTCACCTGTATAGTGGGAACACCAGCAGTACCCACCTCATGGGCCCTTGGAACAGGGGACTAATGGGTGGCCCTGGGTGAAGTGGTGCCACATGGAGGCTCCAGGAAGGCCAGCCTGCTATAGGAGGTGCTGACTTGGTGGGGCTGGGGGGTCTTGATCCCCCATTCAGGTGGCTCCAGGACACTCATCTGCCATAATCCTGGGGTCACCTGAATAAGGTCTCTGCTCATCCCTGGAGGCTCCTTCAAGAACACTGTGCTCCTTCCAGGACTCTGCCCACAGTGGGTGGGAGGAGCCTTCGCCTCGAGCCTCAGTCTCCTCACCCATGACAGGGAATGCAGCCCGACGGGACCACAGGCCTTGCAGGAGGGGGTGATAGGCCCTGCATAAAGGGGGCAGCGATGAGACGGCAGCAATGAGACACAAGCTCTTCAGCCCCAAGGCCATAGCACCCCTGAGAGTGAGCTCCTTCCGGAAGCTTCTCAGGCTCCCTGAAGCTGCTGGGGAACTAGAAGCGTTCAGTCTGGGTCACCTAGCATGACACCCCGGGAAGCACAGCCCCAGCTCTGACTCCGAGCTCTGGGGGCGAGAGGGGGCTCTCGCATCAGCACGTGGCAGTCCCTCAATGTCGAACCCAGAAGAGTGAAGAAAAACCAAGAGACAACAGCCGGCCTCGGTCCTGAGCCCGACCGGCCTTCGGCATTGACCCCAGCAGCGCCCCGTGGTGTGGCTGCTGCTACGCGACCCCCCGGGGGATGCGGAGGCCCTGGGGCTGCTGAGCAAGCTGCCACGTGGTGCCTGCCATGCTGGGGTCTGAGGCCCCCCACCTGCCGTGGCCCCGACACACATAGCACATCATGGGACCTGCGGTTCACAGAGGATTGTACTCCCAGGGGCTCTGCCGACCCTACAACCAACCCCCACCACGAGGGGCGGCAAGGACAGGATCAGCCCACTTTGTGAATGAAGAAGCTGAGGCCCAGGGACGTGAAGGGCACACGGGGGCTGGACTCCTGGCCAGGAGGTAAGGGGCGGGCAGGGTCTCTGCAGACGGAAAAGATGGAAAGGCGTTCCCGGCTGAAGGAGCAGCGCTGCGGAAACAGCAAGGCCTGGAGACCCTCTAAGGCTGCCAGCCCCCTCGAGGGCTGCAGCCACAGAAGGCGGGGGTGGGGGTGGCGGGGGCAAGGACCCAGAGAGGGCCTGGGGTCAAAGGTCATCCATACTCTGGCCTCTTCGCACACACTGTTCCTTCAGTCAGATGCCGCCCGGCCTTGCCCAGCTCCCATGCCCTCCAATCTAAACTAAAACGCAGCGCCCCTCCCAAATGCTTTCTCAGCCATCCCTATTCCAGAGCAGGAACAAAGACGCTGGGACCAGCTCAAGACACAGACGTCTGGACAGCCTTACTGGAGACGGTGGGGACTTGGAGGCCAGGGAGGGCGAGGGGCCGGGGGGACAAGGAGGGGCGGAGGAGGGGAAGCTTTGGTCCAGCCTGGCAGCCTGAGGTCCAGTCCTACTCTGCCTACCCCGCCGTTAGGCGAGTCCAGCCCTGCAGGAGTGCCCTAAGCACTAAAGAGATTTCCCCAGCTTGCCAGCTTTCACCCCGGAGCTCAGCAGATGGCTGTGACTGCCTATGGTGGGGTCTCCGGCAGCTTGCTTCCCGCAAAGCTCCTTCCAGGGCTCAGGGCTTCCTTCGGGGTTTCCTGCTACGGTACGAACTCACTCGAGCCTCATCACACCCATTTCACAGGTGGGCTCAGAGAGACGCCTGCTGGGGCACACGGCTAGACAGCAGCAGGCTGAGCTGAGAATATGCCCACCGGGGGTGGGGCGGCAGGGCTGGAGGTGCCAGGGCTGCTCCCCAGGTGGGGTGGGACCGGGAGAAGAGACATCGATACCCCTGTGGATGCCTGAGGTCAATTAGTCGAGGAGGAGGCAGAGGAGGAGGAGGCAGAGGAGGAGGAGGCTGTTGCAAGGGCCAGATTTTGAAATGTAGCTGCAACAACTGCCCTGGTAAACTTGATTCACCCCACCAGGCTGGGAGCCACCTTCTCCCGGAGCCTCCTTCTCCAGGGAGGGCTACAGCCCCCAGCCCACTTGAAGCAGGGGTCCCAGCCCTCTTCATCTGTAAAATGGGGTGGAGAGTTTCTTTCTTGGGGTGTTGTGGGTTGAACTGTGACTCCCCAAATTCAAACTGAAGTCCTTAGAATGTGACCTTATTTGGAGGGAGTCTCCACAGAGGTAATCAAGTTGAATAAGGTCGTTGGAGTGGCCCTAATCCAATGTGACTGTGTCCTTGGAAAAAGGGAGATTTGGAGACAGATGTGCCACATGAAGGAGAGGATGGCCCTCTGCAAGCCAAGGAGGCAGGCCTGGAACGGACCCTTCCCTCTGGCCCTCGGAAGAACCCAGCCTGCTGACACCTTGATTTCAGACTTCTGGCCTCCGGAGCTGTGAGGCAATAAATGCCTGTTGTTTCAGCCGCCCAGCGAGTGGAACTTTGTTCTGGCAGCCCCGGCAGGTGACAGGGGGTTGTTAAGGTTGTTTAGATGTGTGCGAGGCACGGAGCGACGCCCAGAAGACGAGGGCCTCCGGTGAGTGTGAGTGATTCCTAAACACGGCACACAGCCAACAAAACAAGACAACACCAAGACCGGGTGTGAGGTGGGCGGGAAAAGCAGGACTTGTAGTTGACCTCTGGGTCCTGGGGATGGGGGCGGGCACCAGGCATCATGATGGGTAGGAGCACAGCTGAAGGCCGGGGCCCTCGGGGGACACACTTAGCCCCCCTGTGCTTCGGTTTCCCCCTTGGCCAATAGCACCCACCCAAGGGGTTGGAGGATTACCTAAGGCAGGGGTTGGCCAACTCTTTCGGGAAGGGCCCAGGGAGTAAATCTTTTCTCCTTTGCGGGCTGTGAGGTCTGTGTTGTAAGACTCACTTCTGCAGCTGCAGTTTGCACGCAGCCTTACAGCAGATGTAAAGGAGTGGGTGTGGCTGAGTTCCCAGGAAACTTGATTCGTGGACACTGAAAGCAGAACTTCATGTAATATTCTTGTTCTTTGGTTTTTGTTTTGTTTGTTTGTCTTTTGAGACAGGGTCTCGCTCTGTCACCCAGGCTGGGATGCAGTGGCACCATCTTGGCTCACTGCAGCCTCCACTTCTCAGGTTCAAGCAATCCTCCCACCTCAGCCTCCTTGGTAGCTGGGATTACAGGCTCACATCACCACGCCCAGCTAATTTTTGTATTTTTAGTAGAGACGGGGTTTCACCATGTTGGCCAGGCTGGTCTTGAACTCCTGACTTCAGGTGATCTGCCTGCCTCAGTCTCCCAAACTACTGGGATTACAGGTGTGAGCCACTGCACCTGGCCCCTTCTTTAGTTTTCTTTTCAACCATTTAAAAATGTAAAAACCATTTTAGCTTGCAGTCCTACAGAAACAGGTGGCTGGCCAGCTTTGGTCTGAAAGCCAGCCCTGCCCTAAGTGAAGGAGCCCTCTCAGCACTAAGAGGCGCCGGGCCAGACCTGCTTATCGATCACCTTTGGGCCCAGTGTGGGGCTGCTGCTCCGGAAACAATTTTTCTTTTTCTTTCAAGATTCACCAGCTCTGTTCAGGAGGGTGGCCAGCTTGGCGACCTGGACATTTAATCCTCCAGCCAAAGATTCCCTTCTGTGCGGCAGCCCTGAGGGGGCTGTCTAGATGACCTCACTTGAGCTGAGTGACTGCCTGGGATGTGGGTCCCGTGAATGGGGCACCTGTTTCACAGATGAGCAAACTGATGCTCCGAGGCAAGTTACTCAATCCCCTGACCCCGGCACGGTGCCCCGCCTCTTGGAGCCCAAGCCAGCGGGGCTGAGGCAGGGGCTGCTGGGGGTGGACAGGGGAGGTGGGCTTGGGAGCACTGAAGAAAGGGTGACACTCCAGGCATCTGTGAAAGCCCAGAAGACATCCCTAGACAAAGGAGGAAACAGGGTTAGGGAAGGGCACTCCTAGAGAAGGAGCAGCTTGCAGAGGCCCAGTAGTGGCACCACAGGGGCAGCTGGAAGATGTGGCACCACGGGGGCAGCTGGAAGATGTGGCACCACGGGGCAGCTGGAAAGTGGGGTTGGTGGGCAGAGGTGAGACTGAGTCCTGGGAGAAGTCCACACCGGACATGGGAGACTTTCCCCTGACCTGATGGGCTTTATTTAAGCAAGGAAGGGACTGGTGTGAATTAGATTGGAGACACTCCCTCTGTCGGCACAGAGACAGCACTCTCCACTAGAAATCTCATGCCAGCCTCGTGAATAATTTCTAATTTTCTATCAGCCACGTTAGGAAAACGGAAAAAGAATTTGATGCAAATTATTTTAGTAATATATTTTATGGAACCTAATATATCCAATATATTATTTAAACGTGTCATTCATATAACAAATTATGAATGAGATATTTCACAGTCTGTCTCATACTAGGTGGGGACATATTCCACGCTTACCGTACAACTCAATTCGGACTGGCTGCACCTCATGTACTCAGAAGACAGGCTGCAGTCTTGTATGACATCTTGGATGAGACTCAGGCCGCAGTCTTGGATGACACATACGTGGACATCGGGCTGTGGTGGCCGGAGTAGAGTCAGAGAGGCTGGAAGGAGGCCCTTTTCCAGGGCAGGAATGATGGTGCCTGGCCTGGAGCTGTGGTGGGGTTCCTGGCCCTCCATTCAGCTGCCAGCCCATCCCAGCTTGCACCGGAGGGAAGCAGCGGGCCTGGGCTCTGCGGCATCCCAGGGGGGCAGGTCACAGGGCAGCTACCCTACCCCAGCCTCCTCCCTGACCCCGCCGGTGTCTGCCCAGACAGCCGGCATCCCCATCCCGCTGGGCTGGCTCCCGGCCCTGCCCTACCCCCAACTCCAGACTCATGTCAGGCTTCCTGTCCCAGCCGGAGGGTGACCCGAGGCCTGACCCCAGAGGCCCAGGCGATGGGCCCGGAAGGAAGGCCGCCTCCTTGATGCAGCCACAGCAGGCGGGGCTGGGGCTTCCCCATGGACTCCCTCGGGAAGCACTTCACACTTTGGTGGGCGCTCAGCCAGGGCGGCCCCCAGCAGCGGCAGGAGGCGAGGGCCTCTGGGGCAGGGAGGACATGCACCTGCGCCTGGGCCTGTGAGGGGCTCCCCCACCACAGCGTGGGGTCTCTGGGCATGCCAGGGTTGCCCCCACTAGACAGCCAGGGTTCTCAGGGAACACAGAGCAGGCAAGCAGGCCGGCTTCTGCTTCAGCCTCAGCCCCTGTCCGCACCTGGGGCAGCACAGGACAGGTTTAGGAACAGACCCTAGCTGCACGCCTGGTGAGGACCTTCACCTCTGGGCCTCCCGCTGCTCCTCTGTGAAAATGGAGGTATCGGGGTGTTCGTCCCTTCTAGGGCCAGAGAGAGATGGCAGCGAATGCACGTGGTCCCTAAAGGAGAGCCGTCCGTGGCCACGTAGGAAAGTGTCAGGCCCAGCTCCTCATTCCTGGGATGTGGCCTTTTCTCACCTGCGCTGAACTCTGCTCTCAGGACTCAAACCCTGAGCTGCTGTGGAGGCTAACTCACTCATGCTCCAGGCCCATCTTCTGAATAAGTTTCCCAGACCCTCCAACCTGCCCTCCGTGTCGGCCCTGGGGTGCCTGCCTCTCCTTCCCTCTTCCTCTTCTTCTCACAAATATGGGCCGAGCTCATGTGATACGTCAGGCACTATGCTAGGACGTGGGGGTCCAGCTGGAAGGGACAGGACAGAACCCTGCCCTCCTGGAGCTGGCAGTCTGTAGCAGACACTAATCAGTTAAACAGATCACAAACTGTGACTGTCTCCAGCAGAGACACCTGGTTGGCCTTGGGGGAGCACATAGCAGATGGATGGGGGTCCCTGCCCAGGGCTGCCGGCAGGCGGTGCACCTTGCACTGCTCACTTAGTCCCACAGCCTCGCTTGCCCGCAGGCAGTGTGTCCTCTGCACACTTTCAGGGCTCCGTCCTTCTGCCCAGCGCCTCTGCAGGCTACGCCTTCTGTGCTGGGCCTCTGGGCATAGTTACTAGGCAGCCAGGGCTGGGGCCAGCCCTTGGCCTTAGCTCAGCTCCAGGGAGGATCAAGAGGGTGTCCAGTGTGGCCGTACACCTGGGCACCTGCTTCAGAATCCAGGTCCTTGGGAAACAAGTGGCTTTGGTCTTGCCAATGCCTTTGCTCTGTTTTCAGCTGGGAATTAAGCTGGGGAACAGCAGGAGGGGCAGCATTTGCTGGCCCTGGTGCAGGAGGTTGTGGGTGAGAAGAGCCGAGTTCAGGTCCCCACCTGGGCAGCCTGTGGTGTGAGCTAGAGGTGCAGAAGCCTGCGGGGACACGGAGGGCAGCCGGGCAGGAGCCTGCGGGGACACGGAGGGCAGCCAGGCAGGAGGCTGCGGGGACGTGGAGGGCAGCCGGGCAGGAGCCTGCAGGGATGCGGAGGGCAGCAGGGCAGGCTGGGCTTTCTCCAGTGCTTGCTCCCCTCCCAAGGGAGTTCCTAATTTGGGTCCCCCTGCTCTTCCTTGGTTGAGTGGGCCCCACGCACTTGGCTATGATCCAGCAGACTCCTGCGTCCTGGTGTGTCCCTGCCCCACCTTCCCACTGCCCTCGGCCTCTCTCCCAGCCCCTGGGAGCTGGGTTTTTTGCTTCCAATTTCAAATACATCAGACTCCATCCCACTGTCCTATCCCAAGGTGTCTTTTGCCTTTCTGGGAAAATAAAGTGGCAGGGGAGTGAACCCACCGCAATGGGACAGCCCTCCTCCTGTCCTCCGCGGGAGCAGCATCTCGCAGGGGCTCCGCCAAGCCTTCGAGGCCCAGCCAAAGCTGGGGTGGGGGCACTGGCCGGAAGCTTAGGGGAGGGGGAGCCTGCAGGACTTCACTCCTGTGCCCGTGTGGCCGGGGGTACCTGCTTGACCTCTGAGCTGTCACCGGGAATAGTGTCCAGCCTGCCTGCCTGCTGGGACCTCTGCAGAGACCATGAGCTCAGTCCTCAGGGCCTAGGTCCTGGGTTAACACTGAGGGCTGTGCGGCCAAGGACCCCGGGGTGGGCATGACCGGGGTGTGTGGAGGAAGGAAGGGGGTCTGGGAAAGGATGCAGACAAGAGGTGGGTGCTGGGCCAGCACCTGCTTCTGTTCTTGGCCTCAGGACCGTCTATGGAATTGGGAGTAATTCTCTGCAACATGGGCCCTGCAGCCGAGGTCTGGGCAGAGGCGTCAGGGCACAGAGCAGTGGTACCACCATGCCAGGGAGATGCTCAGGCCAGGACCAAGCAGAAAGGGGAGCTCACCATAAACTCCCTGGGGGGAGGGGAGCGCTTTACCCCCACAAGAATGGGCAGCAACAGGTCATCTATCCTCAGGGCCCATAACCCCTTCACCTGCTTCCTGGTGACCTGCTGCCGGGAAGGGCCCTGGGCCTCAGGGCCTTTGTGGGGCTTCCTGTACCCCCCTGAATGCTGTCACTGTGCCTGAAACCTCACCAGTGGGGCCTCATTTCTTTGGTCCTATAACACTCCTTGATTTTCCAGCGTTAAGCACACAGTCATGAGCTGTTGCCTGAAGCTGACACTTACTGAGGGTGTTCTGTGCAGCAGGCTTTGTCCTGAGCCTTTTGATTTTTTTTTTTACATGTCTTGTTTATGCAGGATAAATCCCAGTAACCCATTTGCAGAAAAGGAAGCAGCAGCTCAGAGAGGTTAGGTAGGTTGCCTAAGGTCACCCAACTTGTGGCAGAAGCAGGATGGAGCCCTGCCTATGTGATGATGGGGCCAGGAGCACCCTGATCATCTTTAGAGCCCACCCCTAACCCAGGTGGGGGCAGCAGGTCCCTGTAAGCATGCTGGATGAAACCAGGCGGCTGACAGAACGGGAGGGAGGCTGCCCTTGGGCTTCCGCATTTCTGGATTCGAGCTCTGCTCAGTCACAATGGGCTGTGTGCCCTTGAGCAAGTTACTTCACCTCTCTGAGCCTCAGTGTCCTCTTATCAAATGGGATACTAAGATATAATTCAAAAATATGTTCTTGAGAATTCAATGGGAAGATCCTGCCGGAGTCTGGAGCCTGTCTATTTAGTTTGACAATAAATAATTGGGCTAGTATTTACACTGATCTCTAGTAAGGGGGGCACAGAGCAGGGAAGGGTGTGCCGGGAGGGCTGAAGTGTGCCCCTGGGCATCGGGGCGACTGTGCCAGCACCCGCCTCTAGGTTTACAGCCCTTCCTGAGAACTAGAAAAATCCCCTCCTCTGAGCAGATGCCATCCTTGGACTCATGGGCTTGGCACCTGGTTTGGCCCCACAGAAGAGACTCCTACCCAGTTCTCTTTTCTAGCCCAGAAGAATGGCATTTCTGGACCATCTGGAACATCTGGATCATCTCCCCTGCTGATGCACAAACAGCCAGGCCTCCGGAGAAGGGGGGTGGGACAGGGTGTTGCAGGCAGAGGGAACGGCCCCTGCAAAGGATCATCAGGGAGACTGAGCAGGTCAGGATGGCTGCCGGAACAAGCAGCGTCTCAGTGGACCTGTGGAGGGCAGGGGATGAGCAGGTGAAGGAGGAGATGGGTGGAGAGCGTGTACCTGGGGCAGGCCTGGAGGCGGGAGGGAGGGGCTGGAGCCAGAGAAAGGGGCGGCTGGTGGAGGGAGGTGAGGCTGGAGGGGCTGGGCCTGGTACTTTGGATGAAGCCAGGTCACTGCAAAGATGAAATGTGATAGCACTGGGCAAAGGAAGCAAAGCCCATCACCATGAGACCAGCTCCCAATCCTTCCCTGGAATTCATTTAGGAAAAGATCTAGAGAAGTCAAGGTGGGGCCCGGAGGGGATGGGATCAGGGTCCGTGGGAAGCAAGTTCATGTCTTTGCACCGAGGATGGACAGGAGTGTGGAGTGTGGGAGGGAAGAGGAGGAGGAAGCAGCCGAGGGGAGCTGGAGGGGAGGGGTGAGAGGAGGGGCTGGAGGAAAGCCTGGGGTTGTGTGCAGGGACCCACAGAGGACTCAGGTGAGTGAGACCGCAGGCAGGCCGTGAACAGCCCCAATCCCACGACAGAGGCAGCCAAACCCTTTCCCAAAGATGTTTTATAGAGACCTGGCGGGGCAGGGGGGGACTTTGGTCTTTTTCAGACACAGAAGTTCCTTCTGTGACTGAGGGTAAGTGTCTTAGCCTCCTGCCTCAGTTTCCTCATTGCATAACAGGACTGTTTCAGTGTCCACACTCAGAGTGTGAGGGCTAGATGAGGAAATGCACGTGCAGTAGGATGCCACCTGTCTTTGGAATGTCTGCATGTCAGGTGCCCCAGCCCTCAGGATCCAGGACAGGTCTGGCTGCGGTGGGTGCTGGATGGATGCTGAGGAGGGGAGGGACAGTCACTGCATACCAGCCTCTGCCAAAATGGGGAGCCCAGGGGCAGGAGTAGACAGGAAGGACTTCCTGGAGGAGGAGGGCTGGCAGTTTGGGAAGATTTAGATGGGGAGAAAGTGGGGCAAGGGCATGGGGGTGGGAAGTCTGGGAAAAGATGTCCTGGCAGGGTGGAGGGGAACGGAAGTTACGATGGTAGTGGGGAAAAGCATCTGCCCAGGAGCCAATGGTGCAAACACAGTGTGTGTGTGTGTGTGTGTATGCACACCCGTGTGCACAAGCACCTCCACCGCTTTCCCAGCCTCCTAGCCAGAGCCCTGGGGCTCAGCTCAGGCCCTTACCCCCAGCCCCACCCGACCACAGGCTTCACAACCAGAGGCCAAGACCCCGGCAAATGCACATCCCCTCGTCCCTCTCTGTCCCAGCCCCACTGCTCTCCCAGAGCCTGCTGCCATCCCCTCTCTGTCCTCCAGGCCTTGGGTCCTCCACACCCTCCTGCTGCCACCTGGATGCCCCAACCTCCCGTGGACTGTTGGGGTCTCCCAGGGGCCCCCGCACTTCTGTCTGTATGGCTCTTGTCCACTCTGCCCGGCTGACACCTCCGGCCACCCGAGACTGCTCGAATGCCCAGCACCCCACACAGCTGGCACCTCCTCTGCAGACCGCAGCCTGGGAGAGAGGGGAACCCACGGGCCTGTGAGTCTTTCAGATCCTGGTAAACAGTAGGAGCACGGGAAATATTCTGGAGAGAAATCGCCGCCCTCAGCTCCAGTCCCTTGTTCCAGCCTCCTGCTGGGTGCCCGGGGGGAGCGGACGTGATGCAGCTCTCCACCCAGTACCTGGTACCCAGCTCCGTGCGGAGCACGGGGGCCAGCCCTGAGGACTCCTACTGACCTGCAGGTTCGCGGTCCAGAGACGGGGCAGCTCACAGGCAGGGGACGCAGCTCTGACATCCTCAGGTGTTGGAGCTGGGGCCAGGAGGTCATGGAGCTGCAATCCCAACTCAAGGACTGGTTGAGCACTGGCACTGCCCAATAAAGGCCCCTGGTTGAGACTGTGGGTAGGGCCAGGGCTCAACGTGTATCAGGAGTGACCAGGGCCAGGGCTCAGATTGTGTTGAGGCCAGGGCTCAACGTGTATCAGGAGTGACCAGGGCCAGGGCTCAGATTGTGTTGAGGCCAGGGCTCAACGTGTATCAGGAGTGACCAGGGCCAGGGCTCAGATTGTGTTGAGGCCAGGGCTCAACGTGTATCAGGAGTGACCAGGGCCAGGGCTCAGATTGTGTTGAGGCCAGGGCTCAACGTGTATCAGGAGTGACCAGGGCCAGGGCTCAGATTGTGTTGAGGCCAGGGCTCAACGTGTATCAGGAGTGACCAGGGCCAGGGCTCAGATTGTGTTGAGGCCAGGGCTCAACGTGTATCAGGAGTGACCAGGGCCAGGGCTCAGATTGTGTTGAGGCCAGGGCTCAATGTGTATCAGGAGTGACCAGGGCCAGGGCTCAGATTGTGTTGAGGCCAGGGCTCAACGTGTATCAGGAGTGACCAGGGCCAGGGCTCAGATTGTGTTGAGGCCAGGGCTCAACGTGTATCAGGAGTGACCAGGGCCAGGGCTCAGATTGTGTTGAGGCCAGGGCTCAACGTGTATCAGGAGTGACCAGGGCCAGGGCTCAGATTGTGTTGAGGCCAGGGCTCAACGTGTATCAGGAGTGACCAGGGCCAGGGCTCAGATTGTGTTGAGGCCAGGGCTCAACGTGTATCAGGAGTGACCAGGGCCAGGGCTCAGATTGTGATTGAGGCCAGGGCTCAACGTGTATCAGGAGTGACCAGGGCCAGGGCTCAGATTGTGATTGAGGTCAGGGCTCAATGTGTATCAGGAGTGACCAGGGTCAGGGCTCAGGAGGTAAGGGAGCTCAGGGTGCTCTCTGAAGTTAGGCCTCTTAGTGACCATCTTCAGCTGGATCTTGCTGGACCAGAAGCCAGAGCTTTGACCCCACAGGTGTGCCCTACCTGGGCCCTGGAGGGGCAGGTCAGTCTTTCTTGAGTGCCATCCTTTCACCCATGTTTTAAGCCTCCTGTTGACAAGGATCTGGACACAGGATTACATTCCAAGTCCTTGCTCAAAGCCTGAGCCGTCTCCACCCCATCAGCCACGTTGGTTGTGTCCCTGACCCGGACCCGGCCTCCCCTGCAGACCCTCGGGGCTCCCTCCCTAATCCCACCCTTCTGCACGCACCTGGGCCAGGACATGGGCAGTCACAGCTGACAGATTGTTTAGGGGATCAGGAAGCCGGTGGGTGTGCAGCAGATGCCTGTGTGGACATGCACACATGCACACTCATGCCCGCTTCCAGGCAGGAAGACCGGAGGCTGCACGTGGGCAGCGGCGGGTGGTGGTAGTCCTTGACCAGGGTGTGAGTCCAGTTTGTCTTCAACCTGGTGCTGGGAAGTGGGGTTGGGGAGGGTGTGAGGCATCCTGGGGTCCTTGGTGGGTTAGACTCCTGAAACCCAGCAGGTTTCTTGTGTCTCTGAGCCTCAGTTTCCCCTTCCCATAGCTTGGGAAGAAGAGACTGGCATCTCCCCAGGGTTCCTATGTGGGTGACACAGATCAACGTGTCAATGGTTTCCTCACTGTCCCTATCTGACCGCATGGCCCTGCCTGTCTCTCCTCCTCCCTGGAGCCCATGTTTGGGACTTCCACATTTGGTCCCTGAGCCTTCATGGAGTAGCTCCTCTGTGGGGAACCCTGGACCAGGTGCAGCAGGGAGTCGGGAGAGAGCAGATGGACTCCCTGCACTGATGGGGCTCACGGGGCCCTGGGAGAGAGTATCAACTTGGATGGTGACGATCCAGCAGGGCCACAGCTGAATGGAGGTGAGGACGAGGGCCCACGGGGCTTGGGGCACAGTGGCTGCCTCTGCTCAGAGACAGCTTCCCAGACCACACGGCGGCCCAGCTGTGTGTGGGAGGCATAGGAGCTCTCCTGAGGAAAGGCATGGGAAACAGAGGGAATAGCAAGTGCGAAGACCTGGTATGGAAGTAAGAAGTGACCGGAGTGTTGCTTGGGGGTGGTGAGCAGGAGGCAATGCATCAGGCAGGCGGAACCCTGCCCCTCCCAGGCTGACCCCAGCCAGACGGGGAAGGACCTGGGTCCCTGCTGTGGGTGGTGAGTCCCATACATGTCCCTGCCCACCCTGTCATCCTGCAGGGAGCAAACTGATCCCAGAGGGGGTGCCCAGCCCACGCCGTGCAGCACCGCAGGGGGAACCCAGCGTGATAGAGAGCAGTGTCTTAGACCTGGCTCCAGCGCCGAGGCTGCGGCCCAATCGAGGCCGGGTCCTTCCCCTCGAGACTTCAGCCTCGGCTCTCCTGGACTTCAGGGTGACATCACCAGGGTGTTGGGGGTCTTCTGTGATCCTCCTACGAATACTTCTTTTTTTTTCTTTTTAGAGACAGGATCTTGCTCTGTTGCCCAGGCTGGAGTGCGGTGGCATGATCACAGCTCACTGCTGCCTCAACATCCTGGGCTCCAGCAATCCTCCCGCCTCAGCCTGCTGAGTAGCTGGTACTACAGGGGTGTACCACTAGGCCTGGCTAATTTTTAAAAATTATTTATAGAGACAAAGTCTCCTATGTTGCCCAGGTTGGTCTTGAACTCCTAGGCTCAAGCAATCGTCCCGCCTCAGGCCCCTGAGTAGCTGGGTCTATGGGTGGGCACCACTATGCCTGGCTAATTTATTTACTTATTTTTGTAGAGACGGGGTCTCACTATGTTTCTCAGGCTAATCTTGAACTCCTGGGCTCAAGTGATCTGCCTGCCTCAGCCTCCCAAAGCACTGGGATTACATGTGTCAACCACCGTGCCCTACCCACTTCTGTTTTATTATTGTTATTATTATTTAAGATGGGATCTCGCTGTGTCACCCAGGCTGGAGTGCAGTGGCACGATCTCAGCTCACTGCAACCTCCACCTCCCAGGTTCAAGAGATTCTCCTGCCTCAGCCTCCTGAGTAGCTGGGACTACAGGTGTGCGCCTCCACGCCCAGCTAATTTTTTGTATTTTTAGTAGAGACAGGGTTTCACCATGTTGGCCAGGCTGGTTTTGAACTCCTGACCTTGAGTGATCCGCCCACCGTGGCCTCCCAAAGTGCTAGAATTACAGGCATGAGCCACCGTGCCTAGCCTGTTTTTTTTTTATTATTTTTAAAATTTTATTTATTTATTTATCGAGACAGGGTCTTGCTCTGTCGCCCAGGCTGGAGTGCAGTGGTGCAATCTCAGCCCACTGCAACCTCTGCCTCCTGGGTTCAAGCAATTCTCCAGCCTCAGCCTCCCAAATAGCTGGGATTACAGGTGCCGGCCACCACGCCCGGCTAATTTTTGTATTTTTAGTAGAGACAGGGTTTCACTATGTTGGCCAGGCTGGTCTTGAACTCCTGACCTCAAGTGATCTGCCCGCCTTGGCTTCCCAAAGTGCTGGGGTTACAGGTGTGAGCCACTCCTGGCCTCACTTCTATTTTTCAAACCGAGGGTGATGCTTAACCCAAGAGTAGGTGCTGTCAGGCCGAAACATCTGTTCTGGTCCTTGGCTGGCTTTCCCAAGGCCCTGAGTGTCCTAGGGCCTTGTGACTTCCTCTGTGAACTGGAAAACAGCCCCCAACTCCAGTCCCTGCCTGGCTAGGCTTGCCTGAGCAGAGCAGAGGTGAGAGGCAGGAAAGATCCAGCAGCCTCAGAGCTGTGAACGGTGCCAGCCCCGTGATTGACATGTCAGCCGCACTAATAGTATCGCTTCATCTCTCCAGACTCTCCCTTTCCCGGTTTGTCCACTGTTCTGTTTGGAAATAAGGTTGTGCCCTTAGTCATACCTTGATAAGAAGGGAGACGCCCCTGCCTGCCCTCTCTCTTCTGTTCCACCTCCTCTGCCGAACGTTCAGGAGCTCCTCATTCAAAAGACCGTCAGATGAAATGTTTGCTAGAGATAACACTGTGAAGCATTTAGAAACACCTTGCACCAGCCTACTTCTTAAATACTTGTTAAAAACGAGATCACACCCCAAATAGAGTTTCATAGAATATACCTTTTTTATTTTTCATTATTTTTTGAGATGGAGTCTCACTCTGTTGCCCAAGCTGGAGTGCAGTGGCGCAATCTCAGCTCACTGCAACCTCTGCCTCCAGATTTCAAGTGATTCTCCTGCCTCAGCCTCCCAAGTAGCTGGAATTACACGCATGTGCCACCACACCTGGCTAATTTTTGTATTTTTAGTAAAGACATGTTTTCACCATGTTGGTCAGGCTGGTCTTGAACTCCTGACCTCAAGTGATCTGCCCACCTTGGCCTCCCAAAGTGCTAGGATTACAAGCATGAGCCACCGTGCCTGGCCTCTTTTTTAAATCCAGTTTTTATTCAGCAGAATGTTCCGAAAGATCCAGAGGGTAACATGTGGGCAAAGTCCCTGAGCCCTGGCTGGGGTGGCCTGGGTGGGGTTGCCTTCCTCCGACACCCAACTCATGTGGGCCCTGGGCGCCCAGCACCGGGTTCCTTCCCCCCAAACCCATCTCATCTGGACTCTGGGCACCCAGCGCCGGGTTCCTTCCCCCAGGCCTTGAGCCTGGCTTTGCAGCTCCTGCTGCCCCAGGGCAGGTGGTGGTGGCCGCCCAGCCCTCACCCAGCCCCGAGTCCTGTGTGGAAGGCGATTCCTCCCACTTTACCGGGGAGGACACAGAGGCTGAGCGTGGTCACGGCCGGAGCCCCAGCGCAGCATCTGAGCTGCAGGCTGGCCGCCCCCCACCCCGCTGCACCCCCATATTCCACTCACAGACCTTCTTCCTGCTGAACACAGCTGGGCCCTGACGCCTCTGTGCCTTGGCCACAAGGCACCTTCTGCTCACTCAGCTGTCCCTCCAGTCCCCGTAGGGCTGCAGACCCAGGCCCACCCAGTCACAGGCCTGGCAGCGAGGGGGAACAAAAGGGTCAAGGGGCCGCCCAGGGCTGGGAAGGGCCTTGCTCCACCTCGCTCTCCTCCATTCCCCGTGTGGGCCTCCGTCTCCCATTCTGTGAAATGACCCGTTTGGGCCACAGGGTCCCCAAGTCCTCTTGGCTTGGGGCCGTCTGTTCCAAGAGGAGGGGCCATATTGGTCCTTGAGGCCCCTGCGGCCCAGTAAGTCTGCAGTGAGGCCTCCCTGGACGTATATATCAACAAAAAGTCAAACTCCGTAAAGTGTTTGAGACATTTATTCTGAGCCAAAGATGAATGGCCGGGGGCCCATGACAGCCCCAGGAGACCCTCAGACCATGTGTTCAAGGTGGTCGGGCCACAGCTAGGTTTCATACATTTTAGGGGGACACAAGGCATCAATCAATACACATAAGCTGTACATTGGTTACGCCTAGAAAGGCGGAACCACCGGAAGCGGGGATGCTTCCAGGTCATAGGTGGATTCGAAGATTTTCTGATTGGCCGTTGGTTGAAAGAGTTATTGTCGGTAGATAGGAATGTCTGGGTTAAGATAATGGGTTGTGCAGACCGAGGTTTCATCATGCAGATGAAGCCTCCAGGCAGCAGACTGCAGAGAGAATGGATGGGAGATGTTTATTATCAGACTGAAAGACTGTTCTGCCAGTCATTCCAAAAGGGAGGGGGGATAACAAGGTATGTCCGTCTCCCGCTTCCCACCGTGGCCTGAACTCGCTTTTCAGGTTCACTTTGGAATGTCCTTAGCCAAGACGAGGGTCCGTTCGTTTGGCTGGGGGTCTTAGGATTGATTTTCTGGTTTCCATATGCAATGGGAGTGGGGGAGAGATGGGGTGGGGGCAGCCTGAGGCTCAGCCCTGGCCAAGGAAGCCCCCTCCAGGCATTGGCCAGGTTCTGACTCCTACAGTGTTACAGCCGGCAGGGAACTTGGACCCACAAGCTCCTCCCCTCCCCAAGCCTCAGTTTCCTTGTTTGTAAGATGATGCCTGGGGTCCTTGCTTCCTTGTAGGGCTCAAACAAGATCCCAGGCTCTATTAGGAACAGTGCCAAGGCAGGGGGCCCCCAACAGCTCAAGCAGGCTGGAGTTTGGTGCTCACGGAGTAGGGGAAGCTGGTGGCTTCTCAGGCTCATGACATTGTCCCTGCAGGGTGCAGGGCTATTCCCTGGTGGGGCTGGGGGTGTGTGTGGCCATTGGCAGGAGCCCCGATGTTCTCATCCATGAGTCAGCAGAGATGGGAACATCAATTTATTTGAGTGGCTGGTGCAGCCGAGTCCTTGGAGGACAAGGAGTTTTTGCCAAGCCTGGGCCGAATGTGCCAGGGCTTGGGGCAGGGAAACTGTGTCCAGGGACACAGCTTCAAGGGCCCCTGGTTGATGTCCCCAGGGCCTGCTGAGTGCCAGGCCCTGGGACTCAGAGAGGACACCACCCGATGCAGGCCCTGGGACTCAGAGAGGACACCACCGGATGGAGCTGCCCAAAGGGAGTGCCAGTCGGATGTGGGGGTGGGGGAAGAGGAGGGACCAGGATGTGACGGGTCCGAGGTCTCACGGGGTGCCCAGGTGGGCTGGATTTACAGAGCATGGGCGGCCTGCAGGACCATGAAGGGGCAATGGGGGCAGAAGACAGAGGTTGGAGGCAGGGTGGCATGGAGGGTCTCGGGGCAGGGGCAGGAGGGTCTCCAGGGTGGTCAGTCTGCTGCAGTCAGCAGAGGGCACTGGAGGGGCCTGGGCTCAGGCTCCAGGTAGAGCTGACCTAGCCCAGAATGGGCAGGTGAGGGAAGGCCACCGCCTGGTGGGCTTGGCTGTCCCCTCACCTGGACCCCATCGCCGGCCTCTTCCTTGCACGGGGTAGATGCTCATTGATGTGGTGACGTCTAGCAGGAGGATGGCCCTGGGCAGGGCTGTGAGCTGGGAGACCTGGGCTGGGATCTCAGCTTTGGGCCCACACACTGGGATGGAGGAGTGTTTACTGCTGTCTCTGAATGGCTGCAGGAAGGCTGAGGGGGCACATGGTTGATGGGCCAGGCCACTCTGGGCACAGTTGCTGAGAGTCGGCTCTTCCTAAGTGGGGGCACCCGGGGTGGTGGAAGGGAGTCAGATGCCAATTCCCAATGGGTCCTGGTGGTCGTGCCCTGCTGCAGGGCCTTGGCACCCGCCGCCATAGCCATGGAGTCCAGGGGGGCCCCCAGGGGCTGGAAAGGCAGGGAAACAGATTCTCCTTGGGAGCCTCCAAGGAAGCCAGCCCTGGCTAGCACGTCTGTGCTCTGTCTCTGGCTTTGCCTGTTCTGGACATCTCTGGAGGTGTGAGCACCATGTGGCCTTTCGTGTCTGGCTTCTTTCACTTAGCACGGTGGCTTCAGGTCCCTCCGCATTATCGCATGTGCCAGTGCTTTGCTCCTTTTTACACCTGAGTAATCGTCCACTGTGGAGTCATCCTTTCAGCTGCTGAGAGATGCGTGGGCAGTTTCCACCTGCAGCCATCGTGAGTAGTCGGGTGAGGCTGCTGAAGCAGACGAGTGAGGGCACTGCCCGGGCCATTTGGGCTGGAGCGGGGGTTTGAACTCCTCTTTGTGGGACGGAGGCTGTGTTCTTGCCCACACCTCTCCCTGCTCCAGGCCTGTCTTCCCCTTGGGACTGGGACTATGACTTGGTGGCTTCAGCCTCCGCAGGGTGAGCCTGATCCTGAGAGTCAGGCTGGGCTGAGGAGGACGGGTGGGCCTCCTGGGGGAGGTGACGACTTCGGACTGGACCTTGCAGGAGGGATGGGCTGTCTGAGGATGGGAGATGGGAGGAGGTATTGCAGGTTGGGCAGCAGGTGAGGCTGAGCTGGGAAGGGAGGTGGTTGAGGCTGGTTCTTGGGCTGAGTGCTGGGGAGGGGTCGGCCGGGGATCACCGAGAGGTCCCTCCAGGCTGCATGAGCAGAGGAGACACCCTACGGGTGATCTTCTTGCCTTTGTTTCTAGAATTCACAAATCCTACAATTCTAAGCTCTCAGAACCCTTGGATCTGAAGGTTCTCAAATGCTAAGGTTTCTAGATGTTAGCAGACGAAGGTGTCAAGACGCATGGGATCTACGATGCAGAGTTCTGAGTGGGGATATGCGTCCCCCACCCCGACTCACCCCACGACACATATCAGTAACAGCCTCTGCAACTCCGCCTTGGTGCCCCCGCACGTTCCAGGGGCAGCCACACTGATGGATTGCTCAGAACGGGCTGGAGGTGAGATGTGTTTGCCCGGAGCCCCCACACACTGTCGTCTCCAGCTGTGCCTGTCCCTCCCCACCTTCCACTCTGTGTCTCTTCCCTGCCCCCCTTGTGCCCCAGCCCCAGCCCCCCCTGTTCTTTCCTGCCACCCAATCCTGTGCCCCACGACAAGGAGGCTGAGCCCAGGGATGGCCAGGAAGGAACCCCCGGCAGGCTCTCAGGGTGGGAGAGAGGTTGTGGGGATCAGGGGCTTTGCAGAAGGGACAGGGAGGCAGCCCAGAGCACCCCAGCTTCTTGGCCAGCAGCAGGTAACCTGGCTGGAGGGCGGGGCCCCCATGGGCCATCCCTGGGCCAGCTGCCCAGGGCTACCAGGAAGGCAGCTTGTTTTGTAGGAGGTCAGGCAGCGCCCTAACCCCACCTCTTGTCTTCCCTGATGTCACACCCCAGGGTCAGCCCCTTGGGCCAGAATGGGGGTGATGGTGGGAACCGGGAAGCTGAGAGAACAGGGAGGAGGCCGGGTGGGGCACACCAGGCTGTGGCTGTGGGGATGGGGAGATTCCTCGCCTGGGCAGGCCGGGCAGCAGCGGGGCAGTCCTGGGGGGTGTGGTAAATGCTTCTGCTCTCTTCCCCTGACTACATGGGAGCCTCCGTCCCACCTCACCTGGAAAAGGGGCTTGGAACTGGGCTGCTCGGCCTTGGGCACACCAAACGGGGCCCTTGGAGCCCTGGGCTTCCTGGGGTGGCTGGGTCCCCACCCTGCCTCTGATCCATCCTGAGTCTGCATTTCTTCTCCAGGTGCCCCCTGCCCTTGGCCTCCCACCACGGCCTGGGAGTAGATAGTGGGCTGGGGCAGGCCCAGCGCTGTCCTCTGTGGGAAAGGAGGACTCTGGGCCTGGAAATAGTTGAGTGTGGACAGAAATAACCCTGACTGGCCTCAAAACAGAACATGGAAAATTAAATAGGGAACATTAGCATTCACCCCGCGCTTGCCACAGCCACTGTCCCATTTGGGAGGCGGGCGCGCTTATCCTCATTTAGAGACAGGGAAACTGCGGCCCAGAGAGGGGAGGTGACCTTCCTGAGGTTCCTCTGCCAGCCGGCCAGGCCCTGTGACCCCTGTGCCTCTGTGCTTCCACTACACAGCCGCATCTCCACTTCTGCCCCGACAGTTCCTGCTGCAGCAGATGCCCTTCCAGATGCAAACTCCTACGCATCCTTCAAAACCCAGCTAAATGTCACTTCCTCCGGAAAGCCTTCCCCACCTCTCTAGCAGGCAGTTGAGCCCAGCTTACATTTCCGACAGGCCCTCACTGCCCGGGATTGCAGCTGCGGGCTCCTTGAGGGCAGGGATTGTCCCTCATTCATCCTGATTCCATGCCAAGGCTTATAGTAGGTGCTCAATAAATGCTTGCTGAATGATAGATGGGCTGTGTGTGGTGCTAAGTTGAATGCCTTGTCCCTTTCCCACAATTTCATCTCAACCACCCAAGAATTTAGCGTGAGTATGGCTGTTTTACTAAGGAGCAAACAGGCTTACAGAGGTGAACTCACCTGCTCCAAGGTCACACAACAGTCAAGGGCTGGACCTGGGATTTGGTCCCAGCCCCGCAAACACAGCCCCACTACGTACCTAGCATGGGCTCAGGTAGGCCCTAGGGGTGGGCAGTGTATCTGACCACTCGTCCTGTCCACCTTCCCCTGCACCTGTGGCCCCACGGACCCCTGGGCTGGCTCTCAGGTGTGGCATCTCCACCTTCCCCCACAGGCCCAGAACCCACCCTGCTGGGCCAGCATCGTCTCCCAAGGGCTCCCACACAGACACAGTGGGAGCCCCTTCCCTCAGGCTGGCCCCCAACTTGTCCCCTTAGAGGGGTCGTTGGTAAGCACTGTGGCCTGAGGCTTCCTCTGTGAGAGACTTGTGGGGGTCATGCCACAGGGGAAGAGGGAAGTGAATGGATAGAAGGTTCTAGAACTATTAGCTATTGCAGGGACAAGATATGAAGAAAGGATTTCAAATCCTGGTTTAAAGAATCAGCCAGGCACAGTGGCTCATGCCTATAATTATAGCACTTTAGGAGGCTGAGGCAGGAGGATCCCTTGAACCCAGGAATTGGAGACCAGCCTGGGCAACATGTTGAGACCCCATTTCTACTAAAAGTAAAAAAAAAAAAAAAAAAAAAAAAAAAGATCTGACTATGGTTCCATGTGCCTGTAGTCCCAGCTACTGTGGGCATTGGGGTGAGGGTGGCTGTCGCTTGAGCCCAGGAGGTCAAGGCTGCAGTGAGCTGTGATTGCACCACTGCACTCCAGCCTGGGCGACAGAGCAAGACCCTGCCTCAAAACTAAAAACAAACAAAAAGAATCAAGGTTCTGGGGTTCTGGAGTTGTTTCCATCTTTCCGGCCTCCCGCAGTCCAGCAAAGGCCTATGGGTGAGGCAGAGCAAGTGCTGGAGAAGGTGGCAGCAGGTGGCCTGCGGGCCAGTGGACAGGAAGGAAGTGAGACAGCTGGCAGGCGACTCGGAGCCCGGGAGCGGGAGTGGGCTGGAAAGACCCCTGGCCTGGCCCTGCCTTGGCTCCCCAGAGGGTGTCAGGGCCCAGTGGCCACACTGCCCGCTCCCTGGGGCCCCCTGACAGGAGTTCCCACCGACCTCTCCAGGAATCTGGGGCCCGGGCCTTGTGCCCACCTGCCAGGCCAGTCCACCCTCAGCTGAACCACAGTGGGGCAGATGGATACACAGGCAGGGGCGTGGCCCAGCTGTCGGGCCAGGGTCTACTGGACACTGTCACTGTCTCCCTCTGTCCCTACAGGTGGGGCCTGTCCCCTCTGCCTGACCCAAGGGGCCAGAGACCGCCGAGTGACACACACCCAAGCACTCTCTCCCTTGCCACCGGCTTTGGGGCAGGTGCCAGTGATCTGGTTGGCAATGCTCAGGACTGCCTGTCAGGACATCTGAGCCCTCAGGCTGGTTTCTCACTCCTGCCCACACAGCGGTCTCGGCTGCCAGGCTGTGTGACTCGGGGTGGGGGGCTCTGACCTCTCTGGGCTCACAGGTGATGAATGAGGTTTTTAACCTGAGGACCATGGATGGCCGTGGGGGCTCTTGGCTCCCCCGACAAGTGCAAGTGCAGCCTGTCATCCAGAAGGAGAGGCAGCTCCCCAGCTGCCCCCTGACCCCTACACAGCTGCCCAGCCCCAGCCCCACTGCTCTTCGCTGGGGTGACTCCAGACAGGGCATTTTCTGTCTCCCTGCATGCTCCCCACCCATCTCTACAACAGGGAAAACAGTTTCGCTCTGCAAGGCAGCACACCACCTCGGGACCTGGAGAGAAGGCGAAGGTGAGGAGTGGGCTCTGCCCCGAGCTGTGTGCCCCGGGCAGAGTGAGGGCTCACTTCGCTGAGCCTCAGCCTCCTTCTGCTTGGGAGGAGGGCATTATAAGAACCCCTCCTGTCCGGGTATACAGAGGAGGGAGGAGCTAGCCTGCCTGTGCGTGGAGGGTGGAGGGTGGAGGGTGGAGGGCACTTGTACCCGACTCCATCTGCACTCCATCTGCAAGGCTGGCATGGGGCAGGCACACAGTGAAGACGCCCTCACTTGTCCCCAAGTTGGGAAGGCAAAGGAACCTGCAAGGCCACTCAGGTAAGGAGGAGTGCAGACATTCTCTCGAGGCTGTGACCCCTGAGCACAAGCCCTCCCCTAGGTGGGGAAAGAGACCTAGAGGGAGGGGCAGTCTGGAACGAGGTCCAGTCTGAGAACCTCTCCCAGGCCGGTCAGGAAGTCACAGATCCTCTGAGCATTCTTCCAGGATTGCTCAGCTCTGGGGACGACGCCTGGAGAGACAGGCGGCAGAGGAAGGTCGGAGGGTCCTGGTGCCTCTGCAGCAGCTCCCAGGCCAGCAGCGCCACCTGGTGGTCATATGCCCCAGGCACTTCAATCCTGCCGGCATTCCCAGCGGATCAGTGGAGGGGCTGGGGCCAGCTGGAGGGGCTCGCCCAGGCTGGGCTGGGGCCCAGAATGTGCCCCCTTAGCTCTGCCCACCCCTATGTGTGTGCAAGTTCCAGGGAAAGCCCAGAGAAAATAGGGTTGGCCCCAGGGGAATGAGCCCCATTGGAGGGGTCGGCCACTGTGATCATGGTGCATGGATGTAAGTGTGTGTATGGGGAGGCAGACGTTTTGTTGGGAGTGAGACCCTCAGTTATACCTGGCACAGGGTGGGTAGATAAACTGTTGATTGAATTAATGAATGAACGTGCTGGGGACTGTCCAGAGGACAGCCCTGCTCCTTTCATTAGCTCAGTTCAATCACTGATTGAGTGCCAAACACCATGGGAGGACACACACACACACACACACACACACACCAAAAGAAGAGACAGGGTTCACATACACACACACATACACATACTCACATACACACACATACAGACTCACATACACACACAGACTCACATACACACACACATACACATACATACACACACATACAGACTCACATACACACACACACAGACTCACATACACAGACACACACAGACTTACATACACACAGACACACACACACATACAGACTCACATATACACAGACTCACATACACAGAGACTCACATACACACAGACACACACACACTCAAATACACAGACTCACATACTCACAGACACACACAGACTCAAATACACACACAGACTCACATACACACACACTCATACACACACATACAGACTCACATACACATAGACACACACAGATTCACATACACACACAGACACACACACACAGACACACACAGACTCACACACACACACAGACTCACATACACACACATATACATACACACACAGACTCACATACACACACACACTCACATACACAGACACACACAGACTTACATACACACAGACACACACACATACAGACTCACATATACACAGACTCACATACACAGAGACTCACATACACACAGACACACACAGACTCAAATACACACACAGACTCACATACACACACACTCATACACACACATACAGACTCACATACACATAGACACACACAGATTCACATACACACACAGACACACACACAGACACACACAGACACACACAGACTCACACACACACACAGACTCATGTACACACAGACTCATGCACATATACATATACATAGGTACATACACACACTCACAAATGTAAATACATGTACACACACATATACAGACTCACATACACACATACACACATGTACGTATACATACAAACACAAACATACACACACGTGCATACACAGACACACACAGCGACTCACGTACACACACGTACGTACACACACGCACATACACACATCACATATACAATACATACACAGACTCACAAACACACACACAGACTCACATGCATATACACATACATACACATGCACATACATACACAATGTACACACAGACTCGCATACATATACACGTACATACACACAGATACGCAGACACATATACAACCATGCTCCACATAACATCGTTTCAGTCAGTGATGGGCTGCGTATATGACAGTGGTCCTGTCAGATTCCAAATAGCTGAAAAATGGCTGTTGCCCAGTGATGTCCCAGCCATCGTAACACTGTGGCACAGTGCGTTACCTTTTCTATGTGTGGATTTGTTTAGTTGCACACATACTTATCACCGTGTTACAGTCGCCCACAGGACTCAGTACAGTAACACGCGGTACAGGTTTGCAGCCTAGGAGCAAAGGCTACGGTGTAGAGCCGAGGGGTGCTGGAGGCCATTCCATCTGGGTTTGTGTAAGGACAGTCTGTGACGGTCCCCTAATGAGGAAATGGTCTAATGATGCATTTCTCAGAATGTGTCTTGTCAGTGAGTGACGCATGACTGTACATAGGTACATGGACACACACACTCACACATGCACACTGCTGCAGTTTGCACGGGTGCCCCTAGGTTCACATGTCAGAAACTCGATCACCAGTGTGACAGTGTTGGGATGAGGGGCCACTGGGAGGTGTTTGAGTCATGCGGGCACCACCCTCATGAATGGATTAATACGTTATCTCAGGAATGGTTCTTTTTCCCCCAAAGCAACAAAAGGTAAAAGCAGGGAATGGTTCATCATCCTGGGAGTGGGTTCCTTGGGAAAGGACAAGTTTGGCACACTCTCTGTCTCTGTCTGTCTCTCTATCTGTCTCGCCTTCACCACATGGGGCCCCTCCATCTTGGACTTCCCAGCCTCCAGAATTTGTTGAGCCAATTAATTCCTAGTCATTAGGAATTAGCCAGTTTGTGGTGTTCTGCACATGTGGTTATAGCAACAGAAAGTAGACTGAGACACACACACACACACACACACACACACACACACACATTCCTGCATGTACACATGAATGCCTGCGTACATGTAGACACACAGACACGCAGGCATGCATAACATGTGCCTACACACAGATCCACACACACTCACTTAATTCTCGCAACCTTGCCTTAAGGCAGAGGGTGTCCGCAATCTCCCCTTGACAGAGGAGGAAACTGAGGCTTAGGAAAGACACGTAACTTGCTGAGGGGCTAGTGTGATACAGGGGCCTGGCGGCTGGGCCATCCTGTTACCTGGGCTGTATTCTGGAGGGCCTGCTCTGGGTTGGGCTGTGGCAGCCTCTCTGTGATCTCCCGAGTTAGGGTTCTGGGAGCTCCCCAAAACCCTTCCATAGCTTTGTTCTGGAGAGGATGGTTGAGGTGGGGGATTCAGACTCCTGGACCTCAACCCTGCACCCCCACCAGGCCACTAAGAGGGGCACCCGTGGGGGTGAGTGGAGGACCCTGACCCCAGGCCACTGGTACCGCCTGGATGCCTGCAGTACACAGGGGATCCGATGTCCTTCAGCCCCCAGGCTGGCCCCGATGTGAAGTCTGATGGGTGTTGGGCCCCCGTGCTGCCCCCTTCCCCCACAGGTAGCTCATTTGCTGAGTTTCCAAGCAGAATAGTTTGTAAAATGTGCAATGCATTTGGGAGGGGATGAGCCTCTCATGGACAGTAGGGCAGGTACCAGGAGAGTGGTGGCCCCAGCCCTCCCAGTCCCCTGGGAGCCCCACCCAGGCACACCAGGTTCAGATGGTCAGTGCCTGTTCCCCCAGGAACTCTTGGTGGCTGAAGATGCCTGTGGACTCCCATTATGTAAAACACCGAGGATTCCCAAAACCCAGTGATGCTATAATGTCATTGAAATAGTGAGCACATAGATGATGTGGCATTTCCCGACTGGCCCTTGGGGTCAAGTGGTAGTCCGAAGGGCAGCTCTCACCGGGTGGTCAGACAGCACGCTGGACACCCAGGGGCCCCTCGATGCTGTGACACGCCAGGGAGGCACCCGGGTCCCTGATGTTCCAGTGCAGGACAAGTGACAGCCCACCTGGCCCACTCCTCCCCCCAGGTTCATGCCCCACCCCCACTCCATCTCAGCAGAGTGTCCCGAGGCCTCCCTGGGTTGTGGTGCCGGGCGAGTTCCCCTCTCTGTCCAGGACTCCCACGCTGGTGCCCTGGGAAGCTGGGGGGCTGTAGGAGAAGGACAGACTCAGAGCCTGGGGCTGGCTTATAAACACAAGAGCTTTTCCCACGTCAGCCCTTGGCGTCAACTTGTGAGGGCGTCCCCATGCAGGCGTGATAGGCAGAGGCTGTGCTGAGGGCCGGGGCAGCAGAGGAGGTGGGCAGGGCCCAGAGGCACTGGGTGGGTGCCTCGCACACCAGGGCTAGGGAACCATTTGTTCTAAGCTCTGGATTACAGATGGGGAAACTGAGGCCCAGAGAGGGGCAGGGACATGGCTGAGGTCTCGGGGGACCCCTGAGCAGCCAGGCCTCCGCTGCCTCCCTTGGGCGGGTGTGAGGGGCACCTGCGGTTTGGTGTTAGGCTCCCACCTACAGGGGCAAAGCCCAGGCTCAGAGGTGACCTGGAATCAGCGAATCAGGGGCCGAGCTGGACTAGGCAGGAGGGTGTGTGGTTGCAGCAGGTGAGCTCATCTGTAAAACGGGGGTGCGACACCCCTGGCCCTGCCAGCCTGTCCAGGTCTGCGCGGCACTTGGCGCTCCCAGCACCACACCCTCCAGGAGAGGCCCAGCTGGGAGTCATCTGGAAGAAGTCCCTCCTGGCCCAGGTGGGCAAAGAGAGGACCAGGAGGGAATGACGTCGAGCACCTCTTCCTCATTGGAGCCCTCCTGGGTGACCCCGTCCTGTGCCCAACACGTGACTGTTCTCCCTGGGGCTGGCCACGTGGGGGTAGGATCTGAGCACCCCTGCAGCTGAGCCACGAGAGCACAGGACTCCCCAGGGCTCTGCAGGGGGCCTGGCCTCAGCTCCAGCTGAGTTCTGGAGAGGTGCTGCAGGGGAGAGTTAGGTAGACACACCTGGAGGCCCAGAACTAGCCGAGGGATGGTGAAGGGGTCATCCGTGCTGAGTCCTTGAGGGCTCAGTGAGGCCGAGGAAAGGTGGGGCAGGGTCCAGTCTGGAGGGTGAGGCTGGGCCTTGTGGCCTGTCCTGGGGTGGGGGTGGGGAGGAATCAGTTTCAAGAGGCAGCCCCAGGAAGAGTAGGGGCAGAGGAGGGGGTGGGACTTGACAAGCGGAAGGCCCTGGCTGGGGCTGGGCACAGGCTGCTGGGCCAGTGGGGCGGGGGCCAGGAGTCATGGAGCAGGTGGTCCGAGGAGATGGGGTGAGGGACCATCCAGGGGGAGGGAATGGCAGGGGACAGGACTGGGAGCAGGAGAGTGTGGTCTCATGGGCGGAGCCACTTCCCCAGGCCTGTCCTGGCCCTCCAGCCGCAGCCCCTCCCCTCGGCCCCTCTATCTCCTCCCACCTTTCCTACTCACCCCTCCACTCCCTCCTGCACCTGGGCCCGCCCCTCCACAGCCAGAGACGTTCTGCAGACGCTGAGCTTGACTGCCCCCTCTCCCTGGCCCACAGCTTTCTGGTGGGGGGTCAGGATGTAGGGGGTGGCCTTGACCCTGGAGTCAGGCAGGGCTGGGAGGGGAATTCCAGCTCCTTTTTGAGGTGGCGCCTGGGAACGCTGGGTTGGTCCCATGATGTCTCTAAGCCTCAGTTTTCTCCGCTGTGAATTGGGTGCACAGACCCCTTCGGGTGGGGGCCCAGCTCTGGAGGGTGGGCGGATGTGGCCACGTGGGTCCCCTCTCATCCCGTGAGGGGTGGGGAGCACAGAGCGCTGGGCTGCAGAGGCCCTGAAGGAGAGAGGAGGGGCTGTGTGTGAAGAGGCAGGGAGGCTGGAGTCAGAACTGCTAAGCCAGGTGGCAAGCAGGGTGTGCGGGTGTGGAGATAGGGGGTGTCCAGCTCCAATAGGGCACACGGTGGGGGTCTCCAGCGCAGATAGTGCACCCCCACCCCGCTCCATGCCTTCAGGCCTCCAGGAAGCTGGGGCAGGCACCCAGGCGACATTTCCTGCTATTAATGGAGCTTTAATCTAAACAGGCCCTAATATTTACATCCAGACGCCTCCGGCTGCCGCGGGTGCCAGACTGTGGGAGTGATGAGCCCCCAGACAGCGCCTCCCCACCCAGAGCTCTGCTGGGCCAGACCAGAGACCGAGAACTGGGCACCTGGGGGCCCTGGTTTGAGCCCCCTCCCTGACCACCCCCAAAGCCTAAGTTTCTCCTCTAGGAATGGAGGTGGTCATCTCACCCTCCCAGGTTCAGTGAAGGGGCCACTCAGTGGCACTTAGTAGGCCCACAGGGAGGCCAGTGCTCCCTCTCCCTGGTGTGTTGGACCAGCTGTCCTATCCCCTCCCTCTCCCTCTAGGCCATATCTCTGCTGATATGATAGGACTCAGTGGCTGTGGGTGGTCTGGCTGCCTCGCCCACCTCCACGTCCTTGCCCTGGGTAGGCAGGTTCGGGATCAGGGATGGAGCGCCTTGTTCTGCTGGTCCATGCCCCCCACCCAGCTGCTGTGCCCACACCCTGCTGGCAAGTCAGCCACTTGTGCCCCCTCCATCCCCTGCCCATCAGAGCTGGGCAGGGCTCAAGGCCCCTAAATCTGCCTCCCAGCAGGGATGACAAAACCACAAAACCACTGCCGCTGCCTCCCTGTGGAGCCCTGCTGGTCCGCAGGACACAGAGTTGGGGCGTGCGTAGGGCTGCCACCCTGCTCCATACCCTCCGCCAGCTCCATGTCCCCCACCAGCCCAGGACCAGAGTCGTGGGCAAGAATAGAATAAACAGCTTTAATTCCAGACGAGGACATCTCGTGAAGGAGATTGTTTACGTCGGATATAAATACACACACCATTTCACGTCACTTGGGCGTTTTGAAAATCTGGAAAGGGAGATCATGGGGAGGGGGCGCAAAGATCTCACGCCCTGTCCCCGTGAGTGTGGAGAGGGGGCACGCACAGATCTCACCTCTGCCCCTGTGGGACCAAGGACAGTCTTGGTCTGACTTTTGAAGCTCCTGGGCCTCGGTGCCCACAGAGGAGGCTGAAGTGGGAAGGAGCCGGCCGTCAGGAGAAGGAAGCAAGCAGCCGGGGGAGCTGTGGGGCCCAGTCCAGGGCATTGGGGTGACCCCCTTCCCCAGCCCCCTGCCCTCCAGCTGTAAGGCTGAGGAGAGGAGAAAGAGGAGTGGGGTGTGGAGAAACTGAGGCTTGCCTATCAAGGGTTCTGCATCGGGGGCTGGCAGGCAGTTCTCAGAGGTCTGAGGGTGGGCCCCAAGCCTGTGTCCCTGGCCACAGAAGACAGGCGGCCTGTCCTCTCCAGCATGAGTGGTAGTGGACGCACTTGCCGCTTCGGACAGGATGTCCTTCCCCTCCCGGCCTCTTACAGTCTGAGAAGCCTCTGAGGCCCGAGGAACCCAAGTTGAATGATTGGATTTCAGATGTGGGGACAAGGAGGGGACCTGGCTCACCTGCCTTAGAGACCCCTCCTCCTGAAGAAAGGGATTGTTCCAGAAAAATTGCAAGCCCTGCCTCTTCAAGCACAGCAATCCTCAAGTGTCAGCCATTCACTCTTTAGCGTGAATTAGAGTGACAACCAGGAATGGAGCCAGGCTGGGGGTCATTGATGGGGAGGCCAAAGGCCCGAGGGGCACGTAACACCGGTGGAGGAGGGGCAGGGAAGACTGGCGGGGAAGGGGCCGGGAAGACTGGTAGGGGAGGGGAGGGGCTGGGAAGCTGCATGGAAGGCCCTTCACTGGCCCCAGCGAGGCGGGCGCTTGGCCTTACCTTTGCCCAGGCCATTCCCCCTCATCTTAGCACTCCTTCCCGCTGGCCCCTGCCTCCTTGCAGCCCTGGGCTGGAGAGGTCTTCACAGTACAGTGCGGGACCAAGGGCAGAGGGGTGTCATACTCTAGGCCACGTGCAGAGCTTGCTTGAGGGGCGGGAGTGGGAGCCGGCAGGTAGTCTCTGGGGCTTGGGGCGCCCCCTAAGATGGAGCAAGAGGATCCACAGCTCCTGGAGGAATGGAGTCCAGAGTCCCTGGCCCTGGATGACTTGTGAGCGTGGGTGGAGGGGTCCCAGGTAAGCAAGGCCATTCAGGGACTGCTGGGCCACATGAGCCTGGAAGAAGCTCATGGCTTGGGCTGGGCAGGACACCTGAGCCCTGACCCCTCACTCCTCAGCTCTAGGCATGTGACCACGTGGGTGCCAGCTCGCAGCCCTGGGAATGATGGCTCGCTGGCTGTTGGTGCCTGCTTGCCTGAAAGTCGCCGTGAATGCTGCACCTGTGGTCAGCGGGGTTTTTCTGCATGCACAGCCCTGTCCCCCAGCCACGTCCTTTCCTGAACGCTGGGCCCCTCTGCCTTGTGGAACCCTGCATCCCTGGTAAGCCACGGCCCCTCTCTGAGCAGCACCCGAGAGCTGGGGGCTGGGGGAAGGTTCCAGAATTGTGCCTGGTGCCTGGTAAGTATCAAGAATGCTGGCGGCCATGGTGATACCCACTGCTTCTCGGGCATCCGGACCCAGGGAGGAAGTAACCCTGGCAGCACTCCCAGTTCCACCACCTTGCGGGGCACGCCTCTGACTCCTCTGGGCCGGTGCCCCCCACCCCAGCTGCTCCACATGGCCACAGCTGGGGTTGGTGAGGACAATACTGGCCTTGGATGACTCAGGCACTCACTCTATGACCTTGGCAAGCCCCTTTCTCCCTCTGAGCCTCAGTTTCTTCATTTGTAACATGGGGATATAAAGTCCAGGACCCTAAACTGGGGTCAGGAGACTCTGCCTCGAGCTGAATCGGGGAGCCCCGGCCTTTTCCTCCTCCTCCCCCTCCTGCTCCCAGCCACACAGGCCACGGTCACCCTGAGTGTGTAGGACTTCTCTGTAGCCAAAGGCCTGGCCTGAGGACCTGAGCCCATCTCGCCTGCTTCAGTGGCTATGGCCAGGTCTGATGGCAGGGCCTCAGAGCCGGAAGTGCCAGGGATGCCCCACACTCCTCTTCCTCACCACAGGCTCCCTTCCCCATTACCAGTCCTGAAAGGGCTGGGAGCTTGGACGCTCGGCAGAAGGCACGTGGGAGGAAATCCTGGAGTCCAGCTCTGAGGAGATGATCAGAGGCCCCAGCCAGAGAAAAGCTCCCTCCCTAGTGAAGGCATGGGGACTCATAGTGAGCTGGGCCAGAGCAGCTGGTCACGTCCTCTCTGCCCCCGGGGGGAGGAAAATGGCTGTTTGCATGGGGAGATGGTGGCCACAACCCGGCATGCCTGGGTTCACTGCTGCGTGACTTTGTTCTTGGTTTTCTTATCCATAGGATGGGGCTGTGAACACTGCCTCTACCTGGGGCAGCAGGTGAGCCATTCTGAGGCCATTCCTAGAGTGGGGGCTTTGGGATGATCGTGCACTCTCTGTGGAAGGAGGTGCAAGGGCACTGGAGGAGGTGGGGCTGGTTTTCATTCTGACCCTGCCATTTCCCAGCTGTGGCCCCTGTGTGTGTCACTTGACCCCTCCAGCACCAAGAAATGGATGAAAAGTAGCGTCTCCTTTGTGGGTTGTTGTGGGTTCAAGTGTCAACCTAGATATCACAGTGCTTGCTCACAGCAGAGCGGCCTGTGGGTGTCTGCCGTTTTATCGTGCAATTCACGGAGGCCTCAGGTGGGGGGGTCTTGCAGAGACATGCACCCCCCCCCACCTCCATTAATGCAACACGAATGCTCCCTGGCCTTTTCTTTCTGTCCTTGTCCTTCCTCCTGTGTGTGTGTTGGAGGGAGCATTGTTGTTGTTAGCTCTCTCGGGAATTCAGGTTGTTTCTTAACTCTCTTGGGAATTCCCAGCACCTAAATAATCTTTGTCCTTTTTTCTTTTTTCTTTTTCATCTCATCCTTCTAATCAATGGAATCCACTGTGCCCTTTTTTCTGAGGAACTCCTTCTGGAGACAAACTGGCCAAAGTGAGGAGCAGCTCCCGGCTACCCCTGTGAGTTTTCAGTGGACGTGCTATACCCCAGGAACAGCAAATCACCGGCATTCAGGCCACCACATCCCATCGGAGCCAGTGGCAGACATTGCTAATCAACCACAGCACAGTGGCCTTAGACGCTCAATGCGGTGCTCTGGGTAGCCATCACCAATCAATCGAGATGGAACCGATTGCCACCCCTGGCATGGTGGGTGTCCACGCTGGCATGCCCAGATGAGTCCTGACCTTCGGCCCCTGGCAGAGCCCTGCTGACTAAGCCTCGGGCCCATTAGCCAGGGCCTGGGTGAGGGCGTGAGGGCCGGCACTGAGGATGTGATGACGGCCTGAGCCCTTGGAGCTCCTGTGCATGCTGACCACGTCACCGCTGCTGGGCTCACGCTCTCCGTGCTGGCCGAAGAGGCCTCGGACGGTGGCCTGGAAGCCACTGGTGACGAAGCAGTAGACGATGGGGTCCATGCAGCTGTTGAGGCTGCTGAGGGTCACGGCCACGTGGTAGACCACGAGGCTCGTGTGGTGTGGCATGTCGGGCCACAGCGCCACGGCCACTTGGCGGGCGTGGAAGGGCGTGAAGCAGACGAGAAAGATGATGAGCACCGTGAGCAGGAGCTGCATGGCCCGCACGCGGCGCTGGCGACCCTGGTGGAGCAGACCCGGCCGCGACAGTGCACACATGATGCGGCCGGTAAACACGCTGATGACCAGCAGGGGCAGCAGGAACTCCAGGACAGTCAGCGCAAAGACACGGCAGCAGGGCCGGCTGCCTGTCACGCCCAGCACCGACAGGGTGACGGCACCGGCGGCCAGCCACACGAAGGCGCACACGGCCCTGGCACAGGCAGGCTGGCGGCAGCGGCGGGAGCCTTCGGGCCGCACGATGGCCAGGTAGCGGTCCACGCAGATGCAGGTGAGGAAGAGGATGGAGCAGTGCATGTTGAGGAAGTAACCGAGGACGTGCGGGAAGGCACAGCGCAGGCAGCCCCTGGCGCCGTAGTACACAGCGAAGCGCGTGGGCAGGGACAGCCCTACCAGTAGATCGGTCACCACCAGGTTGATGGTGTAGATGACTGAGGGTGTCTTGGCCCGGGTGCGGCAGCAGAAGACGTACAGCGCCAGCCCGTTGAGCACCAGCCCTGCCAGGAAGATGGCTCCGTGCACCGCCATCAGCGCCAGCCACAGGCCTGGGAAGGTGCCATGCAGCTCCTCGTCCAGCCGGGCAAACAGGTGGAACAGGGGCACCTCCAGCCCGCTGGCATTGGTCCGCACTGTTGTCACTGCGGTGGCATTGGGGACTGCCCCGGCCGAGGGCCCCGCTGGAGACACAGAGGGCATGACGGCAGCCAGCACACCCCAGGCCTGGAAGCAAGGAGACCAGGTCACCCCAGGCGCCAGCCTGGCCTTAAGCCCTGCCCTGAGGCCCAGAACTCAGCTGGCCCGTCTGCCCCTGCACGCCCAGCATCCCCCTTCTCCATGCCCTCGCCTGGCTGGGGCCTCAAATGCCTGCTCCCTTGGCTCTACCCAGAGGGAGCCTCGGACAGCAGCAGAAAAGGCACAGGCTTTCAGAGTCAGACGCGTGTTCAAATTCCAGGACTGGCACTTGCCAGCGTGGAGACTCGACAAAATACGGAGGTTTCTGCGACCGTCCTGGCACGAGGGGGAGGCGGAAACACGTGCGGTGCAGGGCTGTCCTCGGGATGGAGAGCTGATAAGGGCAAGACCACGGGGCTCCAGTGTGCAGTTCCAGGGCCTGGCTCCAGCCCCAGCTGTGCCACTGACTAGTGTGCTTGCTCGGGTAGGCCACTTAACCTCTCTACCTGCTTCCTAATCCATGTCACTGGGATCGCGTTGCTGCTGGGGTGACTAAGCAAGCGGGTCAGCACGGCAGCGCCAGCAGAGTTGGTGGCTGATGACCCAGTTCTGCTGGGACAGAGCCTTGTTCATGGTGGGGACCTCTGACTGCCCTGCCCACTCCCCTGTCCCCACACCCACCGTCATGGCCCCCATCCTCCGGGACCACCCATCTGTTCTCCCCTCCTCCTAGGCCAGCATCAGGTCAATGCCCTGGATGGGGGTCCTCATGAGGGACCTTTACAAAGGGAATTAGGCTGTCCAGTGGGGCTGCATGGGAGCCAAGGACCAGTCTCACTGGGCACCCCAGGCTCCTACTGGCCCTGAGAGGCGGGCACCCCTATGATCCCCCCAAACTACAGAAAAGGAGACAGAGGCCCCTGTGGGGTGGCTGGTTGGGGCTGAAGCCTGGAGCCAGAGTGTGAGTCAAATAAACACCGAGCTCCCGTCTGGCCTGGGCAGGGGGGCCAGGGTGGGGGGCGGGCGAGGGGCTGTGCCGGAGCCACCCACTCTGTTTATGTTCCTGCCCTGGCGTGTTTAACTCGGCAGTGATTTATCCCTCTATTTATAAATGAAGGGTTAACGGCCCTACCCCCACCCTACAGCTGGGCTGACCCTCCAAATAAGGGCATTTCTGGCTTTTTCAGGAGAAAGGAGAAGTCTTTGGGGCCAGCAGGGTGGGGAGGCTCGTGGGCCGTTTCTTCTGCACAGCGCCCCTCCCCCACCTGCTGGAGAAGGGAGGACACTTACCCCTTCCCCTCCTGGTGGCCCCTGCTGTAAACAGGCTGTGCCCCGCCACTCCCTCTGACCAGTGCGTGGCCCCATCCCACCCCTGGGGAACAATGAGCCCTGCCTTCAAACAGCCCCTGGCCTGGCTCAGGGCAGCAAAAGAACTCTTGCTTTCAGAGGGCCAGGTCCCTCCAGTCGGCGGCCACCTTCTTCCTCAGAGTCAGAGAGGTCAGTGCCTGCATGAGGTCACCCAGCATGCCCTCTGCCTCTGGGACCCCAGCCCTGGGTGCGTGCTACCCTGGAGGCTGCTGGGAGGAGTCAAGTGCTGCCCAGGCCTGTGCCCAGCCCCTCCTGCCACCCCCACCACACAAGGGCCCAGGCTCAGCTCCCAGCTCCCCCCGACTGCAAGCAAGCTCTCTATCTCCAGGCCCTGACACGCGGGCATTGATGGGTGCATTTGTTGGATGAATAGGTCTGTCCTCCCTCAGCCCAGGTGTGCCACCAGAGACGGGATTTGGGGGCACAGCAGGCAGCCAGGGGAGGAGAGGAGGCTGGGCACATGGGGGCTGGGAACCTGGCGTCTCAGGGCTGTGGGCTTCAGGAGCCCCAGAAGGTCCCCCCGAAAGAGATGCGTCCCTCCCCTGCTGTGGATGAAACGCTCTCAGAAAAGGTCGAGGCGGCTTTGCAGCTGGACTGAGGGACTGCATGGCCAAAAAAGTATTTTGGGATTCCTTTCTATGTGCCTTTTGCTTTTCCAATTTGTCTGCACGGGGCCTATATTAGTGTCCCAATCAGAGACAAATCATAAACAACACAGAACGTTTCCTGTGGGAGTGAGTCCCAGGGTGATGCTGGCCCCTGGGAATTCTGCTGTCCCAGAAAACTCCCCAGGGCCAGCCCAGCAGGCTCACCAGCAACGCTGCGGTGCTGGGGTCCTGGCTAGGGATGTGGGGGCTCTGCGGTCTCTGGAGCTGGGGGGATGGGCAGAATGTGCTGGACACCCCAGAGGCCAGACCGGAGAGGAGAGGGAGCTAGCAAAGCATGCTCTGATTCCCCGCACTAAGGGTCTGACCCTGATCTCAAACAAAGCTGAACCCTCATCTTGGTCACACACTGAGCCATGATCCCAGTAATGTGATGAACCTCGATCCCTGTCCCACTCTGAGCCCTGACCCTGGTCACACACTGACCCCAATCCTAATAGCACAATGGGCGTTGATTCCTGTGGCGCTCTGAGCCCTGATCCCAGCCACGACCTGGGCCCTCAGCCCGGACCTTCTGTCCCTGTCTCTGCCCTCCTCTCCCAGCTTCGTCTGGCTGTCTCTGTCTCCATATTGTCAACCCCCACCTGCCTCCCACAGCGACGGATGTCCCGATTCGATTATTACGGGGCCTCTCTGGGGCTCCCACTCACCACCCTCTTTGTTCAGAAGGAGGAGGAATGCAAGCGGGGACTCTAGACCCTGCAGGGGCCCATGGAAGTGGCTCCCTGGCGAGTGCCTGGGGAAAGGAGAAGGTTCCGCCCCTCCTGGGACAGCCTGGCTCTGCCTGTGGGAGAGGCACAGACTCTGCTCTCCGGAGGGCCCGGGTGATGAGCAGTCACCAGCACAGAGACCCGGGTTTGAGTCCAGCCCTGCCACTCCCTCAGCTGAGACCTGGGCCTGGTCAGTAGGCTGGCCGTCCTCATCTGCTGAATGGGGTCACTCGTGCCTTCCACAGCTCTGCCTCGCCCTGGTAGCCTGGACTGAGGGGAGAGGCATGGTTTTACCCTCAGAGCCGGCCGGAGAGGGGAGGCAGGGCCCTGTCCCCAAGCCTAGTTTCCCTAAGCCAAACCTGGGTGTGGGGGAGATGGTCCTGTCTCCTCCCTCTTTCCTGGCAGGCACCCTGGGTCTGTCTGAGACAGCAGACTCCATGGCGGGGGCCAACTGGCCAGAGTCTCATGGGCAGGGACTGGCACCGTGTCCTGATCGTGCTGACATGGTGTTGGGGCTCAGGGCCTGGAGGCTGTGCCAGGGCTGGGAGGTTTCTCTTTTCCACTGGCCCAGGCCAGCTCTGCTCCCCACCCACACACAGGTACTTCCTTGGGGACAGAACAGAGGGAACGAGGGCCTGCTCTCCAGGGCTGAGAGTCAGTGAGTGGAGACCCAGCAGGGTAGGGACCTGGAGTGTGGCCATGGAGCCCTGGCTCTGGCCTGGATGGCCCTGCCAAAGCCTGGCTCCATCTCTGAACGGACTATGTGGCCTTACAGTCTCTGAGCCTCAGTTTCCTCATCTGTAGAGTGGGCAAAATAGAATCTCCCCTGGGGGTTCTTGTCCTGATGTGCCAGCCCAGAGTAGGGGCTCAGACACAGGAAGTGATGAAAGTATGGGACAAGCTGCCAGCGGGGGACCCAGAGGGCGAGGGGGCGAGCTCTGCTCCAACCTGGGTGTGCAGCCTAGACCAGGTCCAGCTCCCACACTACTCACTGCCCCCGCCAGCCTGGAGGGAGGGCTCTGACCTGGGTGGGTCCTCTCTGAGCCTCAGTGTCTCCTCCTGTGAAGTGGGAATGGCCGGACACGCTGCCCTGCATGGCTGTCTTGGGCCTTGGCTGAACAGAGCACCTGCTGCAGGTGTGGCGGGGCAGGGGCAGGTGTGCTGCGGCATCTCTTTCTTTTCTGTTTCTGGCCCACCCTTCCGGGTGGGCAGACCCCCAGAGCCCCCACCCCTCCAGGTGGGCACACCTCCCAGAGCCCCGGCCTTTCAAGGCTTCGCTGAGCTCCTCCAGGGGAGGGGGCAGAGGGTGAAGGAGGATGTCCCTCATGCCCTCCCCGTAGGTATCACATCACAAAACAGCCGTCCTAGGCGGGGCTGCCGCTGGGTTGGGGGTTCTCCCTGGGAGGGGCCTGAGGCCTGGACTGCTGGGCAGGGCTGGGGATGTGCCTCTCCAGTCACTGCACCTGACTGATGCTTCTGCAGGCGAAACTACTAGCGGGGCCTAAACACTCCATGCGCCCTCCAGGCCCAACCCCAAGCTGTTCCTGCTCTCTCCCTTTCGGCTTATTCATGCCCATTTTTAGGACTTCCCCCTGGACTTGCCTCCTTAAGGAAGCCTTCTTCCTCCCTGGGCTGCCTCTCTCTGGTGCATCCTCCCAGGGCACCCTGCGCTTCCTCAATCCCAGGGTTCATCCCACGGCGCTGCTATGTGCTGCAGGCTTCCCTGTTGGACTCTGAGCATCTTGAGGCGGGGCTGTGGGTGGGGGCTGAGCTCCCATCTGTTCCACCAGCCCAGCACCCAGATTGGCCTGGCAGAGAGCAGCACCCGTCTTCCCCCTTGTCTGAATGAACGCCCTGAGCAAGCCTCATCAGGGCTGGCAAGGTGTGGCCTGGTTTCTCAACCTGGCATTCAGGGTGAATGCCACCTGGCCTGGCCCCCTCTGAAACCTGCCTACCCAGTGTCTTGGTACTGGTCTGGAATTGGCTTCCACCCCCAGCCCCATCGTCACTACCCATGAGTCCTCCCAGCCGAGCAAGGCTGACACCTCCTCCCGGAAGCCCGTCCTAATCACTCTGACCATTGTGTCCACACTTACATTCCTTCCCACCCTCTATCTCCCATCACCACTCTTTCTTTCTTTCTTTTTTTTTTTTGAGACGGAGTGCTGTGGCGAAATGTCGGCTCACTGCAACCTCCACTTCCTGGGTTCAAGTGAGTCTCATGCCTCAGCCTCTGGAGTAGCTGGGATTACAGGTGCCCGTGCCACACCTGGGTAATTTTTGTATTTTTGGTACAGATGGGGTTTCACCATGTTGGCCAAGGTAGTCTCAAACTCCTGGCCTCAAGTGGTTTGCCCACCTTGGCCTCCCAAACTACTGGGATTACAGGCGTGAGCTACTGCGCCCGGCCCCATCACCACTCTTGATAGCAATGGTCTTTGGTTTGCAGGCCAGCTCTACCACCCGCCACCTTCGAGGCCTCGGGCAAATCATTTCATCACTGGGAGCCTCAGTTCCCTCACCTGGGACTTTGGGAACCATATTTGTTGAATGAATGAATGAAATCAGGCAGGGTGGCTGGACTAAGTGAGAAATACTGCAGACACCCCCAACATGGGAGGCGTGCGATATAAGAGCACGGGAGGCTCCTGGTTTTGGCACCTGGATGGGGCCCTGTGTGGACCAGCCCGCTCACACGTGGGGAGAGGCCAGGGCCAACACGTGTGCTCAGTGCAGGACTTCTCAGAGCCTTTGTGAAACTCACGGTCCTGGGAACTTCCAAGGGGTGGGAGCGAGCATCGAGCATGGAAGCTATTTGACCCTGTCCCCTCCCTGGGGGTTCCTGCTCCATCCATCCCAATGGCCACACCACTAGTCCATGCCCAGAGCACTGATGGGGGCTGCTGCCTCCCTGCCCTCACCCACAGCTTGTTGAATTTCTGCTGGGCACCCGGCCATGGAAGGCCAGACCCCTGGGCTTGGGGTGCTGGCACCTGCCCAGAGGCCTCCAGCGGGGCACCAGGGTCATGCCGGCCTCCGTCCTTGGCCGGTGGGTGGGGAGGGCTATGTCCTCTCTTCCCTGGGCTCCTCTCAAACCCACCCCACCAACCTGGGAGTTCTCTCTTGGCTGCCCAGCAGCCTGTCTGCCTCTGTCCTGCCACATGTGAGACCAGGCAGCAGAGTGGCCCCGGCCCCAGGGCAGCAGATGGCCCAGGGTGGCTGTTGAGCCTGCCTGGGGGTCTGGCTCAGGACCCTGTGTGCTGTCTGTGGACGTGTGGAGGACGGGCCCAGCCTTTTCCCCACAGAGGGGCTCTGAGCACCTGCTAAGGGCGCTTTGCATCCACACAGCAATCCCAGGTTTTACAGATGAGGAACCGGAGGCCCAGAGGGGTGAGTGGTGTCCTCACGGTTACCCAGCATGGAGCTGGTGGGGCTGGGAATCAGACCCAGGTCCACTGGCAGGACCCGGCACAGGCCGGAGTGGAGCAGAGTGCGGGCTGGGGAGCAGAGGGGCTGGATTAGGCATCTCTGGACCGGGAGTTTGTGCACAAGGGGATTCTCCGGGCCCTGAGGCCGCATGTGTGACCACGGGTCTGTGTGTGCTTGAGCCTGCACCCCAGACGGCGTGGCCCTCATGGCCTTCCAGGGCTAAAATAGCCATGATTCGGGGAACTGTCTGCCTGTTTATTTTTATGATTATTCTTGGTTTCACAGCATCTGCTTTTGAATATCATCTGCTGTTTTTGATAAGTCTGAGCCTCCGTTTCTTCCACCAAGAGGCAGGTGGGTGCTTGCTGAGCTCTCCAAATGGGGTCAGACTCACCCCAGGTCACCTAGCAAGTCCCAGGTGACCCTGGCCAGAAGCCAAGTCTTTCTCCCTGTCCCCCACGCCCACAGGCCAGGGCTCCCTCCACCCCAGTGCAGAGAGAGACGTCACTGGTGGGCACAGACTGAGCTCTGTGGGGAAGGACACCTGGGCCCCATCTGACCCGACTCTGCCTCAGTTCCACCAGCTAAGAGCCCTCTTGCTGAGACTGCGGCTCTAACGGAAACACCAGTGTCTCTGGGAGGGGCATAGCCAGTTGGAGGTCCTGCATGTCACCTGCCAGCCCCTCCCTGCCTCCCCATCATTGGGTTCATTGCTCACCTCTAGCTGGGTGTCTCTGGGAGGGGCATGGCCAGTTGGAGGTCCTGCGTGTCACCCACCAGCCCCTCCTTTCCTCCCCATCACCGAGTTCATTGCTCACCTCTAGCTGGGATAGCCGTAGCTGCAGCAGCTCCTGAAACCCCTCCCCAACCTCAGCCTCTCCAGGAGCTGCTGGGACAGGCATTCTGTCATGTGCACCTGCCTGGCCTCAGCCTGGTCCTTCCGCCTGAAGCTCCTCAGCCTGGTCCTCTCAGCCTCTTCCCTCTGCATGTGCTGTTCCTTCTGCCCGGAATGCTGTTTCTCTCCCTGTGCCACCTGGTGAAGGCTCCGGGCACCCACAGTCATTGTTCCACAGAGCTCTCCCTGAGCCCCTCTGATGCCCTAGTGCCCTGGATGCCCCTGCCCCAGGGGGAGAGCTATGATCCCACAATCTGAAGGGCACCCGCTGGGCTCATCCTTCCCAGGGTCTTATTGACTTCCCTCAAGATGCCCCTGGGTGGGTGTTTCTGGCCCCACTGTGCCTGTGGGGAACCAATACAGAGGGGCTAAGTCATGTGTCCGGGCTCACCCAGCTGGGGTGCAGGAGGGGCTGAGCTCTGCCTCAATCTGCCTGCTGGCACTTTGTCCCAGTGCCTGGGATCAGCCTTCTGCGGCACCCAGCCCTGTGTGTGGAGGGAATCAGAGGCCCCAGGCCACACAGCCCCGTGCAGTTTGGAGGTGTCAGACCAGGACTTAGACCCCAGCACTGCGGGCACAAATGGGTCCCAGGCAGACCTGGCCCCACCTTTCCGAGCTGACAGCTCAGGGTAGGGTGGGAGGTGGCTGGTCACGGCCGGGATGGGCCTCAGGACAATCAGAGGGAAGAGCGCTCCCGGCAGCAGGAAGGGCACAGTGAGCATGAAGGGCCAGAGGTGGGAAGGAGAGTCTGTGTTCAGGGCTCTGTGAGACACCGGGGGCGTGGGGAGGGCTTTGGGACGTATGGTGAGGGGATCAACTTAAGGTTCTTTGGGCCCTGACGCCCCTCCTCAGGGAGGCCCTCCAGAGCCCACAGCCCCGCACGCCTGCACCGCCTGGCTTCCTTCGCAGTGCCCTGCCACGCGCAGTTCCCTATGTCCCTGCTTTCCTGTTCGCTGTGCTTCCCTCACTGAACTGGAGTGCCTCAGGGGCCCTGGCCTTGGCTGGCCCCTCTGAGTCACTGAGTCACTGCTGAGTGATGGAGTGGATGATTTTAGAATACCCCTCTGATCTCCTTGAGCCTCAGTTTCCTCATCTATAAAGAGGAGATGCTAATACCACTTAACAAGAAGACAATGAAGCCACCCCGTGGGCTCCAGGAGCTGCTCAGAAATGGTCCAAACTGCATGGCCCCCACGCCCGGCTCTCCAGCCGCAGACCCCGCCTTTGCTGATGGGCCCACACCGTGTGGCTCAGAGAGGGGCAGCGACTTGCCACGGCCACTCAGCAGACCGCCCTGGAGCCCAGCGACTGGATGAGTCCTGGGGGGAGAGGGGAGGGAAGACCCAGGATGACCAGCTGTTGAAGGAAGAAGACAGGGCAAGTGGACAGGCCCAGCCTCCTGCGGGGTGCATTCCCCGTCCTGCGAGGTCGCCAGCTGCTCCACGTCTGCCCCGCCAGCACCCTGGCTGCTGGCCAGTTCCCAGCCCGCTGCCCCCTCGGGACCCTGTCCTGCCGCCTTCTCACAGCGCAGTCCCAGTGCGAGCTTCGCGGGGCTGGAGCCAGCTTCTAGGTCCACACTGAGGGCTGGCAAGCAAGCCTTCCCTGGGACTCAGTTTCCCCACCCCTAAGGGGTAGAGACAGCACCAAGGCTACTGCAGAGGGCCTGAGCTGTGGGATGGCAGGACGGGCACTCTGAAGAGGGAGCATGGCGCTTGGAGCCCATGCCCACAAAGCCCTCACCATGGCCCTGCCCCAGCTGCGGGGTGGTGGTGGCTGAGGCCCCAGAGCCTGCCAAGTGCCTCTGGGGTCCCCCAACTCTGTCCCTGGCTTGGCCTGTGGGCCACCCTGCTGCCTTGCCAGGTGGGGAAACCAAGACCCAGCTCTGGGCACCCAGCAGATGCTCGGTGAGTGTTGAACGGAGGGATGAATGAGTGAATGAATGAAATCCAGAGTTGGGTGGGCACCTAGCAGCGCAGCTCCCCCTTATGCAGCCAGCCCAACTCACGCCCATGTTCTCCCTCAGGTCTCTGTTTTCTCATCTGAGAAATGGCTCCCTGTCCAGCAGGACCTGCTCTGAGCTCTCCCCAGCCCGGATCTGGAGGCAGTTTCTCTGCCCTGCCCTTCCCACTCCTGCTTGGCTGGGGGTGAGAACCCCTGCAGGGAGCAGCTCAGGAGCCTCCTATCTAGGGAAGCTGGGGAGAGGGAGGCTGGGGCCAGCCCACAGGGGAACTTACCGCGCTTCACCCGGGCAGGCTGGAGATGGGAGTCCTCAGCTCTCAGCTCTGCATGCAGCCCGGACCTCGCCTTCCTACGGCCTGACGTCAGGCCAGCGCTTGGGGCTCCTTTTGGGCAAAGGCAGGGTGGGGGCGGGGCAGGCTCCTTCCCCGCCCCCAGGAGGAGTCAAGGCTCAGAGCCTGAGGGACGGTGCCTGGGGCACCAGAGTCCCCACACCCACTGGAGACAGAAGAAGAAACCGAGGCACAGAGGGGCCTGGGGCACCAGAGTCCCCACACCCACTGGAGACAGAGGGGGAAACTGAGGCACCGAGGAGCTGAGCCTCAGCTGCACCATCCAGGAGGTGGTGGCTGGCACTTGTGTGTGCCGTGTGCAGGGCAGGAGGTGGGAAACTGAGGCACGGAGGGGCTAAGCCTCAGCTGCACCATCCAGGAGACAGTGGCTGGCACTTGTGTGTGCTGTGTGCGGGGCAGGAGGGGGAAACTGAGGCACGGAGGGGCTGAGTCTCAGCTGCACCATCCAGGAGATGGTGGCTGGCACTTGTGCGTGCTGTGTGCGGGGCAGGAGGGGAAAACTGAGGCACAGAGGGGCTGAGTCTCAGCTGCACCATCCAGGAGACGGTGGCTGGCACTTGTGTGTGCTGTGTGGGGGGCAGGAGGGGGAAACTGAGGCACGGAGGGGCTGAGTCTCAGCTGCACCATCCAGGAGATGGTGGCTGGCACTTGTGCGTGCTGTGTGCGGGACAGGAGGTGGGAGCACACGAAAGCCCAATTTCCTTCCCGGGAGGGGGCATGTGCATGGTAGCTTCAGCCCACGCAAGCCTGGGTTCCTGCATGGCTCTCTGTTTTGCATGTGTCCTGGGTTTGGCTGTGTCTGTGTGTACCCATGACCGACAGCCTGCACACCTGGCATCTGGGCCTCTGTTTGCACCCATGCACCGGTGGCATGTGGCATGTGGGGTCAGGTGTGTGGGAAAGACCTGGACGTGACCCAGGCCAGCAGGTGGGGAGAGCGTGTGGGACCCGGACCTCAGTGCTGGAGGAAGCGTGAGCTCATCAACAGGCTTGATCCCAGAGGGCTGCTGGAGGGCCACTCTCCCCAGACAGCTTCAGAGCCAGGAGGCCTTGTGGCCAGCCTGGGGTGGCAGCGGGGGTTGTCGGGGAGCGGTTGGGGCCATTTAGTTAGTGTCTCCTCTGCCGAGAGCACCATCTCCTCTTGTTCCCATCCCGTGTGCTTCTGCTGATACTCACACTTTAACCTTCCAGCCGCCTGAGTGCCGAGGCCCTGCTGAGTGGGTTGTACTGCACACCGGAGACTCAGGGAAGGCTCCCCAAGGGAGGGGCTGGGCCTTCCCGAGCTCAGGCTGGTTGTAATGCAGACCAACAGGAGAGAGTAGGTGGGCCCTAGGGTCCTGACCCAGCCTGCTGGGGAGGGATGCCGTCTGGGAAGGCTTCCTGGAAGGGGCAGAGGGAGGTATAACAGGAGGCAGGCAGCCCAGATGGGCAGAGGGACAGGAGGCCATCAGAATATTTCCTGGGGAGCAAAGCTGGGAGTGGGCAGGGGACTTCTACACTGAGTCTCAGCAGCCTCTATGGGTACCAGAGTGCTGCAACAGGGAGCCATTGAAAGTTCTGGGAGAGGATGGTTTCTTCACTCTGGAGCAGCCTCCCTGCGGCTGCAGGGCTGAGCCCACAGGCTGCAATTATCTCCTTTAGAACATCGTTGTGTCTGTTTTAGCTGGGGAAACTGAGGCCCAGAGAGGCACAGGAGTCTCTGGCCACCAGCCTCTTGCACCTCTCTGGACCAGGACTGGCTCCTGGCAGGCAGGGTTTCACCGGGCTTGTGGAAGGTGGGGGTGGATGCAATGTCATTTTTGTGTGGGGGTGGCCTGGAGGCAGCCCAGATTGGGCAGGGCTGGAGCCAGAGGAGGCTCAGATTTCCTGAGCAGGCGAGGGTGGCTGAGTCACCGCACCAGTGCCAGGCCTCATGCCCACCTCTGAGGGCCTGGGGCTCCAGCCTTGCACTCTCAGGCTTGTTCTCAGAGAAATCTCAGAGACGGTCCCCCAGCAAACAGCGGGGAACTGCCTGGGGAGGGGTCACAGCCCACGCCAGCCTCCCTGACTCCTCCCCCAGGGAGACTCTTCTCAGCAGGACCCAGGGATCCTCTTGGGGGGACACCAGGGATGGGGGTCCCGAGCTCAGGGCCAACACTCCACAACCCTCAGAGGAGACAGGGCACAGGGACAATTTCCTCCTTGTCATCTTTATCAGGCTGGCAGGTCAGGCCAGGCTGTCTGTGACTGGGGTCAGGGGTCAGAGGTCAGAGAGTGGCTGTGCCCAGGGTCAGGACCCCTTCAGGTGTGTCTGACTGGCCCTTCGCAGGGCAGGACTGCTCATCCTGGGCTCTGGCACACTTTGCAGGGTGGGAGGGGCCCCTTGGGCAGACACTGTAGGGAACTGGGCCTGGTGGAGAGCCCTCTCAAGCCCATGGAAGCATCCTTGGAGGCCCTGCCAGCGGTGAGGCATCAGCAGCCTACCATTCCTCCTTCCCCAAGGGACAGGGTGCAGGGAAGCGCCACAATGATATCTCCACATGAGCCGCCAGCAGGGCTACCAGGCCACCCTGGGCAGGAGGCAGAAGTGGCCCCTTGTGAACCTCCATGGGAGCCAGGTGGACCCATGGCTCCTGTCCTCCACCCTTGGCCTGTGACGCCAAGGCCCTCTCGCTGTGGCAGCTGCAGTTGGGAATCCCATAACGCTGCAATCAAGACTGACAAGCCCCGCCCATCATGGGCAGTGCTGGCACTGTAGGGTCCCCATCCTGAGGGATGAAGCCAACAACGGGCCACTGAGCAGTCCCCGGGGTGGAGAGGGCTCAGGATAATGGGGAACAGCAGATGGTGGTGACAGGCGGGTTCTGCCACCCCTGCTGGTGCCTGACACCGCAGACCTCGTCTGTCCTCCTGAGAGACCCTCGTCTTGGTGCCACTCGAGGATGTAAACAGCCCCGGGAGGCTGGCAGCCGTTTTCTGCCATGTGTCCAGGGGTGAGGTCCTCCCAAGGGGGCCTGCGAAGGTGGGGTGATGCCAGCCAGCTCTGCAGGACTCCCACCTACTCGAGAGGCCAGAGCTATGGAGGAGGGGCAGAGGGGGAGTGCAGAGCTTCCAGATGAGGGGTGATCGGGAGACCTGCAGGCTCCTTCCTGGGGGGTCCAGTGCCCACAGGCCCTCTCCTGCACTCTGGACTTGCTGGGTAGCGGGCAGGCACCTGCCATTGAGCTGGGGTGGGCAGGAGCCTTTCTCTGCCCCAGGGAGAGGTGAGCCTGCATGTCCAGGGAATGTGGGGGCCCCTTGTGCAGCCCTGGGTTCAAGCCCAGCCTGGCGCCTCCCTTGTCTGCTCTGATCCTCAGCCTTGGCCCTGTGGCCTGTGCTCACGGCTGGGAAGGGGCGTCCCTCCTCTCAGGAAGCGCTGGGTCCTGCCGGCCACATCACAGCTCCACAGGGAGGCTCAGCCCCACAGTGGGAACCAAGGAAACTGGGCTGGGGGTACAGGGACAGGACCAGCCCCAAGGCCCACAGCAGTGAGGGGCAGCCTGGGCCCAGTCTGCGGCCTCCTCCTATCTGAGGGGAAGACGCGGACCCCACGGTAGCAGAGCATGTCGGGGCTCCAGGGGTGGAGGCTAGAAGAACCAGGGCAGGCTATGAGACCCTGCAGGGCAGAGCCTTTGAGAGGTGGGTGGGGAAGTACCCAGAGTCCGGGATCATCCAGGCCAGTCTTGGCTGAATGCCTGGAACTCAGCCACAACTGGGGACGTCCAGGGTACCTGGTGCTGTGCCTGGTGCACAGTTAGCGCGCGGCTCTGGGGCTCTAGGGAGTCATCCTAGGGTGGCTGCTGGGACTGCTACCCTCTGGGCTGGCCCCCTCGGTGCCCCAAGGCACCCCCTTATGCCTGCTCAACACTGAGGGTTCCCCCCAGGGCATCTTGTCTCAACATCTGCTCTTACACACAGGGAAACTGAGGCCCAGAAAGGGAGGAAGGCCTGTCCAAAGTCACACAGCAAATGGGGCATGCAGACCCTGGCTGGAACCATGCCTGGCTTGCAGCCCCCCAGTACCCTTCTGTTAAACCCAGTCTCATGGACTGTGGGAAGGGGCACCCACAGAACACTGCCTCATCATGGGGTCTGGCAGGGCTGTGGCCCTGGCCACAGCTGGCACAAGGTGGTGAGACTCAGTGTGGGCTGGTACTGCTGAAGGGGCCCACACGGAAGAAGCTGCAGCCTTGAGCCCCATGGAGCCCAGGGAGGGTCCCCGCAGGGAATGGCGGGGGACAGCAGCGCGGGGCTTATTGGTGAGAAAGCAGAGGGAAAGCCCCAGGCTCCTAAGACCCAATCCGGGAGGGATTGCTGGTGGAGGAGGTCTGGTGACCAGCCTTGCAGGCTCTCCCAGGATTCACACTGGCTCTGCCTGGCCTTGCCATGGGTCCAGGAGCCTGGGGTGAGGTCTGAGTGTGGAGTGTGGAATGCGTGTGGGGCTAGCTGAGTCTTAGCTTACAGAATGGGGCAGCAGGGCCTCAGGGGGAACACTGGGACCAGAGGACCTTGGAACCCGCCAAGTTGGCCCCACCTTTTATACATGTGGAGATGAAGGCCGGAGAGGGGCTTCAGCTATCGAAGCTCCGAGGCAGCTCAGCTCCATGCCAGCCTTCCTGCCACCTGGGCAGGGGTGCCCCTTCACGCCCTGGCCTTCTTGTGGCCAGCCAGGTTACAGCTGGCAGCTGGGCAGGGGTGCAGTTCCCACCATCTGGGTCTCCAGGCCCACCCAGGGCCAGCCCAGGAGGTGCTGGGTGAGTGGTGGGTTCCCCCAGGGCAGAGACAGCAGGAAGAGGATTGCCACCGTGGGGGGCTTCCCGTGTGTCCCGTTCCACCTGGCCTGTGCCTGGACCAGCACTTCTCATCCCGCCCACCTCCTGGTGAGGGTCCTCACAGAGAGCAAGGGGACTAAGTCCCTTCCCTCCCTCGGGCTCACACAGCTGGGCCCCTGAAGAGTCAGGCAGGAACCTGGGAGCTCAGAGGCCAGGCCACTGGGCTCCCACCACCCCGGGACCTTCCACTTGGGGTTTGAGGAGGCGGCCGAGCCTTTGGGGTCTGACCCACGTTGGGGCTGCTGTGGCAATAGACTCCCCAGGGAGAGGGAGAGGGGAAGCCCCGGGACCCTCTCAGGGGCCTGGCCCTGCTCCCTCTCTCCACAGCCTCCTCTGACACTTGGCCCAGCCAGGGAGGGGCTCTAGTGGGATCAGCACAGGTGCCAGAGCAAGCACAGGTCCAGCAGGCTTGGTGGCCGGGGGTGGTGGCCATGCGGGCCCTGCTTGGCACCTCTTATCCCAGGCACTGGAACACAAAACAGGGCAGAGTATGAGGCACTGCTGCGTGGAGCCCTCCTGGGATGTGATCCAAGGGTTGAAACCCCTGGTCTAGCAGGTCAGTCACTCAACATGCAGCGCTCACCGAGACAAGTCTATAACAGCTGCCGCTCACTGAGAGCTTCTGGCGGGCCAGGCACAGGGGAAGCACTTCAGGTCTATTAATTCCCCCAAATAATCTTATAATGGGGCATCCTGTTCCCATCTTCAGAAGAGGAAAGGGAGGCTCAGAGAGGCAAAGTCACTTGCCCAAGGTCATGCAGCTAGGAGGGTGGAGCTGGGACCAGGCCTGGAGTCTCTCAGCCCTTACAAAGCCCCCAAATTGCCAGAGCTTTCTCTCTGGAAGCTCCAGGAACCCATCACCTGGGGAACTGTGACAAGGACCCCACAGCCCGGGAACCCCAGGGGAGAGAGTGTGAGGTCTAAGATCCCTCCTGGGCCCAGGCGCCTGCCCGGGGTGGCCCAGGCCAGCCACCACAAACTGGCCAGGCTGGGCTGAGCTGCAACTCCCTCTAGAGTTGGCCCAGTCCACCCAGGTCAAGAACAGGCCACGTCCCCAGCAGGGCTCGGGACCTGCTTTCTATTTCAGCACTTCCCAGCCCCCGATGGCCCCTTGGGACAGGAATAGCTGTGTCTGTCTGTGTCTGTCTGCTCGGCAGGCCTCAGAGGAGCGGCCCCGGGTACCCGGGTTCTCCTGACCTTGGCTTCCTCGTTGGCCCAGGAGCAGGGAGCATGGATGTCCAGGGGTAGTGTCCGTGTGGGGACGCTGCAGTGGCAGCTGCTGTTCTCTGCCCAACCCCTCCACCTTCCCTCATAGCAATGAGCTTTGGTCACTGTGAGTGGCCAAAATGGCCTAGGCCAGCACAGGCTAAAAGCTACTGGCTGGACATCTGGCACCGGTGGGCAGGGAAACTGGTGACCTCTAAGGAGCAGGACGTGGAGACCCAGGCTCTGAACTCTCTGGCTCTGAGAACAACTTTTAGGAAGTTGCTTGGGTTCAGGGTTTCTGGGACAAGCCCTCCCAAGCACTGGTCACAAGCTCAGGACCGAGAATGTGACCCCAAGGTCTCTCCTCACTGTCTCTGCAGAAGCCTGAGAGCCTTCCCACCTGCACAACTCTGCCCCACTGTTCTCTCCACCTAGAAGGCCTTTCCCACGGATCCAAACCAGCCTCTAGCCACAAGGCCACCTCTTCCAGGAAGCCTGCCCTGACTGGTTTGTCTTAGCCCTGAATTCTGAGGGCAGTCTGGGCCTGGATCAATTGCTGGGATTTTCCTGGGCCAAGTTTGTCTCCAGCCAAATGTTTGACTCCTCTGAGACACGGCCAACGTTTCGCTGGTTTCTTCCTCCTTTCTGTTGCTGAGCATGTGGGGAGGTATATAGTAGAAGCTCAATAAATGCAAATGCCTACTCATTTTAAAAATGGGTGGGAAGGGCAGGGCTCCAGGCTGCCATGGCCCCATTGCAGGCACTTGGGCCCCTTTTCTGCCTGTATAAACTTTCCCACAGAGCCTTCCGGGGTGGCACACACTGCTCTTACGAACAGGAAGTTCTTTCCCGTTTCTAACCTTAGTCCTTCCTGCAGCAGCTTCATCTCATTCTGGCTCCTAAGAGCTGGACCTGCTCACCCTGCCCTCTCCTCCTAGGGGCCAGGAGACCATCTCTTAGTAAGTGAAAGGGATGCAGTGGTCCTGGGGGATGGCGGCAGTGGGATGGACCGCTGATGTTACCTCCACTGTCATAAGCAAGGAAACTAAGCTCTGAGGAACCACCCAGCTACTGAGAGGTGGAGCCAGGATTTGAACCATTCAGGTGAGCCCAGGGCCTCGGACTGGCTCCCATGGCTGTGAGCCTCACATTTCCCTGTGCGGAGACCCTCCTGCAGTGGGTTCCTCCCCTACTCACCAGGGCTGACCCCTACCTCCCAGGGGAGCCCTGGGCAAGTCCCAGCCTGTCTCCTTCCCGACCTGGGTCTGTCCATCTGGGCAGTGGGGGTACAACCCCAGCGAGGCGGTGGAGGAGTCAGGGCCACTATTTATAGAGGCCTGCTGCCTCTGCCGACTGCCTGCCGCCCTGGAGGAGTGCGCGGGAATGGGAGGAGGGAAGCTGTTGTTGGCGGGGTAGGTTACGTTCCGGAAGGCTGGTGCCAACTCTCCCGGTTGGCAAGCGGGGGAGGGCGCTGGGAACCGAGCAAAGGGGAGTGGATGGCACCCGCCAATGGGCGGTCCCAACAGGGTAGGCGGGGCCCTGGCGGGGGCTGCAGACCAGATCTCACGTGCCTCTGCTGAGGCCCCAGCCCAGGACCCCGAAATCCAAACTTCTCTGAGACAGGGAAGCATTTAGGTAGGTTTGACACAAGCTCACTCAGCCGCGTAAACTGACTGGACCCAACCCGAGGGTATTCAGCATCCATTTATCCCTCCCGGTGGGCATACCAATAAGGCTCGTGGCAGAAGTATCAGTGTGTGTGGTGGAGGTGCTTCCCAGACCCCATGGGGTGTATGTGACCTCCGCTAGGTGCATCTCACTGTCTTTCTAAAATCTGAGCCAGACCCTGAAATGCACACAGCCTCAAAAGTTTCTACAAGCCACTGTGAACCTGATTGTCTCCTGCATTTTACAGACGAGAAACCTGAGACTTGGAGAAGGGACCAGCGGGTGGCCGGGACCTGCCCTGGGGGCTGAGACGAGGACTCCTTGGGATCGGAATTCCAGCCCTTGCTGGTGGGGCCCAGTTTGAGGTTGTCCCAAGAGCTATGGAGTCTCTCACTAAGGAAGTACCTTCCCTGTCTCTGCTACCCCCTAAAATCGGCCTGTTCTGTCCTGAGCGGTCTTCCTGGAGGCCTCCCAGGGGAGCTCAGCCCCCACTGGCAGCCCTGGCTCTGCCTAGTTCTGAACCCCTACCGGCTGTTGTTCACTGTCTGGGGCACAGACCCTCTCTGCCTCCAGCCCCATGGGTGCTGATCCAGGAGGGGCTACCTCCTCCAACTCTGTCACTGCTCCTCCAGGGTACCAGCTGAGGCCAGGTCCTCAGGTGCTTTGGAGGTGGGAGTGAGAACTAGGCTCAAAGTCTAAGCCCCGGGCTCAGGTCCCAGCATGGCCCCTGACCAAGGCCAGGGTTTCGTGGCTCAGAGCCTCAGCTGGCTCACTTGGAGTCAAGAGCATTGGACTCTGTCCTGACCAACTCGTGGGGCCATATGGGGGGTCAAGTGTGAGGCCTGGGTCAGGGCTCAGCCTGTGACCAGGGTCAGAGTTCACTGTGTGACCAGGATCAGGGCTCAGGCTGTGACTAGAACCAAGGATCAGTGTGTGACCAGGGTAGGGGACCAGTGTGTGGCCAGGATCAGGGCTCAGTGTGTGAGCGGGATCAGGGCTCAGTGCATAAGCGGGATCAGGGCTCAGTGTGCGAGCGAGATCAGGGCTCATCCTCTGGCTGGAGTCAGCAGTCAGGGTACTCAACCCGATGCAGGTTACCCCCCATCTACTCTGGCCCCCTTAAGAAGGCCTCTCATAGACCAGGTGGCCCTACGTAGGGCATTTCTCATGACCTCTGCGCCTTGTCCCGGGGTGGGGTTGGCGGTCCTCTTTCCAGTGAGGAATAGGGAGGTGCTCAAAGTCCCCTCCCAGGCGCTCCCCACATCCCCTCCCAGGCTCTCCCCACATCTTTCTCACAGTAGAGCTGCTGGGGTCTGGGATCCAGCAGGCCTGCCCGTGCAGGGCCCCAGGCCACTTCCTGCTTATGAGGCGTGTCAGAAGGACAGAGAGCAGGCCCGGAAGGTGCTTAGCTGGTGGGGGCGGCTGGGAGCCGCCGAAGCTCAGGAAGAGGTGAGGGAGCCTGGGTAGGGCAGGCACATTCCTGGGAGCGGCTGAAGCTCAGGGAAGAGGTGAGGGAGGCTGGGTAGGGCAAGCACGTTCTCAGGCTGCAGGGTGGCTGCCCATGGCCGGGGTGCTTTTGGATGGCCAGCTCCCCGGTTCCCATCCTGCTCGGGCCTCTGCTTTTGAAGAGGGTCATGGTGAACGTCTGGATTTTGGGCCCTGTGTTCCCTCTGATGAGCTGGACTCTGGGCTCCAGTCCCCACTCCCCCCGCCCCCCACCCTGCTCTCAGGAAATGAGCCTTGTGCCCAGACTGGGCGCCTTCCCTGACCCTGCGACTCAGGCCCTTCTCTGTGGGGGGCGTGAGAGCCTTGAGCCTGGCAGGAAACTAGGTAGCAGATCCACAAACACAAAGGGACAATTGGCCGTCATGATAGCGATGGTGGTGACGGCAGTATCTTCATGACAGTGGCCCCGCAGCAGGGCACGGAGCCACCTTGTGCTGTTCCTCACAAGGGCCGGCCATGGGGTGCAAGGGCTGCAAGTGAGAAACTCTGCAGACCCCAGCCAGACCTGGGGGAGCCCCGTCTCCAAAGGCCCTGCTTGGTGTGGCAGGTGGGATTAAGGTTGGCGGTCGGTGGAGGAGCAGGTGGGGCTTCCTGGAGGGGAGGGAGGAGAGACCCCACTGGTGGGTGGTGGGAGGGGCAGCAGGTCTCAGGCGGGAGTCACGGCTAAAGGCCAGTTCTGGGTGGGGCCTCCTATCACTGCGGGCAGGGGCAGGACAGCTGGGGATGGGCTACTGAGGGATCGTGTCTAGAAGCAGATGGTTGCTGTGTCCCGCCTGTGGGTGTCTGGGGAGTGGGCAGACTGGGCATGGTCATGGGTAGGGAAGGGGGTGTGGCCCTCTCAGACCCAGCAAAGACCCTGGGGTCCTGGCCACCAGTCCAGCCTCTGTTTCTACCAGACACCTGTGTGTGGGACAGGTGGACAGTCAGGTCATTTGAAAATATTCTCCAAGAGGAAGCTCTTAGAATCTTTCGTCCCTTTAGCTGGGGTGGGTGGGGGGGCAACATCCTTTGATTCAGAGTTTTGGATCTGGGGTCCTGGGCAGCTCCAATGGCTTCACGAACCCCTAGACTTTGTGTGTGTGCAACTGCCCATGTGTGTGCCATGAGGGTCCATTGGGACTGTGAAGGGTCTGAAAACCCACGTGGGTTAGAACCACGGTGTGGTCCGGCCCCGTTCAGTGCAGATGGGGCAGGCAGCCCCCAAAGCCACGCTGAGAGTTGGAGAGTTAGAGCCAGGTCAGCTGTTGGGAAGGGCTTCTCTGCCCCCATGCCCCAGACCCTCCTTCAGGGGCAGATTTCTGTCAGAGAGACTGGGATGGGCCTCAGATGAGCCCCATCAACATCCAAAGAGAAATGGATTGTGGAAGATCCGCCTCACTTGTCCAGCTGACCATGTGTCTATCTGTCCTTCTCCAGGACCCTGGCAGAGAAGGCTGCCGGGGGGCCGGCCACCACCGTGTGGGGTTAGTTCCAGGCAGCAGCGTCCCGGTGGCTTTCATCCTTCACCTTTGTACATCCTGGCCGTGTTTGACATCTTTACGGTGAGCTCGTGCCGTTCTATAAACATACGTCCTTTTCTTCCTTAAAGAACAGCAAAAAGTTGCCTGGAGTGACTGGAAGCAACCCTCGCAGGACATTAGCAAGGATTAGTTCTGGGCGGGAGAAAGCAGGTGACTGTTAATTTCTTCTTTCCACTGATTTGTATTTATTATTAATTTATTTAAAAATTTTAATACAGAAACCCCTCTGCTCTCTAATTGTTCAGTCACTTGCATATCACCATCAGGCCTGTACATCAGTAGAGGCAGAAATGTGTAGCTTAATGCCAACTTCCCTTCCCAGGTTGTGGGTGCAGGGTGACAGGAGGAGAGAAGCCCTGGCGCACGCCTGCCTCATCCCTGGCTGGTCCTGGGCAGGCGTCACCAATCAATGAGGCTCTTGCTCCCCAGGAGCCTGGATGGACACCCCCTCCCCGGCCCTCTGGGCAACCGGCCCAGTGGACCAGCAGAGCAGGCAACATGGCCCCGACTGGATTGGGTCCAGACTCCTTAATTTATCCATGAAGAACCTGAAGCCCAGAGGCATAGTAATTGCCAAAGTCCCACAAGTGTTCAGGGCCAGGCTGCCCCTGGCTCAGTGTTCTTCCTGCTGGGAGCTGGGCCATGGGCTCTGCACTTCCTCACTCTGCATTTGGGTCCATCTGGTTGGGACTGCCAGGCAGGGTGAGGGAAGCCTCCCAGCACTGTCCACCGTCCGGGGGAATACTTAATGTGTCATGTCCTCCACCTGGGCAGGGGCAGGGCAGGGGTGAAACACCTCCCTGCCCACCAGAGCTGCCTCCCCCAGAGTCCCAGACCCAGGAACCAGCCCCCGCCCCACCCTGAAGCCTGCCAGGACCCAGCCCTTACCAAGGGGCCCAGGGGTTGTAGCTCAGAGGCGTGGGATGCGGACCCCCGACCACCTAGCTGGCAGGGGGCAGAGTCCGGACTCAGACCCAGGACCACCCATGCCAGCACACAGCCCCTTCCCCACAGGCGCCTGTGGAGCAAGTCAGGAGGCAGGACACAGCCTTGAGGACTGCAGGTCTGATGAGGACAGTATCTGCCCTGGGGACCCTGATCTGAGGGAGGAGGCAACAAAAAATGACTCATCAACGGGGTGATGGGGACATTTTGGGATGGCAAATTTGGATCTCAACCCGGGCCCCACCGCCTCCCACCAGAAGCAGTTACTTAGCCTCCCTGTGCCTCAGTTTCCCCATCTGCATAGTGAGGACAGCAATGTTTGGGGCCGTGTGAGGAGTAAATGAGGCAACAGTTGTGGTTTGGGTCTGGTCCGTGGCTGTGTGGGGTCAAGTGAGCCCGTGTGTGCCCATGGCTGCCTGTGCATCAGAATCACCGGGAGTTCCCATCAAACACAGACATCCGGGCCTGGCCCAGGGAGGCTGACTTTAATGGTCTGGGCAGAGACCTGGTCATCAGCACTTTTTTTTTTTTTTTTTTCCGAGACAGAGTCTCATTCTGTCTCCCAGGCTGGAGTGCAGTGGCGTGATCTTGGCTCACTGCAACCTCCGCCTCCAGGGTTCAAGCAATTCTCCTGCCTCAGCCTCCTGAGTAGCTGGAATTACAGGTGCCCGCTACTATGCCTGGCTAATTTTTGTATTTTTAGTAGAGATAGGGTTTCACCATGTTTGCCAGGCTGGTCTCGAACTCCTGACCTCATGATCTGCCTGCCTCGGCCTCCCAAAGTGCTGGGATTACAGGCGTGAGCCACCGTGCCCGGCCGGTCACAGCATTTTAAGGACTCTGCCATGATTCTGATGTGCTGCCAGGGTGGCTGTGCCTGAGCCGGCCTTTGGCTCTTGCGCACACACTGAGATGCCGGTTCGAGTGGATACAGGGGGTCAGCCCACTTGTTTCCCACGGCCAGCCTCCAGTTGGGCTCACATTGAGTAACTGTCTGAGCCCAGTCCCAGGTAGACATCGTCAGTTTCCACGTGTTCCTTCATTCACTCAGGAACAAATGGGCTTTACTTTATCCGAGGCCTTGTAGATAATTATTTTTTCCCTCTGTAAACCAAGTCCTGCTTAAATCCCATCCAAATCCCTCCAGCCAGAGCCCATGCTGCCTGCGAGCCTGCTCCCCATCTCCGGCTGAGCAGGTTTGTTTAAGGCTGGGCTGACACTTCTTCTCCCCGCGCCTTGGTGTGTTTACACTGGGGCCATCAGCAGAAACTGCAGGTGCGGCAGGGAGGCTGGAGACAGGGCAGGGACCATGGGGGTTTCAGGGCGTCCTTTCCACACAGTGTCTCAGGTCGCCCTGTTCCCAGCCTCGTCCTCGTTCTCGTTCCCACAGGCGAGGCCTTGGAGGTCACTCAGGACAGGGGAAGTGCTGAGGCGAGGCCTCAGGCTGCTAAGTGGAGTGAGCCCAGGAAGGCTTTTTGAGTGGGGGACGCCCGAATTGGTTTTCTGTGAAGACCAGGGAGCAAACGTGCCTGCCATGGAGTGAACGGCAGGACCCGCAGGGAAAACCTCAGGCAGCGGCTTGAAATACCATGGCCGTCCATGGAGGGGGCTGGTCAGATGCTGGCGGTGTGGGCAGAGGAGGCTCTGGGCCACTGCCTGAGTGTGAGTCCTGCCACCACCACCTGATGGCTGAGTGACCTTGGGCACGTTACTTAACTTCCCCATACCTCGGTTGCCTCATCTCTCAAGGGAGTAATCATATTAACTTCTCAGGGTCATTGCAAGGGTGAAATCATCTAGAGACACAGAGCCTAGAATACCATACTCAGGAGTTTGTGCTCTGCCCTATAGGCAGTGGGGAGTTATGGCGAGTGGTTGAATAGTGCTGGAGCTGGGCTTTCTGAGGGTCTGAGCTCCCAAAGCCTTTTCTGTATGGCTGGGTTGTGAGGCTTTTATATTGTCACTGCTGACCAATCACAGATTGGCTACCCTTCCTCCTGGCCAGTGATTGGTTTAGGGTGGGTTAGCCTAGCCAGCTTTGGGCCAATGACAGGTGACCAGAGGCTTATTGTGGGTTCTGAGCTCCCTCCTGTCCCCGGATAGACAGGCAGCCTTTTTGTGAGCATGAGGGGAACCTGCCTGAGAATGATGGTGGGGAAAATCTTAGAGAGGCACAGCTGGGTGTGGTCACCCTGTCCTGGAGCCCACAGTCCCTCTGCACTTCCCGTTATGTGAGTTCCTAAATTTCCTCACTGGGAAGCCTGGGATTCTGTCACTTGCTTCTCAAAGTACCCAGTGTCCACATGGCAGAGTGTCCTCCTAGAGCCCACATCTGATTGCATCCCTCCCTGCTGAAAACCGTCAGGGGCTCCCACCCCTTGATGAGGAAGCACAGTGCTTCACCCCATAGCCTGTGCCTCCCACTGCGGGTTCTGCCGGCCCCTGACTGTCCTTGAACACACCAGGCACACATCTGCTGTGGGGCCTTCGCGCTGCTCCTCCCTTGGCCAGGAGCATTCTTCCTTTAGGCCGGTCACTGCTCACCTCATTGAGGGCCGAGCTCAAATGTTGGCCCCTCAGGGCAGGTGGGTGGCCAGGACCATCTGGGTTTGCTGCAGCCACACACACCCCTGATTCTTCTGTGGCCTTATTGATGGAGGTGTGGGTCTCGCTCACGCCATGAATTGCTGGTCGGTGTGGTGGGGGATGGGTCTCTTGCTCCTTGGTGGCTCGGGGACCTGAATGACAGAGGCTCCGCCATTGCCTGCAGCCGGTGCTGTCTCAACACAAGGCCTCAGGTCCCCTGTGGTGGGGGAGAGTGGAAGAACAGGGCACCAGTTCCTAAAAGCTTTGTCCCTGAAGTGTCCATCACATTCATCTCTTCTACTCGCATTCCAAGGACCACAGTCAGTGGTGGTGGCCATGCCTAATATGAGGGGGCATGACCCCAAGCCTGGAAGGGGCCTGGCACACAGCAGTGGCTTCCTGGCCATCCAGTCCCCGTGAGCGGTCTCTCCCCTCCACAGCGGCGTCCTGTTCTTATTCGGGAAAAAATGCACATAACACAAAATTCACCATGTTAAAGTATGCAACCCGCCTTCATTCACAGGGTGGAGCCCCATCACCTCTGCTTCCAAAACATTTCCATCACCCGAAATGGGAAACCCCATTCCTCCCGCCGAGCCCTGGCAACCAACAATCTGTGCTCATCTCTATGATGTGCCCACTCTGGGCATTTTGTATAAATGGAATCATGTGATATACAGTCTGTCGTGTCTGGCTTCTTTCACTCAGCCTCATTTTCTCAAGAATCGTCCACACTGCAGCCTGGATCAGAGTGTCCTTCCTTTTCATGGCTGCATGCTATTCCACTGCTGAGATGTGCCACCTTTTCTTTGTCTGTTCATCCAGTGATGGTTGACGGACATTTGAGTGTTTCCTGGCTTTGGTCATTGTGAACAGCACTGCTACGCGTGTTCACATACAAGTTTTTGTTTGAGTCCTGGCTTTTTTTTTTTTTTTTTTTTTTGAGATGGAGTCTCGCTCTGTCACCCAGGCTGGAGTGCAGTGGCGCGATCTCGGCTCAATGCAAGCTCCGCCTCCCTGGTTCAAGCAATTCCCCTGCCTCAGCCTCCTGAGTAGCTGGGACTACAGGCGCCCAACACCACGCCCAGCTAATTTTTGTATTTTTAGTAGAGACAGGGTTTCACCATGTTGGTCAGGCTGGTCTCGAACCCCTGACCTCGTGATCCACCCACCTCGGCCTCCCAAAGTGCTGGGATTACAGGCGTGAGCCACCACACCCAGCCAAGTCCTGGCTTTTAATTCTTTTGGGTAGATACCTGGGCCTCATCCCATTGCATTCCTTCTATAACTGATCCCCCTCCGCAGTTACTTGCTCCCAACGTGCCTCTGTTTCCCTCTCTGTGAACTGGGCATGTTGCTGATCTCCAGTTATGAGCAGTGTCTCTCTTAGGTGGTGTGTTCTGCAGGGAGGGGAAGCAGCCGCTGCCCCTGCACGCGCCTGGCCATGCTCACAGCATCTTCCCGTCGCTCCTTGACTTGTTCACTGACCCCTCCCTGATGTGGCCGGAGGACGGGGCCTGGTATCACCTTGTCCTGTGCAGGCCTGACACGTAGAAGGTGTTTGGCTGATGCTTGCTAGTATAGGAATAAGCTAGTTCTCTAACCTGGAGTTCCTCCCTGTGAGGTTTTGTTTGCAAGAAAAAATCTGCTGCTAAGCCAGCTGTGGAGGCACATGCCACAGTCCTAGCTACTCTGGAGGCTGAGGCAGGAGGAGCGCTTGAGCCCGGGAGTTTAAGGCTGCAGTGAGCCATGCTCGCACCGCTGCACTCCAGCCTGGGCAACAGAGCCAGACCCTGTCTCTTAAACAAACAAACAAACAAACAAACAAACACCCTGCTGCTAAAACATGTGGAAAGTGTGATGGACGCCACACTGGCAGTTTTGCTTCCTCAGCCAGCACCTCCCACATGCTCCCAGGGTCAGAGGTCAGGGATCAGGCTGGCTCCTGGTAGGGGGCTCTGTGTGCCCTGGCAAGTCGCCCCTCCCTGGGCCAGGAGCGAGGTGAGGGTGTCCACAGCAACAGGCTGTGTTTGGACACAAGCGGGGTGGGGCTGCACCACACGGGGCTCTTCCTGTGCCTTATAAATCAGCTCCCAAGAGCATTCCCCAAAAGGAGTTTCAGCTGCTCCCGAGCCCAGGACAGCAGGCTGGTCTCCCCTCCGGTGAGAAATCTCCTCTCCCGTCTACCACCCCAGGAGTTCCCCAGAGAGGCTCGGTTATCCTCCAAGGAGGGGATACTCGCTGCCTTGCCGAGATCGGAATCCACTTTTGCCTGTTCTCTAAGCCCTGCTGGAGATGTGGGAGTGCCCCTGCCCCACAGCCTGTTCCGAACTCACTTGGGCCATCGCCCAGCTCCAGCCTGTCTCTCAGTGTGAACCCCGAGAGCATCTTCTGCACCCAGGTGGATGGGTGGCTAACAGCATGGGCATCAGGGGCTCCTGGCTTTGCTTCCCCGCGCCTGCATTTCCTTGCTGTTTGGCTTTGGGTGATCTGCAGGAAGGAGGACTGCCACCGCCATGGCACGCGCCTGGCCTCTCCACTGGCACCTTCCTGTTGTTCCTTCCCTTGTTCGCCAACCCCTCCCTGATGTGGCCGGAGGACAGGGTCTGGTGTCGCCTTGTCCTGGCACAGGCCTGGCAGGCAGAAGGTGTCTGACTGATGCTTGCTGGATAGAGGAATAAACTAGAGCTAGATCTTGGGGCTCCCTGTGGGGTTTTGTTTGCAAGAAGAAATCCCCTTCTCTGCAGCTCCCTGGGGCTCTGTCATTGCAGAGGGGGACTGGGATGACTGGGGAGGCACGCGCCCTGCTGAGGGCAGCCACTTCTCCAGCCCAGCAGGCTGTAATCCGACATCCACAGGGATTATCCTGGTAACTGGTGGTGCATGGCCCCTGTGCTGAGAGGGCTGCAGTGTGCACGCCCCGTTTAGAGCATCGTATGGGTTCAGCATGTGTCCGCGGATGGGTGCTTGAGGAGCACCTGTCAGACGGGTGCCTGTCAGGCCATATTTTTGGCAATGGTAGCTTCCCGGGAATGAGGGATTTTTCCTGGGATAAAGGCCCCCGTGGAGGGTGGTCAGCAGCCCTGAGGACGTGGTATGAGACCCACAGCCTTCCTTGACTCCAGAGCGGCCAGGAAGCTGGGACTCCAGCAAGCTGTGCTGCCCCCACCAGTGCCTGTGTTCCCTGCATCTCACATGGAGCCTCACTCAACTCCTGTCCCTGAGTGCCCACTGGTGGGGACGAGGGAGATGGCAACTGTGGATGGATCCCAGGCCAGTGGAGAAGACAGACCCACACGCCAGGAGGATGAGGGGTTGTCAGGTTCGGGGGGCCTGGAGGCTGCCTCCTGCAGGCCCTGTCCCACGTGAGAGGGTCGGGACCTCAGGTTCCTCAGCCTGGACCTGCCGTGTCTTGGGCAGCATCCAGTGTTTGGGCCCCACGACCTCCAGGGAGGGTCACTTGTTCTGTGGCTGCCCTCTGTCCCCCACCAGGCTCCCCATGGAGGGCTCAGCATGCAGGCTCAGCACACATCAGGCATGGAGGCCCTGGCCCCACGTTCCCTGCTGCTGGGCAGTGCACAGCCTGCCTGAGCCTGGGTCCCTGGGTGGGGCCAGCTGCCCCCGCCCTCTTCTGGGCCTGGTGGGGACATTTGGACCCTCTGCATTGTTGCATCCCTAGATTCAGCCCTGCTCTGCTCCCTGTGGGGACACCAATCTCCCTTCCTCAGCCTCCCAACAGGCCTCATCTGCTGAGGAACGGGAGGCGTGGGGCCCAGGCACCAGGCCCGTCTCTTGTCCCTTCCCAGAACATCTTCTGCCTCCTCCCCTTCTCATCTTCCCCTTCACCTCCTCCCTCCTTTCTCCCTCCCTCTCTCTCTTTCCCTTCCCCCTCCCTCCCTCTTTTTCCCTTCTCCCTCCTCCCCTTCTTCCTTCTGTTCCTCGCTCTCCTCCCCCTGTCTCCTCTTTGCCTTCCTCATCATCTCTCCTCTCTCGTCCTCAGCTCAGGGACCTTCACTGAATCTGGAAAAAACAGGAGAAACAGCCTCATCACAAATTCTCCAAATTGTTCTTGGATTGAGGGTTGGGAACTTCAATGCCAGAAACAGTGTCATTTTCCTGGTTTGGCAAGGGTCTCTGAGCCCTGTGGGCCCCTCCAGGGTCTAAGAGGTCCCCAGAAAACAAGGTGGGATGAAAGCCTTCTGTCAATACCCTTGCCCAGAGGTACACGTGAGGGCTTCAGGACAGGAGGCAGGAGCCTCACTCCTGGGTCCCTGGTGGGCCAGGGGTACAGGGGAGAGCGGCGTTCTGAACCTGTGTGGGTCGGGGGGTTGGGCAGGCCCCGGTGGAAGGCCACTCCCCACTCTCCCTGGAGACCTCCCGTGGGGTCTCCCCCTCTGAAGATACAGGTTTTCCTAAGTCACACTGAGGGGCGGGCTTGCTGAGGCCCAGCTGGGGGTCTTCCTGCAGACCAGCCTGTCACTCCCCACTTGCCAGTGGTCTGGGCTGCAGCTGGGGAGGGCTTCTGCTCTGGGTCTCAGGACCTGGTGGGGGCAACTCATGGAGCAGGCTCTCCCTGCATTGGTGGGGGTGAAAGGACAGGCCCTTCCAGGCTGATCTCTGGGGGAGGGTCCTGACCCCTGGGAGCCCTGGGTGCTGAGGAGGCCTCTCCCAGGGCCATAGTCTCCATGGATGGAAGTAGGGGGTGGTGGCTGGGCCAGCCCCCGACACCCACCAGCTGCCAGGCCTGCTCTGAGAGTCCCCGATCCCTCCACCACCCTTGAGGCCACACCCAGCTGTGGTGTCCCAAAGCCCTGCTCTTGGGGCGGACAGGGAGCACGGTTCTACTTTCCCCACCAGCCGCTCCAGGCCGGCTCTGCTGGACCCTGCAGTGCAGAGAGGACGGAGCTGGACCCCACCTTGATGGGCCACAGGATGGGGGCACATCAGACGCACGAGAGGTCTCCCTTTGGCCATGCCATGTGTGCGGGAGCCTCAGTCAAGCTGTGAACACACTCAGCCTCAAAGGACTGAGCGGAGGGCCCCGCGCTTGCAGATCGCATCCTCCTTCACCGGGATTGTGGGGTGAGGAGCAGACCCCGGCTGCGGCTCTGCCTCTTGCCCTGAATGGGGTGCTGCAGGGCTGGCATGTGGACGCTTTTTGCTGGAGTATCCCCTGAATCCCAGCAGATGAGGAAGCCAGGTAGGGACCCGCAGGCAGGACCTGATACAGAATTTCAGGGCCCTGGGGCAAAGTGGAAATGCAGGCCTCTCATTCAAAAATGTTCAACGTCGCCCTACAGCAACAGCAGAGCATTCAACCGGGCTGAGGGTGGTGCCCGTGACCTGTGCCCAGCTCGTACCCAGTGCAGCGGCCCTGCCCCACAGGCCCCACGAGGGGGCGCCCGTGTGGCGTGCCTGAGGCCCGCTCCTCGCAAGCTTGCCTGCCCCGACCCTCCCGGCATCCTCAATGCCGCAGCGTGGGTGTCCCGGCCTCCTCACTGGCGGAAGCATCTATGGACGGTGGTCCTCCAGGAGCTGGGGGTCACAAGTGCAATGGCAGGTGCCAGATGGGGCTGAGGCCAGCAGGGCTGTGTGTGGTGGGACACCTGGCCACGGTCACCCCCAGGGAGGCCCCGTCATCCCCAGGAGACACCCTAGCTCTTGCCTGGGACCCCAGCACCAGGCCACAGGGTCCCTGCTGACTCCCCCATCCTCCCTCCGCCAAGGCGCCCCTCCTGCCTGCTGAGCTCCAGCCTCTTTCCTCCAGGAAGAACGCTTGGCCGGCAGGTCCCTGCTCAGATGCAGTGCCTGGGACGTGCCTCCTGGATGCCCCCACGACAGTAGCTGCAGCACTGTCTAGGGGGGCTCCCGCTGCAGGTCCCAGTGATGCCTGGCACAGGTGCTCAATGAAAGTTTGCCAAACTCAGGGGCAGGGGGAGCCAGGAGCGCTTTCAGCTGCCAATGGGCGACACAGCTAGAGCATCCAGGCTTAGGGTAGCCCCACTGCTGCAAAGGTCCCAGCTCAGTGTCCCACCAAACTCCCACACCCTACCTCACTGGTGGTCTCAGAAGTCCAGGTCAGGCACTGCCATACCTCCACCCCAGCCCCCAAGGGGCCGGAGCTCAGCCTGCAGTGGCCTTCCCTCATCCTTGTAGGTGGCACCAGCTGCAGGCTTGGGAAGCCGCCCCACCCTGCCCACACCAAGTCAGGGCAGGCCTGGGTGCCCCACAGAACACAGTGAGGTGGCACTGGGTGGCCTCTGAGGTCAGATCACACGTGTCTTGCTCTCCTGGGTAGCTCCTTGTGGGGGAGGCCAGCCCCAGCACTGGGAGGACACCCAAGCATCCCTACAGAGGGGCGTCTTGAGGAAGACTCTGAAGCAGCAGCTAATAACCTGCATGGCCTGGCCAGCTGGGACAGTGAGAGGGTTCCGAAGGGGATCCCCCAGCCGCAGTCGGGCCCTTGCATGTCTGGAACCCTGGCCATCTGACTGCATCTCATGAGACCCCAGCCAGAGAACCGCCCCGCCCAGCCACTCAGAACTCTTGACCACAGACGCGGAGAGAGAGCAGGTTTTACAGGCACAACTAATACACAAATGAAAATGTCACCATCACAGTAGCGTGGCTGCATTAACGAAACTAGGGGAAGGAGGGAAATGAAAATGACTTTCCCAGCTCCTGCACGCCAATCCCCCGAGTCCTGGCCTCCCTCAAGCCCTGCTTCCTCTTCGCATCAGGGGCGTGGCTGCTTACGCTGGTTCCCTCGATAGCAGAGCCTGAGATAGGGACATTGGTGCAGGTGGTTTATTTGTGATGACCAGGTGAGGGAGCCAACACAGGTGTGTTATGGAGGTCTCAGCTGGTTTCAGGACCTCCTGAGAAGTGTGCCGGACACCTGAGGAAGGTCCTTCTGCAGATGGGAGGCAGGTGTATCCGCCAGAGCCCTGCCACACTGCGGAGGGCTGGCCCTCCTCTGCCCTTCAGGGCTTGGTACACACGGAAGGCAGGCACTGAGGAGGAGGGTCCAAGCTCGCTCAGAATGGGCCACTGCCACTGAAATCAGGGAACAGAGGGGACGTGAAGTGGCCCAGAGAGCATCGTTCCGCACACTTACTCTCTTCCTAGATGTATACTCCTGCACCCCGCTCCTGTTTACCTAACTAACCACTGAACAACAAGCTCTTTTTTATTTTGTTTGACGCTCAGGGCTTGAGGAGGATTCAAAAGGACAGTCATAAAGACATCTACTTCTGCGCAGGCAGAAGCAACGCAGCACTTGACAGCCACCATCTTGTGGGTCTTCCCAAGAGCCCTGTGAGGTTGGAGCTATTACTATGACATTTATAGATGGGGAAACTGAGGCCAGGAGAGGTCAAAGTGTGCAGCCCAGTGATGGGGGCTCAAGAGCTGCTGCTGGTGCCATTAGCCCACCCATGCCCTCCGTGGCTGGATCTAGGTCCCCCAGCCTGGGCCCCTCCTGTAGGGCCCTGCTGGGCTGGAGGAGGCTTTCCAGAAATCCACTTAACGCTGACCTCGTCTTTGTCCTCCTTGGAGCTAATCTGCTAATCCTGCCAGCCCCAGTGGGCCTCACCACTGTCTAGATCGTCCTGCATGGTTGGCATCCCTCTCCAACAATCCCCCACCTGCGGGGGCCTCCTCCTGGCCATGCCTCCAGGGCTGGGCAGGTCCAGTGACTGGGGTAGGTGGAGCTGGGATTCTTTCTGTGGAACATTCCTCAATCCTGGGGGAGATTCTGGAGTCTGGAATTCAGGAGACTGGGCCTGGCTTCTGACCCCACCTTTTCACGGCTCAGCCATCATCTCTGAGGCCCCGTTTTCTCCTCTGTAAAACACGATCACTTTGAGCTCTCTTCCGGCTATGAAATCCCAGGATTCTCCCCAAGCCTGTTCATGCCCGGCCCATTCCACTCACAGCAGTTGGACAGCTCTGGTTTCACCGTGCCTGGGTTTGAATCTTGATTCTGCTTTCGCTTAGCTTCTGCTTCCTAATCTGCAAAATGGGGGTGTCAGGGATTCCTCTGCAGGGCTCAGTGTGGACTTGGTGGGTGGGTGTAAGTCCCTGGCATGTGGTCAGCACTCGGTGAATGTCTGAGAACTGAAATGAATCCAGCATGGAGGAGCCTCCTCCTTTGCTCCCGACTCCCTGCAGGATGGTAAGAGCGTGGGGAGGAAGGAGGCTCCAGCCTCTCGGGAGCCCACTCACCCCAGCAAATTTGGGTGGCTGGGATAGAAACCTCTCTGAGATTTTGGGCAGGAGAGGAGGAAAATAGCATGAAACAGGCAGGGGGTGTTGGTGCTGCTCAGGCTAGATGAAGCCAAACATTTATTTATTAATGCTTTTTTTTTTTTTATCTTTTTTGAGACAGGCTCTCGCTCTTTCACTTAGGCTGGGGTGCTGGCGGGATCAGGGCTTACTCTAGCCTTGTCCTCTTAGGCTCAGGTGATCCTCCCACCTCAATCTCCAAGCTGGGACTATAGGAGCATGCCACCATGACTGGCTAATTTTTTATTTTTTGTAGAGATAGGGTCCCACTATGTTACCTAGGCTGGTCTTGAATTCCTAGGCTCAAGTGATCCTCCCGCCTCAGCCTCCCAAATTGCTGGGATTATAGTGTGAGTCACTGTGCCCGGCCTTAAGCTAAACATTTAAAAAATAAGAATTAAAATGCAGCCACAGTGAAACGGGAAGGGGCTGCTTTTACAGGTGCTGAACTTCCCGGCAATAGAAGCATTTAATGGGAGGTTCCCTTTTTCCTAGGACCTCAAAGCTGGAGTACCAGGGATGTTGCCTTGACCTTCCCATGTGTGGATTTCTGCTTGAACACACCAAGTACAGGACACCCTGTTTAGCAGCTAAACGTGGGAATTGCACCAGCTTTACTCCCAACTTGCTGGGCAATCTTCGGGAGTTGCTGACCTTCTCTGTGTCTCATCAGCAAAACAGGGAGAACACTAGCTCTCCCAACATGGGCTGTGTGAGGACCAAATGAGCTGAGGAGCCCAGATTTGAACCCGGGTCTGCAAGGTTATGTCCTCTGAGCCATCCCCACCCCTGCCCTTAAGGACCAGGGGCCTCTGGACACCATCAGCTTGCCCACCTGTCCAGGATTTGCACGCACCTGCTCGGTGCCAGATGCTGGGCACTGGGGACAAACCAGGTGAGGTGTGGACCGTGACCTGTGTTGTCACTGATTGGGGGACTTTCTGGCAGAGTGGAGAGTGCAGTGGGCTGAGAGACAGGATGGCCAGTGGAGACTGAGCTCTCAGAGGCGGCGGCAGCTGATGGGGACCATGCAATGGGAAGGATGGAGGCCCTGGGATAGTCTGCGGTGAACTTCCAGGCAGAAGGAACAGCAGGTGCAAAGGCCTTTAGCTGGGAAGGAAACTCTGGGTTGGAGGAATAGCTTGCAGGCGCTCTGAGAGAGGCTGGCAGCCAGGTGGCAGGGAGGCAGCCCAGTCAGGTGGTCTTGGGACAGTTTAGGGTCTCTGGCCTTCACCAGTGAGGTGGTGTCTGGAGACTTTTGCAGACGAAGGCAGCTCTCACTCCCATCTTCCCGGGGTCCCTCTGGCTGCTGAGGGTGGATGGGTGGAAAAGCATCTTTCAGGGAAGTGGAGGCAGGGCTGGAGCAGTTGAACATCTGACTGGGCCAAGGGTCCAGGGACTGGCATGGAACAGGGCTGGGTGGGTGAGGCCGCCTGGGAGACCCCAGCTTGCCTCTGTTTCCCCCTGTACTGGGGCCTCCTGCGTGAACCAGCACTGGTTTTTCCAGTAACTGGAGCCACAAGCCTCCCTAGGAACGGCTGACCCATAAGAGGACGTCCTCAAGGTCCCCAAGGGCTAGAGGCTGAGATGCCGCCTTCGCCTGGGCGGGCCTCGCAGCCTGGAGGCAGGCGGTGGTGCAGCTCGGGCAGGCCCCGTCCACACGCCTCCCCGCTCTTCTGAGCACCACGCGTCCCGTGGGCTCCCTACCCGTCCTGATAACACGGCGGTCCGGGGGCCTCGAAGCCGGTCTGACCCCAAGTACCCGGGCCAGGCGGCTGCCGTCTTGTCGCCCCAGCCCATCCCCTCAGCCAGCCCGCCTGGCGGCACGGGACCTAGCCCCAGTCGACTTAGGGGGAAACTGAGAACTCCAGAAGTTTCGTGAACTCCCTGGCTTCGTCCGCATCCCGCCCTCTGCCTCTTCGCTCGGGCTTCAAAACTGCCCCTCCGACGCCCGCCTGCCCCAGGCCGACCTGGCCTAGGCGCCCGGCAGGCACAGGAGCCAAGGTCAGTCCCCGAGGCCGCCCGCGCGACCGGAGCCGCCTCCTCCCAGCCCAGGGGCGGCCTCGGGGGCGGCGGGCGCGCGGCCGCGGCGTGGGGAGCGCTCCCATTGGGCCGTGCCCCCACGTGACCCAGCGGGTCCGGCGCGCGCCCTAAGCCGGTGGAGCCGCGGCCGCGCCTGTGCGCGAGGGCGCGCGCGTCCCGAGCCCTCCACCCGTCGTGCCGGCGCCGCCCGGACCGCCAGGTCAGTCTCCTCCGCGCCCGCTCGGGGCGGGGGCGCGCGGCGCTTTGTGGAGGCGCGTGGGGGGCCGTCCGCGCGCGAGCCCGCCGCCCGCTCCGGGCACGGCTTCGGGGCCGCGCAGCCGGGAGGGCCGCCGCCTTCCCCCTGCCCGCGCGTCCCGGGACCCTGCGCCTGGCGGCCGATCCGGCGGGAACGTGGGCCTGGAGGCTGCCACGTGCCGGGGCCGAGCCTCAGGAGGCCGCTGTTTCCCCAGGCGAGCCACAGAACACCCCTGGCTGGAAGGGGGTGACCCGCTCCCGTTTCTGGGTGCGCGGGAGACCTCCTACCCTGAGTTCATCCTGCGCAGGGTCCCGCCCAGGATCTGGCTCTGCCCCCATTCACGGCTCATTTTCCTCAGCTGCACAGTTTGGGGGGCTGGAACCCCACAGCCTTCCGTGCCTCCAGGGCGGGTCGTAGATGTCAGTGGAGGTCAGGGGAAAGCAGAGCGTCAGGTCTCAGGCCGGGTGGAGTCCGCCTCAGACCATACCAGTGTTGGGACTCGGGCGGCGCCTCAGCCCTCCAAGCACACCCCGGTAGAATCAGGTCAGCAGCCTTGATCCACGTGCCTCAGGGATTAAACGGGTGACTCCTGACACGCCCCTGGGCAGCTGGTGGCCCAGGGGTGGGGTGGTGGCATGCTTAGCTCCAAGTGGGCAGAGCAGTTTCACCCTGCCGGTTCCCGGAGGGAAGCCCTTTATGAGGGAGGCTTCCCTGGCCCTCTGTGATAGCGGCTCCAAGGGCAGCGTGAGGTCCAGGCTAGCTGGTCACAGTGTGTGCCCGGGCACCCTCAGCCAAGACAGAAAGGCACGTGCTGCACCCCCTCTCTCTGCCTGCGGGCTCTGGGGTGTGCCCCGCACACGATGGTGGGTGTTGGGCATCCACCTAGTCTGTGGACCCTGGGGGCCCTGCTCCCAGGTTGGAGCAGTGTCCTCGGCTGCAGACCAGAGGAGGTCACTGAACACAGGGTGCCTGTGGCCTTGCACAGACAGAAGCCGCCTGGCAGCCCTGTGCAGAGCCGTGCTTCACTGAGTTCCTGCAATCCTCCCAAGAAGTTCGTTAACCCCATTTCTCAGATGAGGAGACTGAGGCCCACAAAGGTGGAGTTGGTGCAGCCCCTAGCCTGCGGGGCTAAGCAGAGCCTTGTTGTCCCCATCTGCAAAGGGGGCGTTGGAGCTGCTGTAAATGGGCCCCGAACCTGTCACCTGAGTGGAATTAGGCATTGGGGATCTCCCCATCACCACGCCGGCCCCCCTCACTGTGGTTACGAAGGAGGAGAAGCTGCCCTGTGTAGGAATTCCTGGGCTGTTTCCAAATAGCCCCGCTAGGGAGCTGGTCACCCCTCAACACCCCCAACGTGTTCTCCAAGCACTTACTCTGTGCCAGGCCCAATGCTGGACCTGGAGATGGGGCATGGCTGGCTGGCTGAGCGGGGCAGGTTGCGGACAGGCCCCCGCAGGCAGTCGGCGTGATGGGAGAAAATGCAGGCGGGGATGAGATGCAGCCTCCAGGTGGTTTCCTCAGCTGCCTGCTCCTCTCTGCCTTTGCCCTCCTCCCGGAAGCTTGCGCTGACCACTGGAGTAAGGCTGGGGGCCTCAGCTGGTCCCCTCTCTGTCCCAAGTAACAGCCCAGAACATGGTGAGGGTGGCTGGCTGATGCAGTCAGGCACTGGACATGGGAGGCAGGAGGAAGGCCGGGAGGTGGGCAGCTTTCTCAGACAAGTGGGCAGTTTGGATGGCGAGGAGGTCTTGGAGGCACCATGGGTGGCTGGGCTCAAAGATGACATGAGGGCATGCTTAACAGATGCTTAACCAAATCCTGAATTGGCATTGGCCAATTTCTGTGGTGTAACTACTCCCAAGCTACACAGACGTGACTTTACTGGCTGAGGACTTGGGCAGAGGTGCACACAGTCAGACTGAGAGGGGGGCATAAGCTGGTGTGAGCCCTCCCTCTCACCGCCAGGGTGGGCAGAGTGTCCGCTGGTGCCCAATGCCTATGCACGTGACCTCCTTAGGGACTTACATCCAGATGGCGGTGATACAGCTTGGGGAGGCCTCTCCCTGGTTGGCAGGTCCTGGCGAAAGGGTGAGTTAAGTGGAAAGTGTACCAGGCTGGTGTCCAGGTGGCATTTGGCCAGAGGGGCTGAGCTGGGAGCTCCTGGGCCTGGGGCTGGCAGATAGTGGTGATTTTTCGCCCCCCAAGACCTTGGGCTTGCCTTGTTCCATGAAGGTCCCAAATCTGACCAAAGGCTGTAACCAGATGGTCACTGTCCCAGACCACCCCAGGGCGCTTTCTCACCTCGAGAGCACCGTTTCTCCCCACCTCCACCCTGGCCGCCCTTGCTGTCACCTACTCCCTCTGGTCCCTGGCACCCCTCCCTGCCTGCAGTGGTGTTTCCTAGCAAGTGCAGCAGCCCGAGGCTGGGCTAGAGGCAGGAGGGCCTGGCCTCCCAGTGTCTTGCTGGATACTTGGTTTCTTGCCCCTCCGTTTCCACACCTGTAAAATGGGAGCAATGACAGGTCTTCCTGGCAGGACAGTGGTGAAGCTTGGTCACACGGGTGAACATGTGTGAGGTAAAAAAGACTTCCCATCCCTCCTTCTGACCTGGACCGGCTCGCAGGACCCATAGGCAGGGACCTGGGCAAGGTCCGAGGGCCGATGAGCCCCGTCCTCTCTGCACAGTTCAGAGTTGGGTGGGAGTGGCTGTGGGCTGCAGGAGGAGGTACTGCACTTCGCACAGTTACGTGGTCGGGTTGGCATCGCCGCCGCCTGACTTCGGCGCCCCGCGAGTTGGGTGTGTGCGGTTGGGGGCGGCCCAGAGTGTGCCCCACGCCTGCCAGTCGGGTAGGCCAGCCTCCCTGGAGAGAGGGGGGCCTCCCCAAGGTGGGACGGGGACAGGGACGGGTGCTTCCTTCCACCCAGGAGCCTGAGCAGAGGGTGGAGGGTCCTGGCAGCTACCTACGGCAGCTGAGAGCTGCGCTCTTTAGCCGAGCGGGATCAGGGCTACGTGGACACAGCCCGTGCCAGTGTGGGTGGGGCACGAGCTGTGGGTTCCGATGGCCCAGTAGGCGTTCACCTGGCAGAGAGTGTGCGCGTGTCTCCCCTCCTTGGGGCGCCTCAGGTCAGGACCCTGAGAACCTCACTTATCCTTTGAGCTGCGCCAAGGCTGTTGTACAAAAGACAGTTCAGAAAATAAGGACAGGCTGTTCCTCCCAGCCAAGGGTGTGGCCCTAAGGACCCCTAGGTGGGGCATCGCTTCCCGCCAGGCACGTGCCACTCAGTCTTGGGCTGCTTTAGTGGCAGCCTCCTGGTTTGGAAGCGGAACTGAGGGTCAGGGATGACCACATGGCTCAGGGCTCAGCTGGGGTCCTGAGAGTGGGCCCTCAGGTTTACCTTCCTCCTGGAGGGGAACTGGGGGCCATTGCCCAGTGCACCCCCACTTCCCCTTAGGTGCGTGGGCCACCCCTCCCTCCTGCAGCCCCCGTTCATCTACCCAGGATAGGTGCATGGGCCACCCCTCCCTCCTGCAGCCCCCGTTCATCTACCTGGGGAAGGTGCGTGGGCCACCCCTCCCTCCTGCAGCCCCCGTTCATCTACCCGGGGTAGGTGCGTGGGCCACCCCTCCCTCCTGCAGCCCCCGTTCATCTACCCAGTGGGGATGTCCCCTGGCTCCTCTCCTGGCATCTTCCCGGGATGTAGGGGTGCTCCCATGCCCCCCGGCTCCTCTCCTGGTGTCTTCCCCAGATGTAGGGGTGCCCTCATGTCAGGGCTTATGCTTCTAGAAGGAGTGGAAATGCAGCACAGTCATTGCTGTTGCCTGCCAAGGGCCACCCTGGCTGGGGACAGATGGGGCTGCCTCCCCTCTCCCACCCTGTCCTGGCCACCTGCCCCCGCCAACCCTGCCACTGGCTCAGAGGAAGCAGGCCTAACCTGATGTGTAACCCCCACCCCTGCCGTGACTGTAACCCCGTGCCATGTGAAGGTGGGGCTCCTTGGCAGTGCCTGGTGATTGCGGTACAGCCAGAACCGGCCCCATTATCTGGGCTGTGGGTGCCATTGGTCAGGACCGTGATGGACTCATACGTAAAACTTGATGCATTTTAACTCCCTTCATCCTAGAGGATTGAGACCTCTGGCGGGTAAGTGTTCATATTACCGTCCTGCCCTAGAGCCAGGGAAGGACCCTAGGGGAGAAGTGACGTGCCAGGGTCACTGCTGGGAGGAGAGCAGGAATTTGAACGCTGGCCATGCCTCCTTTTTGGGGAAAGGTCAGTAAATGGGCAGGGGAGGGTGCTGGTCATTTGGGTGATGGTGCCAGTGGGGTGAGCAGCTCCAGGTCATCAGGTGGTATGGAATCTGGCCCCGGGCAGCCCGTCCAGCATTCCTCTCTCACCGAGCCCACAGCCCTGGAGCACCTACTGTGTGCCTGCTCTGGCCCACTGGGAACAGGACAGTCCCGAGCCCTGCCCCGAGGAGCTGGCGCCAAGTGGAGCAGCTGCACCACAGGCACACGGGGGACAAAGGGCACCGCTGATGATTTGGCCAGGAAGAGATGAGGTGGGGATGGGGGCTACAGGGTGGGGAGACGGTGGCCTCGGGAAGGGCTAGCTTGGCCACGCCAGCTTGGTCATGTCACCTTCTGAGTCTCAGTGTTCCCTTCTCACGTGGGACAAGACCACGCATAACCCGAGGGGCTGCATGTGTGGAGCCGACAAGCTGACGTGCGGGTCCTGAGTGCACTGAGCCCGCTGGGGTTCCAGACACAGTGGATGAACGATCCAGGGAAGGAAACAGCCTGGGCTGTGCTCTCTGGGACCTGCCCTTGAGCCAGGTACTCCTGTGGGAGGGTAGCCGGGCTGGCTGGGGGCCTGGAGCCCACAGCCTCTCCTCCCTTGCTGTTTTCCCGGCCAGGGAGGAAGCCAGGCTGGAAGACCCCAGAGGGCTAGGGGGATGAACACAGGTTGATCTGTGTTGAATTTGGCTCTAGCCACCTCCTCAGGGCCAGAGCGGCTCCTGGAGCCGGAGTGAGAGCTGTGTTACACGCAGGGAAGCCGGGGCTCGGGGAAGGTGGCTGCCAGGGTGTGCAGGGCTGTGCCAACCTCATCCTGGTGGGTCCCTGTGACAACAGGACAGGCTGCCTGCCCATTGTACAATGAGAGGCTGATGCTCTGTCACTTCATGAGGTCACACAGGCTCCAGGCAGTGGGGGGCTCTCTGAAGGAGGTCCCAGTGACCTGAATGGAGCCCCCGGGTGGGCTGAAACTTCTGCCTGTAAGGCCTGTCCTGGGTTGGGGTTGGGTGGGAGAGGGCAGGAGTCCTGCTGGGAAGGGCCTCTGCCATGCCCAGCTCCTACCACAAGTACAGAACAATGACAACTCCGCCACCTGGCTGCCCCACGCTGGGCACATGCTCCCCGCTGGCCTCAGTTGGGAGTCCAGTGAGTCAGGAGGTGAAGGTGGGGTGCACGTCCCCTGCAGACCCTCACAAGGCAGGTGGCGGGGCGGGTATTGGTCATGAGAACCCTGCCTTGGGGCCTGAGTGCCTCGGTGGCTGTGGAGCCTGGTTTCGACCTCTTTGGGACCAGTGTTCTTGTCCATAAAAGGCAGTGATCTTTCTGGATAGTTCAGAGAGATTCTGTTATCTTTGCCCATCAGAGCTGGAAGGGAGTTGAACAAAATGTTTTGCAGAAATTGGACCTGAGTTGGGCATTGCTCCTCCTGCTGCCCCTGGTTCTGAGGGCTTGGCACCACTAGCCCGCTCTCTGTCCAGGGTCGGCCCGGCTCCTGCCTTTATCATGTGTGAGCCTCGCTGTGTGTGGCTCAGTCCTGGACGGGCCGAGACCTGGATGCAGGACCCTGGACAGTCAGCGCAGGCGGAGCAGGGAGGGAGGCGTCTGCCTGAGGCCTGCTTGGAGGTGCCCAGGCTGGAGCCCTTGGCCCTGGAAGATGTGGTCAGGGCCCAGTGGTGTTGGGATGGCCAAGAAGAGGGCCCCTGTGCCTTCTGCCCAGGGCTTGGCCTAGCCAGTGCTCAGGGTTTATTTGCTGGATGAGGGGTGGAGTGGGCCAGTGGGGCCCAGGTCTCCTGCTAGGTGACCCTCAGAGGTGGGCATAACATCCCTTGGAGTCTCTGCTCTGCACTTGCCAATAAGAGGCTGGACCATTTGAGTGGTTATAAGTTGGGAAGCACTCCCTGATTGCTTGGTTCTGCTTGAGGCACAGCCTCCAACTCCCAGAGATTCCAGCACCCCTGCAGGAGCCAGCGTTGCTGATGTGGGCAGACGGGCGTCTGGGAACACCCCAGACTCAGCATACTAGGGTTCAAGTCCCTGACTCCCATCCTGGGGCATGGAGTGGCAGGAACCAGGGAATGTTCTAGAGTGAGGTGGTGAGGTGGAGCAGGGCCTGCGGGGATCAGATTTCCCTGGGGTGGGGTCCTGGAAATAGGGCATCAAGAGGAAGTCTCTAACCCTGGGAGTTGGAGGGTCTCGGGTCCATGGCTGAGGGTGGATGTGCTAGAACTGGACTCTGGAACCTGAAGACCCCCGGATGAGGGTGCTCAGGGCCTGGCTGGGGAGACTCTTGCCTTGTTCTCCCCAGTGTCCAGGCCTGGGCTGCCCAGGGGACACTTCAGTTGATGACGTCATTGTCCAGGAGGCTTTTCTCTTGGACCTCAGTTTCCCCTTCTGCAGGATGGGCTGGACCCACTCTGTCTAGCTCTACCACCCCCTAGTCCCTCTGGGGAGCTGCAGGAGCCTGTTCCCACGGCCTCGTCCTCACCCGCCACGGAGACCTCGAAGCCAGGCCTGGCCCAGCTAGAGGAGGTGACGGGTGGCCCTGCCCTGTCCCTGTCCCCATCTCAGTCCCCTTCCCACGGGACCGGTGCTCCCGGCTGCTCTCCTGGCCCTGGGTCCCTCCTGTGACTCAGGCTTCCTGGAAGAGGCTCGGGAGGGCTCGGAGGATTCCCCGCCACCCCACCCAGGGTTTCTGCCCGCCTGCCTCAGGTCCCTGTCACCACCCCTCCTGTGGCACACGGTGTGCTTTACCTGCTCATCCACTCCGCCCTTGCCCCTAGAGCCGGTGCCTCTTACTCCTGGCACCCCCACTCTGGCATCTTCTACTGATGCCTGGAACGCTGGCCCCCTCCTCTGGCTCGCCTGGTCCTGGGGCCCCTGCCAAGGCAAACATCTTCTCCTTTAATCTCCCCGTCCTGGGTCAGCCGCAGAGGCCCTTCCTCCCGGGCTTTGCTTCCCTCTGGCCAGCTGCCCAGAGGCCCATCTGCTGGGAATTGCCGTGTGGAGCTCAGGGGGTCCCTGGGGGTGCCCGGGGCTCCCGGCTGCCCCTCCCCTCGGTGGCCTCCCTGTCCCCTCCGCATGGCCCTGGGGAGCTACAAGGCCTGGCCCTGGCTCTGCCGACTCTCCCTGCTCCTGCCCTTTCTGGGCCTCCGTTTTTGTGTCTGGAGAATGGGGAGCCTGGGGGAGACCCCGGCCCCCACAGCAGATGGGTGGGATCAGGACAAAGGCCTGGCAGCTGAGCTCCAGCCACCTGAGCCAGGCTGCTTGCTTCTGAGTCGGTGACTGCAATGGATGGACGGGGTCCTGGTGGCATGCCCTTTACTCTCTTCCAGGCCTGTGACCTGGGGGAGGGCTGTCCATGGGTGCCTCAGTTTCCCTACCTGCCAGGTTGTGTTCTTGGGGCAGGCTGGGGACGTGCAATGGCAGCACTGCGGGACCCACAAGGAGCTCACATGGGGGAGAGGCGACATTTGAACAACGCTTCAAACATGTAGTTATTGTTTTCTCTTTTTTGAGACGGAGTCTCACCCTGTTGTCCAGGCTGGAATACAGTGGCACGATCTCAGCTCACTGCAAACCTCCGCTTCCCAGGCACAAGCGATTCTCCTGACTCAGCCTCCTGAGTAGCTGGGACCACAGGCATGCGCCACTATGCCCAGCTATTTTTTGTAGAGATGGCATTTCACCATGTTAGCCGGGCTGCTTCTCCTGGACTCAAGTGATCCTCCTGCCCCAGCCTCCCAAAGTGCTGGGATTACAGTGTGAGCCACTGCGCCCGGCCCACCACTGTGCCTGGCCTGCCTCTGCGCCTGGCCCACCTCTGCGCCTGGCCCGCCTCTGCACCTTGCCCACCACTGTGCCCGGCCCACATCTGTGCCCGGCCCACCACTGTGCCAGGCGCAAACGTGGTTATTGTTTTAGACACACATTTGGTGATGTTCATTATAAAAATTCAAACAGCCTGGGAAATACACGGCTGCAGTAGCTCTGGGCTTCTGCTTCATTTCACAAGAACCGTGCCGGCCTCGGGTGCTGTTTTACAGTGTCACTTGAAATTTCCCTGGGTGTTGACTGGGGTCCTCTCCCGATGGCACCCTTGGACCCTGGTCTCTGGGTCTGGTCAGATGCTTGTTTATTAACCAGCCATCCCCCCACCCCCATGATGGGCTCTCCTAAGTGAGGCCATGGACAGCCAGGATGTGCGTCTCGGCACCGGGGTGAGTCTTTCTTGGCCCGCTGGCAGAACCCTGGGTCAGATGGGAGGGTTGTTGGTGCCCGGCTGTGTGTCTGCCAGCCCCTTCATCCCTATCCTGGCTGCTGTGTAGCTCCTGCCTCCCCATAACTCTTGGGGGGCTGCCCGGGTCCACACTGGCCCCGTGGGGATGGCAGTAGGCAGAGAGGGGCGGTCCTGACCCCAGAGAAATCCCATGGGTGAGTAGGACTTGTAGGAGATGGCAGTTCCCTCCCTGGAGCATGTGTCCCCAAGACTTAGAGGTCGTGGTGGGGCAGGAAGCAGGTAGTCAGGGTGGGCTTTTGGGAGGAGATGGCATCACAGTACGGAGGGAGTCATGCACGAGGCACCAGGAAGGGGCAAGCCGGGTGAGGACAGGCTCCTCCTGGGGACCCAGGACCTGACGGAACGGCATCACTCTTAATGGCACCGTCGCGAGCCTCTTCTGGGCCAGCAGCCGGAGCTCACCCAGGGCACATCCTTAAACCTCAGGGTCCCCTGGTGGCAGCTGCCATGGTCGTCCTGTTTCCCAGGGAGGGAAGCTGGTGTCTGAGGCTGGCACTCTGCTAGGTAGCACAGTTGGGGAGTGGCAGTGCTGGGATGGAAGACAGACAAGCTGGCACCTGCACATCTGCACGTCCTGTCGTTGAGGTGACCTCTAGCCAGCCAGCTCATCTGCTCCTTTGCAGATGAGGCCAGAGAGACGGGAGTCTCTGGTGTGGAGGGGAGGGCACTGGGTTTGGTGGGCTGGCCCTGGGGTAACTTGCCTGCCTGTGCTTCAGTGTCCCCCTCTGTAAACAGGGTGTGACGTCCCCCCGGCCATGTCGGAGGCTCCGAGAGGGCAGCGGGTCCATCTCAGCAGATGCTCTGCTGACGGATGCTGCTGGCTGGCCCCTGCTCCCACCCTCCCCTCCTTTGGTAGCCTCCCTGGGCCGGGCTGTTCCCACGGCTGCCCAGCCACAGGAAGCCATCTGGAGGCCTTGTTTACCCCTCCCCCTGGCCTCCCTGGCAGGAAGTCACCGGAAGGGCCGTCCCGAGGGGCCCCGGGCCTGTGAGGACAGCCATCGGCTCAGAGGTCTGTGCTGTGGAGTCCCAGGATAGCATGCGGGGGCAGGGAGCTCAGAGAACAGCAGGTGGAGCGGGGCTCCAAGGCACTGGAGCACGTGGGCCGGAGCATGGACAGAACCATTTACCGAGCGCATCCATCTGTCCATCCACACAGTCACCTACCCCTCCCCCGCTGTGGCCCCAGCAGGGCCCAGTCCCATGAAGCTCACAGTCTCAAGGCATGGACGAGGCCACTCCAGCTTCAGCCCAGGGGGGCCCCGTGATGCCAGGGCCATTCCTCCAGCTCCCGGGATCCCACACCTCCCCTGATATCACACAAGCCACCCTGGGTCGGGGCTGGAGGAGGAGACCTGGGCAGCAGCTGGGGTGTCCAGGAGAAGGGAGTTGGGGAGAGGGGTGCCAGCAGAGGGTGCAGCCTCTAGAAACATTGGAGGCCGCCCTGGGTGACGGGTCTGAGGCTGCAAGGTGTGGGTGGAGCAGGTGAAGGGAGAGGTGGGCAGGCACAGCTGGCAGGGGCTGAAGGCATGGATGGGACCAGTCGGGGTACTTGTGGCCCTGCAGAACCCCTCTCTCCACCACCTCCTCCAGCCCTCTGGCGCCCTGCTCAGGGAGGGCTCCCCCAGATAACCCTGTAGGTCTGGACCCTCCTGGAGTGGGCTCAGGGGCCTGGGTTTCCACTCCACAGGATGGGTCCAGCTGCCCCGGCATTTGTGGCAGCCCCAGTGCCCACTGACAGGCCTGAGTGTAGCTGGCTAGGCCCAGGGCCTTTCCCACAGACACTGCCAGCAGGGACTACCTGGCCCTAGGGGGATCTTTGACCTCCGTGGGGCCTTGCGCCCTGTGTTCTTGGCGGCCTCGCGCCTGTCCCGGCCTCCTGCCTTCGGGAGCTGGGTGGAGTGGGGGCAGGCAGCCCTGCCCCCGCCCACATGGGGAGGCTGAGGATTGGCCCTTCCGCCTCTGGCTACCCCTCTTCCCCTCCCCCATACCTCCTGCTCCCCTTTTTCCTCACTTTCCCCCCACCCCTCCCCCCTGCTTCCGCTTTCTCATCCCTTTAGAAGGTGCCTACTCATGATCGTCTTGAGTAAAGCCCTCCCTGAGAGTGTCTTGGGGTTTCGGGCCTGGCAAGCATCCCCAGCCTCCCCTGAAGAGGAAGTGAGCGTGAGAACCGGGCCTTTGGCGGATCCAGGTGCCTGCGGGCAGCCCGGGGGCTTGTTTGTTGGGTGCCTGGCCAGCGGGCCGGTCCAGAGCAGGAATAGATGTCTCAGGAGGGTCCCTGGCTGGTCCCAAGCACCTCCTGTGTGCACCAGGGCCGCTGTTCTTCCGTCCAGCCTCCCAGCAGCCCTGGGGTGTGGGTGCCTCTGATTCGGAGGGAGTGACGGGACTTAGGGTTAGCCAGCTCCCCAGGTCAGAGACGCAGAGCCCTGGGCCAACCCCAGGATGAGCCCCATCAGCCTCTCCTTCCTGACTCATTCAAGATAGTAAGTGAAAGAGGGCATGCAACCAGCACGCAGCCCCAGAGGAAGGCTGCAGCGGCCTCGCGCGGGGCCAAGGAGGCTGGGCACCGTGTGTGCCGTGGCACTGCCCTCCCTGGTGTTGCTGATGCTGCTGAGATGGGAGAATGTTGTGGGATTCTGGGGGAGGCTCTGGTCTGAGAGTCCCGAGCCTGGGGAGATGGCCTGGCTGGGCCCAGGCTGGCCACAGGGGCACCCCAGACTTTTTTCCTGGGCATGGTGTACAGTAAGTCCTCACATCACATCATCCATAAGTTCTTGGAAGCTGCGGCTTTAAGCAAAACGATGCCAGTTTTAAGTGAAAATTGGTTTAAGGACACTAGTGTTCCCATAAGTTGATAGAGATAGATAAGAGTTAAGTTCCTGCCAGGTATTTCTGGTCACAAAAACGTCACCAGGCTTCCAATGAAGACCCCAAACACTTCTAACATTAAACACTGAAGTAAATGTGAGCTACACATACATGTAAGAAAAGTGAATTAAACAGGGAAGAGAATTGCTTCCCCAGCTTTCCGTGGGCCAGTGAGTGGTAACGGAACACACATCTCACGGCAACCATGGTCGGGAGCTCCTCCTGCCACCACGCACTTCAAAATCAAACGATCACAAACGTGGCGGCTTCCTGTATTGCCACGCATTCGTCTGACTATGTCTATTTGACGAATTTTTATTTTGCAATAATTTTTATTCATTTATTCATTCATTTTCCAACCCACTAATTCCAGTGCAGGGTCATGAGTGGCTGAGCCTGTCTCAGCAGCTCTGGGCACAAGGTGGGACCTGACTCTGCTCAGGACACCATCCCCTCTCGGGGCACACTCCCATGCACAGCCACACCCACTCAGCCAGGGCCACGGCGACACGCCTGTTCACCGGATGTGCACAGCACTGGGGTATGGGGGAGCCGGAGGACAGGGAGAAAACCCACACAGACCTGGGGAGCTCGTGCACATGCCACGCAATGGCCCTGAAAGGGAAGCGATTTTTTTTTCTCGTCAGCGTTATCACAAAACCACGTTGAAAGCAACAGTGTTATTTGAGGAGCTGCTGTACTTGACGGATGGTGCAGGACAAGGTGGGCCCTCTTCGGGGCCTCTGCGCCTCTCCCCCTTTCAGGGGGTTGGGGTAGAAACTGGATCAAGGATAGGGGACTCTCATAGGATTGGAGGGTCCATTGGGGCAGGGCCCCCCAGCAGCTGAGGGCCTCTCTCCCCCTGTCCTGGGGTCCTGGGGTCTCTGGCCCCCATGAGTCCAGCTCCTGATTGCTCTGCCAAGTTTGCTGTCATGCCAGGAACTAAGCCTTTCTCCTCGTGAGCTCTCTTGCACCCACAGTATAGCCATGGTATTCAGTAGGTGCCCAGTAAGTGTGGGCTGGTGAATGGGCCTCCAGGGAGGTGGGATTTGGATGGACAGAATGGACGGGTCCTTGGGAGGTGGTACTGAGTCAGCAGAGGCTTGGGGGCAGAGCATCTCTGCAGAGGCAGGGGCTCCATCCTCAAGGACCCCCTGAGGGCCTCCAGGAGGAGGCAGCCATGGGGTGCGTGGGGAAGTAGGAGTGGCAGCTCTGAGTCAGCTTGTCCCAGCTCTGAGCTCCCTCCCGCACCTACCTGTCTCCACTGTGGGGGCCACACAGCCTTTACATATAAAGGGCATGGAGCAGCGCCTGGCACTCAGGCTGCCAGTACCACCAACTGGCAGCACTCATTGGGCACTGACTGTCTACATTGCCAGGAGTGTTCAAGAAGTAATTTAAACTGCCAGAAATCCTCATCCCACGGCATTAACTGACACCTGCTTTGGGCCTGACCCTGTGCCTGATCCTGGGGACCTGGCATGGGTCAGTCAACGCTCCCTGTCTGCCGCCCACAGTCCATGACAGGGACAGACAAGTCACGAACAGGGCTGCAGGGGCTGACCCAGGAATGAGCAGGACCTCTCTGGGACTGTTTAGGGCTTTGGCCCCCTGGTGAGGGAGCAGCGAGGCTGTGGGGACCCAGGTCCCTTGGGCCTTGCATGCCTGGCTCCTGATCCTGTGGGCCCCATGCAGAAGTGGCCCCCAGTTCTTTCTGGGTGCTTGGCATGTCCAGTCTTCCTTGGGGGCTCCCCAGGCAATTTTGGCTAGACACCCAGCAGACGCTCCTTCCTCCAGGCCCCCCAACCTCCGGGTCCCTGAGGTCGGAGCCAGTTTTCCCCAAGACCACCCAAGCAGTGACTTTGGGTCCACCCACAGATGCCCTGGTCACTGTGTTGCTGGGAGTGCTTGGGTGAGAAGGAATGGCTGCGGGCGGGTCTTCCTTTCTTCATCCTCAGCATCCTCATCCATCACTGAGGATGCTTGTCTCTGCCTTACTCCCACTCACAGGACAGTCGAATATGTTCACACATCCACTGAGCCAGCACCTGCTGTGTACGGTGCCCATTGAGAACCAGGGAGCCGAGGGTGGAGCTGTGGCCGGTCTCTTGTCCTGCGTGGGGAGAGAGGCTGACAAGCTTTGCCAGAAGGGGGACAGATGATCCCTACTGTGTGTGGGGGACAGAGGACAGGTCTCGGTGGCTAGCAGGAGGAACAGGAGGATGCTGAACCTGAGATCCGAGTGGTAAGAAGGGGCCAGCACCGGACGATGTGGGGACAGAGCATGCTCCTGGCCTCCAGCACAGGCAGTGCAAGGGCTCGGAGGCAGGACTGTGCTTGGCAAGTTGCAGGAACAGCTGGGAGGCAGGTGAGGCTACAGCAGATGAGGAGAGGGGAGTGGTAGGAGGTCAGAGGGCAGGGAGCAGCTCGCGTGGGGCCTTTAGGGCGATAAGGATTTTTGGCTTTCCTGAGTGACGCGGGCACCACTGGAGGCTTTGAGCGGAGGGGGCTATGATCTGACTTAGGTCGAGGACACTGGTGGGGGCAGTGGTGGGGATACCCAGGATGCCAGATGGGTATCCCAGATTCTTGGTGACCCTCGGTAGCCCCTCTGGGCGGTGGCTTTAGGCATCTGGGCTCAGGTGTCACCATTTCACTTGTCGGCCACCCACGGCTGCTTCCTGCCCCATCTGGGGATTCCGGGGACTTTCCATTTCCTCACCTTGCACTTGATTCTGTGATGTGCCTGGACTGGGGATTGTGGAGGCCTGTCCGTGCCCTGAAGCACTTCTGAGAAGCCGGGGAGCAGTTCCCTGGGGTTTCCCCTGGGAAGTCCTGCCGTCCTCTTTCTGCTGCCACCCAGAGCCCGCCCTTTCCGGAGAGCAGTTCCCTGGGGTGTCCCCCTGGGAAGTCCTGCCCTCCTGCCTCTGGCCCTTGCTCAAGCCGCGCCCCCATCTGGATGCCCACTTCTTCCACTCTGCTCTGTTGGACCAATTAGGCCAACTCTGGGGATATGTGACCCCAGTGTTTGTGATCAAACGGGGCCCAGACTCATTGACATCCTGCGTGAACTACAGTTTTGGTAGAGGTGCAAGTGGATTCTGTGTGGCACAGAAGATGGCGAGTGGTGACGGCTGTGTTGCCTGCATGCCACCGACAGCCCGCCTCTTCTTTCCATCTTAATCCATCTTGCCAGCTCTCAAGGGCTGTAGGCACTTCGCCCTGAATCCTCCTCTGAGCCGGCTTTGCCTCCTGCTGTTCCCACTGAGCGAATTAAATAAGTCTTTGCCCTGTGCCCACTGTATGTGCAAGGTCATGCAGGTTATGCTTTGAACTTCCAAAAATGCGCTCAGAAATCTTTCCTGTCCTCTAGGGCCCATCTCTGATGCCACCTTCACCTTCTGGATTCTCTCCAGGGGAGGAGGTCAGGCCCTTGGGAGGTACCCTTTGCCCTCTCTGCTGGGGATCCTGGAGAGTCCCTCCCCAACTCCCCTGGCCACTGGGACCTCTCTTCCTCCCTGACCTGCCCAGCATCCTCCCTTGGCAGCCTGGCACAGCCCGGACAGAACCTAGAAGGTGTGGATTCTGCCTGCCTGCCCTGTGTCCCCACAGTCCACATGCTGGCCTGGACTCTCAGGCCTCCCCACCTCCAGTCCCTCTCCTGCCCTCTCCATTCCTTCACACACGTGGGCACAAAGCTGGGGCTTCTGTAAGGGTGCATCTGGTAGGACCTCAACCTCCCGTACCCAATGGGGTCTTGGGAGAACAGAAGTTGTGGGTGATGGTTAAGGTGTAGCCCTCTTCCCAACCTTGCACAGCCCCCTGGCTCAGTCCCTGAGGGTAAAATTCAGACAGAGCTGGAAATGACCCAAATGTCCATCAGCTGAGGATAAACGAAATGTGGCAGGCCCACAGAGTAGAACAAGCTTGCCCAGCCAGCAGCGCGGCCCAGGACGGCTTTGAATGTGGCCCAACACACATTCATAAACTTTCTATTTTTTTTTTTTTTTTGAGATGGAGTCTCACTCTGTTGCCCAGGCTGGAGTGCAGTGGTGGGATCTTGGCTCACTGCAACCTCCACCTCCTGGGTTTAAGTGATTCTCCTGCTTCAGCCTCCCAAGTAGATGGGATTACAGGTGCCCGCCACCACACCCAGCTAATTTTTGTATTTTTAGTAGAGATGGGGTTTTGCCATGTTGGCCAGGCTGGTTTCAAACTCCTGACCTCAAGTGATCCACCTGCCTCAGCCTCCCAAAGTGGTAAGATGACAGGCGTGAGCCACCGTGCCTGGCCAAATTTGTAAACTTTCTTAAAACATCATGAGGTTTTTTGTTGTTGTTGTTGTTCATCAGCCATCATTAGCGTTAGTGTATTTTATGTGTGGTCCTAAACAATTCTTCCAGCGTGGCCCAGGGAAGCCAAAAGATTGCACACTCCTGCAGTAGAATATAGGCGGCCAACAGGTGGAGCGGGCACAGACTCAGGCTGCGCCGTGGCTGAGCCTTTACGACGCCAGGAGAAGCGAAAGGAACCAGGCGCAGAGGGCCACGTGGTGTGTGAGGCCATTCACAGCAAATGTCCTGAACAGGCAAGTCCACAGAGACAGAAAGCAGACTTGTGGTTGCCAGGGGCTGGGGGAGGAGGGGTGGAGTGACTGCTGGTGGGAGGGGGCGATGGAAGTGTTCTGGAATTAGTGGTGATGATTACACAGCACTGTGAATATATTAAAAACACTGAAGGTTACACTTTAAGATGGCTAAAATGACTGGGCCTGGTGGCTCACGCCTGTAATCCCAGCACTTTGGGAGGCCAAGGTGGGCGGATCACCTGAGGTCAGGAGTTTGGGACCAGCCTGGCCAACATGGCGAAACCCTGTCTCTACTAAAAATACAAAAATTAGCCGGTTGTGGTCATGGGCGCCCGTAATTCCAGCTACTTGGGAGGCTGAGGCAGGAGAATTGCTTGAACCCGGGGGCGGAGGTTGCAGTGAGCTGAGGTCGTGCCACTGCACTCCAGCCTGGGTAACAGAGCGAGACTCTGTCTGAAAAAAAAAAAAAAGACTAAAATGGTGGATTTCATGTGTTATGAATTTTATCTCAAAAAATAAATTAGGATAGCACCCCCGCCTACACAGACTCTGTCCTGAGCAGCTCTCAGAAGTCCGTAAAATAGGGTGAAAGTGTCGTTGCCCTGCCCCCGGGTTCCCAGTGCTGTGGGGACGTCACCAGCTGCTGGGGAACAGAGGGATGCTGGCACCCACCCAGGGCTCAGGGCAGGGCAGGAGCTTGGTGTGCGCTAGAGACTAGAGTGAGAAGGCCCTTCCCCGGCCCTCACAGAGTGCCTTGCCACTGGGGAGTTGAGTGAAGGCACAGACAAGGTTGTGAGGTACCCACGCTGCCGTGTAGTGTCACCACGCCCTGATGTGTATAACCTGTTTTCTTTGCTCATCTGGGTGGACTGGTGGGGCATTTGATTCTGGAGGGTGGGGTTCCAGTCTGCATGGTTCCCTGGGGATCCCTGGCCCCAACATGAAGGCAGTGTGGCCTGAGGGCCTCTCAGTCCCCAAGGTGCTGACCCACCGCTGCCTTTCCCGAGTCCTCCCTGGGCCCTGCTAGGGGAGGCCTGGGAGCTGCAGCATCCAACAGGCCCGTGTGAATGGCCTGGCCACAGCACTGCCAGACAGGGCAAAGTTCCTGGCCCGGGGCTGTCTCTGAGCCCTGGAGCTGGCGGGGTAGGGATCAGCTCCTGTGAGCTCCCTCCATCCCCAGATCCACCCTTCAGGTCCAGGGCTATTTGGTGGCAGCTCCTGGTGGGGCAGGGGGATGGGAGGGATGGGAGCCTCCATCTGTGGACCCGGCACCCAGTCTGCCTGCAGGCCTGGTGATTGTGGCCCGACCTCCTGCCCACCCCTTCTGGGCACCACGGCGATGCCCAGAGCCCCTGAGGGGCTGTGCAGGCAGGGCATAAGATGGCAGAGGGCTCCACATAGCCCCTAGGCTGGCAGGATGTGTTCTGAGCTGAGGTCCTCTGGAAAGCGCCTGTGGATTTCTGGCCCCTCCCTGGTGTGTTCCCCACCTGCCTGCTGAGCCTTCAGATGCCTGGGAGAGCAGGTCTCCCTTAGGTCCGCTGGTTCTGATGGTTCCCCTCCTTCTCTCCTGGGAGCTGGGCAGGTGCTCAAAGCGGGCAGTGCAGGCTGCCCAGCGTGCCCAGCTCCCAGGATGCACCATGTGACCCAGGCCCCCTCCTGCCCTGCTTGCGCTGGCGAGGGGCCGTGGCTGGGTGCCCAGCGGTGCCTGCGGGGGCCCACTCCCTGGGGCAGTGCCTGCCTGCCACCCACCTGGGCTGGGCATCCAGTCTGGCCTTGGCTGTTGTCATGGCAGCCAATGCCTGCAGCCGGGAGCTAAACTTGCTACCCTCAAGCCACTGTCACCACGGCTGTGACGAACATGGGGACATACAGCCTGGGTCGGGGAGGTGACCAGGCCTGGCTCTGCCCAGCCCCTGCTGCGGACGGTCACCGCGGTCACAGCCCACATGGCCTGCCTGCCACCCCCTCATGCCATGGCCTGGGCTGTCTGAGGTTCTGTGTCATGGATGAGGCCCCAGGATCACAGAAGTGCCCACAGCCACACAGACGGGCAGGAGTCGGGAGGCCCCGGCCCCCAGGCTCCCAGCCAGACTGGGGGAGTGGGGCTGGCCCAATCTGGAGTTGCCAAGGTGGGGTTCGGTGAGGCACCATTGTTGCTAGTGCCTGGTTTCAAAAACATTCCAGAAATGCCCTGCTGGCCACCTGCCTGGCTCTGAGGTCCCCACATCTGTGGAGGAACAGGGGCTTTAAGAAGCCCTGCGGGGAAGAAGCCCCATCCACGCAGGCTCCCCTGAGGGTTCTGAGGCACCTGCTGGGAACTGTGGTCTTCTTGGGGCGCTCGGTGTCCTCACAGCCCCTGTGGGTACCTGGCAAAGTGCCAGTGTTCCAGGGACTCAAGCGAGGCCTCTTGGAAAGGGTAATAATGTCCCTCAGATCCCAGGAGAAAACCAAGGGCAGGTCCATGAAGGACAGCCTTCCAGCGAACCCATCCTACAGACGAGCACACTGAGGCACAGAGGACAGCCTTCCAGCGAACCCATCCTACAGATGAGCACACTGAGGCACAGCGAGGTTGAGGGATGTACCCATCACACAGCTCACAATGGGGAGCCAGGAGGGGAACCAGGTCACACAGCCCTGTGTGAGGACAGTGGCCATGGGCTGAGCAATGGCCAGGCCTTGCGGGTGGAAAGGAGCTGTCCCCTCCCCTGGACCCCAGAGAACCCACCTGCCTTGGCTTTGAGCTGAGCTTTGAGCCGGGGTCACTGGCTGAGTCTCGCACCCTCTCTGAGCCTCAGGTTCCCCATTTGTCAGATGGGGAAGGCCAAGACCCAGGGTAGATGGAGCCTGAGTCAGTGCTGGCAGCACTGGCGTTGTGGGCTGGCAAGGCGTGGGGCACCTCTGTGTGCATGGGGTGGACCTGTGTGTGCCTAGCAGCCTCCCTGCCACAAACCACCCTCCTCCTGTATGCCAGGGTCACAGGAGCTGAAGACAGTGGCCGAGCCCCGCTTTTTCTGCCCCCTCTTGATTGTTTCAGGGACGAGGTCTGGTTCTTTGTCAACCCAAGTGCCCAGCACAAGGCTTGGCATATGGTGGTGGCCTGTAAAAGCCAGTGATGTGACTATGAAACCAATCCACTCATAGCACTGCACGTGCTTTTTGGGAGGGAGCTGGCTCAGAGAGGAAAGGCCATCAGCACTGGTCCCCCCAGTAGGATCTAGGCACCATGGGGAACCTGCGGGCCCCTCCAGCCCCTCCACCATGTGTCCTGGGGGTAGCCCTATCCCCCTGGGCCTCAGTGGCGCCGTGTGCACTGGCTCTGGGGGTGCCAGGCTGCGTCTCACCATCGGGCCAGCCCAGAAATAGCTGTGACCTTCCGCAGCCAGCTTGGCAGCGCTTGGGGCCAAGAGGCCTACGTGCATGCCGGCTGAGTCCCCTCACCGTGCAGGGCTGGCTATTTTGGACGTGGCCTCCCGAGGCCAGGTCAGAGCTCTTTCCCGCGGTTCCTCAGGCCCCTCTGACGTGCGTCCACTAGAGCCTCGGCCAGTGGCCCTGGCTAGCTCCATGATCTCGATCCCCCTTCCTGTCCCCGACCCCACGGGCCCTGGGTGGCACAGAGGAAGGGATCCCAGGGACTGAGCACAGGGTGACCGCGCCTGCTGGGGCTGACATGGAGTGTAGGGCTTGGCTGTTTTAAGAAGAAAATGCAGAGAAAGTGCCCACCCTGGGTAGGCCCTGAATCCTGTCTCAGCCTCTCAGAGCTCTCGCTGACTGCACAGCCTGAGCCTCGGTTTACTCATCCACAAAATGGGGTGATGGGCGCCTTCCAGGACTGCTCTGAGGATGGACATGGGCATTGCCTGTGCTGAGGGCACCACGCGAGGCCACTACACAGAGGGGTTCTTGGGCCTTCTCCGCCTTCCATGGGACTGGACACTGGGTTCAGGGAGGGGCGTCATGGGTATATGGGGGTGCTGCGCTGGGCAGTGGCTAAGCGTGGGCTCTTCCTTTTCTGTGACACAGCAGAGGTGTACATGCCTGCTGCCCTGTCCAGGGCGTCTGGGTATGGTGGAAGTGGCCCCAAGGTCCAGCCACCCTCAGGGACCACAAGCTTCCTGGACACCCTGCTGACAGGGTCCCACTGTGGAGGAACAGGCCGGCCCAGCTCCCCACCTCCCAAGTGAGCATGGGTGGCTGGGTGGGCGTGAGGGATTGGCTCCCCTGCTAGAGGGCAGAACTCCTGTTCCCGTGAAGGTGCTGGGTGGGGTGTGAGTCTGCTCCTGGGTTTGGGGTCAGGCATGCCAGGAACAGCAAGCAGGGGCTGCCTGCCTGCCTAGTGCTGGCTGCATGCTCATGGCCCTCAGGGCCCTGTCCCCTGGATGGTCCAGGGGTCCCGAGGAGGAGCCATGGCCTCTTCTCCGTGGAGAGGCCCTGTGGGCCCAAGGCCTGGCTCCATCCAGGCAGGCACATGGAATTCAGCCAAACTCTGGATCCTTTCTGCAGAGCAGGCTTAGCTTGAGCCCTCCCACAGCGAGCTCGCCCACTGCCCACCCTGCCCTCTCAGCCTCTGTGACAACTCTGTGGGCACTGCCAGGGGCAGTTCCTGTGTATTCTCATCTGGTGATGGGTTCATAATTCTCATGTTGTGTGGGTGACTAACAAGGTCTGGGAGCTCAGGAGAGGGGCCCAGAGGCACACAGCATGCACGGGACGGTTTTGCAGTTCCCAGGGGGCACCTGGGGTGGAGGCTTAGCCAGGCCCAGTGGGCTCAGGGCTGGCCTCATGCCCTTCCCCTGTTGTGGACCACTTTGGGGCCTCTGGCTGATGCTGGTGGGTGAGGACCTTCCTGGGCAGCCTCCTCCGGCCAGCAGGAGGGACCATCAGGCCATGCGGACCCTTGGAGAGCTTGGGGGTCGGTTCCTGCCCTGGAGTCAGCTGTGTCTGCTGAGGGTCCACTGGTGTGTGGCACAGAAGGGGTAGGGGCTGTGCCTGGTGTGCCAGGGAGGCCCTGAACTCTCCGGGAGGCCAGATCAGGGGCCTCCTCTGGGCCTGCTGGGGGCCTCTGCATTCTTGGCAGGGCCTCAGGGACTGGGGCGGGGAGAGGCTCCTTCTCAGAGGCTGTGAGCTCCGAATGAAACTCCATGCCCTCCGGGACACCATGCCCACTTCTGGGTACTGGCCTTCAGGGGCCTTGGATGTGGGTGGCATGGCACTGGCTAAATGGGGCCCAGGAGGAAGGCAGCAGGACCGTGGGCATGCAGGCCTAATGCCAGGGCCAGGGCAGGCTTCATGTGGGCTTCCTCCTGTCTGGAATCCTGGAGCCGCACAATTTCCGACCCAACACCCCGTACTCCAGAGCGACTGGCTCTTAACGGAAGCTGCTGCTGGCAGGTGTGTTATAACAGAGCTCTGGGGTGGGAGGCTGGGGGCAGGGAGGGTTAGGGCCGTCAGAACACGGCTCCCTCCTGCCCAGGGCAAGGTGGGGCCACGTGTGCGCATGTGAGTGGGGCACCTGGTCTGGGTGTGGCCTGGGAACCTGCATGTTACAGACGCCATGGCTTTGGAAACACTCAGGAGTCCAGCTGTGTCTGTTCCAAGATGGGTCAGGGTTGCCGCAGGGAGGGCAGTGACTGGTCCACAGCTGGTGTGGCTGTGCCATCCTCCTTCCAGCCTGGGCAGAGGCCTTCCAGGCAAGATGAAAGATGCGGTATGGACAGGAGGACATGGAGGATTCAGGGCTCTTGGTGTAAAGATGCTGTGTGGACAGGAGGACATGGAGGATTCGGGCTCACGGTGTCCCTGGAGGCTCTGGTGGGCGTCGTGGGGCTGGACTGCTGCGGGGCAATGGGGTCCCCATCTTCCCGGCACAGGCATCTGATCTGGTCATCTGTTTCTGTGGCGTGTGTGTGTGTGTGTGTGTGTGCACGTGAGCACACATCTCTGTGTATGCAGGTCAGTGTGTGTGCTTGCCAGAGCTTCCCATTGGGCGGTTTCCACACTGGCTTCTCAGTCATCCTGGGAGGTAAGGCATGAGCACTGGACTGGGAGTCCTGTCTGAGCCACCGACTTGGCCTGCCATTGTGGAGCTGTCCTGTCCACTCGCTGGACATTAGGCCATTTGTGTACAATAATCCCCTGAGATTTGTATCCTCCCATGGGGAGATCAAAAGGGGCCGAGTGTGGCCCTAGGGTCTGGGGGCCCAGCCTGGTGGGTAGACCTGGCTTCTGGGACTGTAGTGGTGGAAGGTGGCTGGGGCAGGGGAGGTTCACTCACTGGGAGGCTGGAAGAGGTGGCCCGGTAGGGAGAGAGAAGGGCAGCCAGACAGAGGGCACGTGGGAGCAGCAGCCTGGTGGCAGGTGTGTGAGTCTCTGCACCTGGCCGGGGTCTTGAGGAGCAGGAGAGGTTCGGGCAGGTGGCTGAGGAGAATGCGGGCACTGAGCTTGGGAAGAGCCCTGGACTGGGGGGGGGGTAGGGACTGTTGGGCAGCCCCAGACTGGCACAGGTGGATCGGGTGCCTAGGCAGGGGGTGGTGAGTTATGGCGCAGCTGTCTTGGTGGCTGGGGGGAGCAGGGATAAGGGTGGACTTCTTAGTGACCGCTCTCTGCCCCAGGAGGTAGAGTCCTGGGGGCTGGGCTGGCCTGAGAGACGCCCCCTCATCCTTTCCAGGGTGAGGTACGAGGGCTCCGCCCCCTCCTGATATCACCAGGCCTAGGGCAGCATCCTGATGGGGGAGGGGCAAGTGACCCGGGCCCTGGACTGCAGGAACAGCCCCTCCTCCACTGGTGGAGTTCCCACTTCCTGCGGAAGGAACTATGTTAGAAGTTGTGTATATGGGGTGGGGGTTGGGTGTGGGTGGCGGGGGGCCTGGGTGGGGTCCACTGAGTCGCCTCCCCTGTCTCCCTGCACTTCCTCCTGGAGGAAATGGGGACAACAGGATGAAGTGAGGGCCTGCTGAGCCCAGGGCTGCCACCTGGGAGTGAAGCCGGGGCAGGCTGCAGGGTCCGGGCCCTTCTGTGTGGGCAGGTGGAAGTGGTGGGGATGCAGTGAGGCTCCCTCCAGCGCGGCAAGGAACGGGCCCTGGGACCCTCTTCCCAGCCTGCAGCAGGCAGTGGGGAGACAGGCCGGAGCCCTGGACAGCCCCCAGTCTTTCCCCACCCCAACTACAGGGCCTGGGTCTCCGTGCGCCATCCCCCTCCCGCCCCCTCCCGCTCGCTCCCGCTGTTACAGGGCCCTAGGGACCGCCCTGTCCCCCGTGGGCCCCAGAGCCCAGGCCAGCGCTGGAGGGACCCTCCTGCCCTCTGGCCGGGACCAGGGTGCCCGCCGCAGCCCTGGGACCCTGCGGCCCCGGTCCCTATTCGAGGCCCCAGCCGGAGCGTTCCGGGATCCTTCGGGGGAGTGCCCAGCCCCGCGCCCCCGCCTCCCACATGACTCCGGGTGGGCCCTTTTGACGTGCGCGGAGGGCGGGGGGCAGGGGGCGGGGCGGGGGGGCAGGGGGCAGGGGTGGTGAAGGGTAGGGGGCGTGGCGGGGAGAGGGGATGGGGTGGGGTGGGGACTGGGGTGGGGTGGGGTGGGGAGAGGGTGTGGGGTGGGGTGGGGAGAGGGTGTGGGGTGGGGTGGGGAGAGGGGATGGGATGGCATGGGGGGATGTGGCAGTGAGGAGGCTGGGCCCTTGGAGCTGCCGAGTGCAGGGGCCTGGAGGACTCCGGGAAGGCGTCCTAGTGCATCAAGCGTGGGCTTGGCCTGCTTGGGTCTCCCCTCCTGGCCCCCCTAGCAATGGGCGGACTTGGGCCCGCTCTGGGAGGATTCCAGGAACGGCTCCTGCCTGGTTATAAATAGACTTCTCCGAAAGGCCTGGGGCTGTGCCAGCTGCAGCAGGTGCCTCCCAGGCCCGGCCAGAGGGCCCCAGGCAAGGGGGTGGAGCCCGGGTGGGGGTGATGAGGATGCTGGGGTCCACTTTTGTAGCGCCAGAGGCGACGGGCTCTGTCTGGTTGTAGCATCACAGAGCTTGATGGGAACTTTCACTCTGAGACCCCTTTTATGGATAAGAAAACTGAGGCTGGGGGGCAGGAGCAGCTTACCCCAGAGGTCCTCTCTCCCAGAGGGCTAGGGTGGGGATAAGCAGGGTCTCGGGGGCAGCAAGACCCAGCTCCAAATGTGGTTTTTCTGCCTTCTGGCTGTGTGACTCAGAAGGGTTGCTCAGCTTCTCTGTGCTGTTATGGTTTGTCAGTGCAGTGTGGCAGGTGTGTGTCTTGCTTGTGGAATGCAGTGTCTAGCCTGGTATCCTTAGAAAGTGGCTGAGGTTGGAGATTGGTGGGGCAGAGTCCCTGAAGCTGACCCATTCTTGCCTTCAACCTTCAGGGAGACGCTGCTGGAAGTGGTGAGCTGAGAGCACTGGGCAGGAGTCAGAGCCTAGCGTCTCCCTGTGGAGCTGGGTGCACCCACGTGGGTGGGTGCCCTTGCCAGGGAGCTCACACCCTTGGGGGTCCATGAGCTGGCAGGCAGGGCTACCTGGCTTGGTGTGCCCTTGGGTGGAGGCTCCCATGGGGCCCTTCAGACTGGGCACAGCCCTCCTGTCCTCTGCTCCCCAGCCTGCTTGCCCACCTGGAGGTGGGAGGAGGCGAGGGTTGCCGGCACAGCTGGGCCAGGCTGATGGTGATGTTTTCTGGAAGTGTGGGTGGGGAGAGCCTGGCAGGGGGAGGGGGGGTCGTGCTCTCAGCTGGGCCCCTTGATGACCTCAGATTGCAGGGACCAGGTTGTTTGAGAGCTGCAAGCAGGGCCACACCTCCAGGGACCCTGTGCTGGGGGTACCACCCTTGCCGCTCCACCCTGCTCTGAGGGCCCTGGGTGGCCAGGGCGGGCACAGAGTGGGTGGTGATGCCAGCTGCATCCCTGGGGTTCATAGTCTGGGGAGCACATGAGTTCCCGGCACAATGCTCCCAGGAGGCAGAGCCAGGAGTCGCAGGGAGGCGTTTGCTTGAGAGGGTCTGGGAGGGCTTCCTGGAAGAGGGGGCATCAGTGCCGAGCCTCAGAGTTTGTGGAGCCCGCCGCCTGGCTGAATCCTGCCTGCCGGTGTTACCTCAGGGTGTTCCTCGTTGCAGTGCCTCAGTTTCCTCACCAGTACGCTAGGAGAGACCAGCGTAGCCAGCCACAGCGGGGTCGTGAGGATTAAGTGAGGGGACAGCAGTGTCTGGCACGGTGGGTGCTGAGTAAATTCATGGAGGAGTGCCCGGGCGGTGGGGCTGGTGGGCTGGGCAGGGGGTCTGAACTGGAGGGACTCGGGCGCCCTCCTCCTCAGGGTGCAGGACAGCACCTGCACGGCGGGGCCGCATTTCCATTTCCAAAGCTGGGCGCGCTCTGTCCAGGCCTCCCCACCAGGAGCGCGGCCCGGCGGCTCCTGCCCTCCGGACCCCCAGCCCACAGGCCCGTGCAGCCCCATGAGGGGGCCAGGGGGAGCTCCGAGGTTCTAGGGAGGGCGCGCACCGGGAGAGGGCGCCGGGCCGGCCGGCGGGAGGAAGGAGGGGTCCCGGGCGGCAGCGCCCCCGGCCCTCGCCGCGCCCCGCACTTCCCTTTCCTGGCTGGGCTTCCTCTTCCCCGCGCCCGCCCTGCGCGGCCCCTTTGTTTCCCGGGCAGGGCGCGGCTATATTTAGGCGGCAGGTGTGGGAGCCCCCGGCAGCCGGGTCGCCCGCCGGTCACGCCCCCCACGTGACGCCCGGGCGCTATAAATAGCCGCAGGCGGCGGTGGCGGCAGCGCCTGGAGCCGGCTCCGCGGCGGAGGGGCGGCGCCCCGACCCAGGGCCAGCACCGTGGGCACCGCCAGGCCGGCGCGTATGGAGGCGGTGGGACGCCTGCGGCGCGGGTGAGCCTGGCAGGTGGGGACGCGGCGGACCCAGGCCTTCCGGGACCCCAGCCCCGCCGGGGAGGAGGTGGCGCCCTCCGGAGGGCTGGGCGGGAGCCCCGCTGGCACCCAGGGAGGGGGCCGCGCCCCTTACCACGACCCCACCCGCGACTGGTTCCCCGGGACTCCCCAGAGCGCCCGCCTCAGCCCTGACCGCGGCGCAGCTTACTTCTCCTGAGACCCGCTGAGCCCCGGGCCTCCAGCCTCCTCCCCCAAAATCACAGGGGGCGCCCTGTCTGAAGCGGGGGCTGGATTCAAACTTCTTAAGCTGCTGTGCCATCGGGAAGGAGGGCGGTAGCCTCCCTGAACCTCGATTTCCTCTTCTGTGCAGGGCGCTGCGTGTTGTTCCTGCCTCCTAGATTTGAGCCAGAGAGAACCCAGTTAACTGGACGCCTGGTGTGGCCCTGGTGGAGAATGTTCTCCCCTCTCCCTGGCTTGTTTCCTCATCTCGCAAACAGGGACAAGGATGGACTCTCCCTTAAAGGGTCTTGAGAAATAGCTGAGGGCTCTGGGCCTGCTGGCCCGAGGAGGCTGAGCCAGATCTTGGGAAGGGTTCTGCAGGGCTTGGTAGCAGGAGGGAAGGAGGTAGCAGGAGGGAAAGAGGGGCCACGGCTGCCAGTGGGTCCCCGTGCTGTGGGCCGCGGGCCTGGTGGGGGTGGTAGCGACTCAGGACACATGGAGGCAGGGGCAACCTGTCCCCATTTCGCAGATGGGAAGCCTGAGGCTTTGGCTTCAGGGAGTTCTCAGTGCCCATCCCTGGGGATCCTTAACCCTTGCTCTCAGGGCCCTACCTGGTGACCTCACTGGGGGCGTGTGGTTATGGAGGGGTTTTCTCCCTTGGGGGACAGCCACCAGGCAGGGCAGAGCCACATAGTGGTGCCAGGGCATCATTGCTTTGCTCTCACCTGGGGCAGGGGTAGGGGCCCTAGGCTGCAGAGACAAGTGGGATGTGTGGCAAGACCCTGGTCCAGCCTCTCCCTGGACCCCTAACCCCATTCTAGCCTGGGCTGTGACCCCTGAGCGTAGCCCAGGCTAACCCCCTGATTCCGGCAGATGTGTGGCATCCTTAGGCCTTCAGTGGGGGGTAGTGTGGGGTGGTTCGGAGCCTCCTCCCTCCCAGTAGCCTGCAGCCCTGAGGACCTGTGCAGGGCCACTAGGCAGCAGGTCCAGGCCACGTGCTGGTGCCTGTGGGGTCTTCCTGGGTCCCTGGCAGCTGTAGGTGTGAGGGGTTGGTCAGCCCCTCAGGGAGAGGCCCAATACTGTGGTTTCTCTGGTGCTTTTCTTCCTTTCTTTCTGTAAACATGAGCTCGGCTCCCGTGTGCACACACACAGGGACATCCTGCTGCCCCAAGAGGGACCCAGGTGTTTGTGTGCTGTTAGCACGTGGTGGCTTCCCTCACCCACACTCAGAGCCTGTGCTCCCTCCAGTCGGGCAAGGTGGGGACTGGCGGGACCAGGGACAGTATCCTTGTCTCCACCTTTACCTCCTTCTGGGGGTCCCACCCCACCACCGGTTTTTTTTTTTTTTTTTGAGACGGAGTTTTGCTCTTGTTGCCCAGGCTAGAGGGCAATGGAGCGATCTCGGCTCACTGCAACCTCTGCCTCCAGGGTTCAAGCGATTCTCCTGCCTCAGCCTCCCGAGTAGCTGGGATTACAGGCATGCACTTCCATGCCTGGCTCATTTTTTATTTTTTTATTTTTAGTAGAGATGGGGTTTCTCCATGTTGGTCAGGCTGGTCTTGAACTCCTGACCTCAGGTGATCCGCCCGCCTTGGCCTCCCAAAATGCTGGGATTACAGGAGTGAGCCACTGCGCCTGACACCCACCGCCCATTTTAACCTTCCCAGAACCATGCAGTGGACAGAGCCTGAGGTGTGGCGGCTGCTCTGAGCCCATGAGCACTGGCTGCCACCCAGGGTGTGGAGGGCAGGCAGGGAGGAGCCCACTGTCCCAGGTAGCCACCCTCTGAGTCCAGGGGCCCAGGCCTCAAGCCCTACCTGCACCTGGGCTGAAGCTCCAAGGGCCCAGCCTGCCTGGTGGGCAGCTGGGAAGGGGGTGCTGGGGCTGGGGCAGGGGCACAGGTGAGAGGGGGTGGGTTGGGGAATGGAGGGCTCTGCTGGGCGAGGGGCCCTGAAGTGCCTTTCCTTGGGTAGCAGGCAGTAGTGACAGGGCCGGGCTTGGGTTGAGTCTAGGGGGCTGGAGAGTCTGCTAACAGCTGGGTCACAGCCAGGGCCAGCAGTGCGGGGACCCCTCAGCAGCAGTGCCCAAATACAGCTTGGGTCACTTGTGTCACCCCTCATCGTGCTCATGGGGTAACAAAGAGGCCGGCACCTTGCTCAAGGCCTCCCAGCCCTTCCGTAGAGAGGGAAGGGGGCTGCGTGCTCCTGGAACCCCTTTGCCTGGGAGCTTTGGGGTCATGAGACCCAGAAAGGGAGAGAGGCAGGCGTGGAGGTGCCTTGGGTTGCTGTGGCCCCCCCTGCCGCCTCCCCTCTTCAGGGCCCTGTCATGGTGTGAACCCACTCCTGGCCACCTGTGCTGTCACCACCTTGGCATGTGTGCCTGATGGCTGGCCCATTGGCGTGTTCTGTCCCCGCCTCCCTGAGCTCCTGGAGGGGCAGAGCTGGCCTGTTTATCCCCGAGCCTGGCTGAGACCTGTGTGAGCAGTGGAGACACAGTGGCGGGGGGACACTGGTGGACAGGGGGCTGCTGACAGGCAGGAGACTTTCTGCAGAAAGCAAGAGGCGATTAGGGTGGCCCACGGCCGCGTGTGGGGCCAGGCCCCTCACCTCCCTGTGCTGGCAGCACTGACCGAGTGCCTGGGCCCCATTCCCTGAGGATGGGCCACCCAGAGACACCTGGGCTCAGATGTTCACAGTGGCTGAGAATCGGAAGAGGAGAGGGCAGCTGTCCTGGGGTGGAGTTTCCGCAGATCACAGCAGGTGGGCAGGGGCCAGGCTCAGGCTTCTTAGGAACTCGGCCTCTGTCCCCACAGAGGGATCTGTCATCTGTGTGCTGGGGTTCATCATGTCCTCGGGGGTGTGTGTGTCCCTGAAATCCCTGTCCCCTCTGTCCTCCGTCATGCCCTGCTGGCTGTGTGGTGGCTACCCTGTCGCCTCTGGGCCCTGGGTCAGTCCTGGCAGGAGCCGTGCTTCCTTGTGCTCCCATATAAGGAAATAGACCCAAAAGGGTCATTCTCTCAGCATGGTCAGGAGGAGGGCTCTGGGAGAGGTGTCGCCTGTGACTGTGGGCTCATGACAGGCATGAACCCCTTGTGGGAGGCGGGGCCCCCTGTGATCCCTTTCTATTCATTTCCTTCGTCTTTCCCCACAGATGCTGTGTGCTGTGGACCCACCTGGGGTTCATGGAGTGGGCCACGGGGCCCAGCCCTAAGCACTGCTGCGCCCAGGGTCGCCGCGCCTCCTGCTGAGGGGTCCCCGTGCCACTGGCTCTCACCATTGCCCTCGCCTGCCGATGGCCTCTGCTGCCCAGCCTGGGGCCAGCTCTACCGCCTGAGCCCCCTGCCCCACTCCAGGACTCACCGTACCCCGATGGGGTAACGTGACACAGGCCCCACACGTCAGAGGCCGCTGTCCCCACGGCCACTGCCCGTGACCCCTGGCCCAAGGCAGCTGGAGTTGGTTCAGTTCAAGTTCATTCTTCCTCTGGCCCTTGGGGGCTTGGGGCCCACCTCTGAGTGAAGGGGGCTGTCTGCCCATCCACCAATGTGGAGAGGGCGCCCCCGGTGTGGGGTCCAGCTCTGGACACTGCTTGGCGGCCGGGTTCACTTTGAGTTTTTAAGTTTTCTTTGCTGAGCTTTTTTGGTTGTTCTTTTTATTTTTTGCCTCTTTATGACTATCCAGCTCTGAGAGACGGGAGTTTGGAGTTGCCCGCTTTACTTTGGTTGGGTTGGGGGGGGCGGCGGGCTGTTTTGTTCCTTTTCTTTTTTAAGAGTTGGGTTTTCTTTTTTAATTATCCAAACAGTGGGCAGCTTCCTCCCCCACACCCAAGTATTTGCACAATATTTGTGCGGGGTATGGGGGTGGGTTTTTAAATCTCGTTTCTCTTGGACAAGCACAGGGATCTCGTTCTCCTCATTTTTTGGGGGTGTGTGGGGACTTCTCAGGTCGTGTCCCCAGCCTTCTCTGCAGTCCCTTCTGCCCTGCCGGGCCCGTCGGGAGGCGCCATGGCTCGGATGAACCGCCCGGCCCCGGTGGAGGTGAGCTACAAACACATGCGCTTCCTCATCACCCACAACCCCACCAACGCCACGCTCAGCACCTTCATTGAGGTGAGTGGAGACGGAGGTGTGGCAGGCAGGTGGCCCAGGTGTCTGGGAAGCCCGGCTGAGCTGCCCTCAGGCCTCGCAAGAGGGGTCCCCAGCCCCGGCTGGCCAGACAGGGCTCACAGCCTTGGAACAAAGCCCAGTCGCCTGTTACAGGATCCTGGAGGAGGGAGATGGGGGTGCCCCGGGGGTTGGGGTTGAGGGTGTTGGGGGATCAACGGGGTCCCCTGGGAGGCCTGCAGGGGGCTGGCGTGTGATAGGAGGGACTCCACGCTGTGTGGATAGAGGCAGGGGGTGAGGCAGGGGGATACATGGACCAGGCTGTGCGTGCTCAGCCGTGGCCTGGGCTGGGGCCCTCCCGAGCCCTTTGCTGTCCCAGATGTTGCTGGGCTCTGGATGAGGCCTCAGGTTAGACCAGGCTGGACTAGGGGCTTCAGGGCCCAGATCTCTGTGTGAGGAGGGACTGAGCAAGGGTCAGCGCTGACCACAGGAGGGAGGGACCACTGTGCCCTGGAGAGGCAGCAGAGATACCTGCCGCTGGCAACCCTGGCAGATGGGACGAGATGCGTTTACAGAAGCTTTCTTGGGAGTGGAGTCTGGAGCGACCTGCATGGCCTCCTGGAGGAGCCTGGCCTCTGCAGAACGCCCTGCTGTTTGCAGGCCTGGGGCCGTTTGCAGCGTCTGCAGTTGTGTGCGGGGCCGTTGACAGAGCCTCTGACTGTGCCAGGCTGTGTGAGAGGCTGCAGCTGTGTGCAGGGTCATTTATGGCTGAGTCCTTTCCCCTGTGACATGAGATAAGCCATCATGGTCTTGTCATAATGAAACAGATTTGGGCGTGAGAGGGCATTAAGAACTGTAGAGCAGCAGGAGGCATTGGGCACCTTGCCATCAGGGAGCCTGGACCCTGGACACTGAGCCAGGTGCCCTACAGAAGATGGCTGTCCCTCTCGCAGCTGAGACCCCTGAGATAACAGCAGCATCTACAGAAAGATTGGCGAGAACAGCACGGTGAGTGGCCAGGGTGAGGCCTCAGAATATGACTGGGATCAGGGTTAAGTCTGTAACCAAGGTCAGGTCTCAGTGTGTGACCAAGGTTGGGGCTCACTGTTTGACCAGGATCAGGGCTCTGTGTGACCAGGGTCAGGGTTCGGTGTGTGTCTGGGATCAGGGCTCAATGTGTGACCAGGGTTGAGGCTCAGTGTGTGTCCAGGATCAGGGCTCAGTATGTGACCAAGGTTGGGACTCAGTGTGTGTCCAGGATTAGCGCTCAGTATGTGACCAAGGTTGGGGCTCAGTGTTTGACCAGGATCAGGGCTTAGTGTGTGACCAGGGCCAGGGTTTGGTGTGTGTCTGGGATCAGGGCTCAGTATGTGACCAGGGTCGAAGCTCAGTGTGTGTCCAAGATCAGGGTTCAGTGTGTGACCAGGATTGAGGCTTAGTAGGTGAGCAGGGTTAGGGAGGGCTCATCCTGTGACCAGGGTTAACGCTTAGTGTCTGACCAGGATCAGGGCTCAGTGTGTGACCCAGATCAAGGCTCGGTATGTGACCAGGATTAGGGCTCAATGTGTGACCAGGGTTGGGGGCTCAGCACGTGATCAGGATTAGGGCTCAGAGGTGTGTGACTATCAAGGCTCAGGACGTGACCAGGATCAGGGCTCAGTGTGTGACCAGGATCAGGAAGGGCTCAGCCTGTGACCAGGGCCAGGGCTGAGCCGTGGGCTGGGTGGCCATTCCCTCTGCTGAGGGTGCAGAGGGCCTCTGAGGTACCCCATGGCCACAGAGCCCAGCACCCTGCCTGCTCCCTGCATTCTCAGATAGTTGGGTGCTGGCCTCTCTGTGTTCCAGGTCCCTGTCCCGTGACCAGCAAGACCCATCAGCTGATTCCTCACCCCTCCCAAAATAGCTACGAGAGCAGGTGGGGTGGGAACAGCCCCCGCACGTGACCCCTGTGGAGTGGATCCTCCGCAGTGGGGGTATAACTATCGGCCTGGCTGTGAACTACCACCACCTTTTCCCTGGTCGTGTGGGGCTTCCCTGCTGGCGTACAGGGCCCAGCTTCCTCCTGGCTGCCATCTGAGCGGTGCCCACCCTCCCTGCTCTGAGGCGCCCCAGCTGATGCCCGCCCCTCTTAGACCCTAAAAACTGGACCCATCCCTGCGGCTCAGCTGGGGTCGCTGTTCGGATGCAGGGGCTCACACGTGGGCTGGGGAGTCCAGTTCCTGCTGTGGGGACCCAGTAGCTTTTCTGGAAGAAATGTCCTTGCTGGTAGATCTGGGGTCCTGAGCACCCCAGAGGAGGGAGTGGTGTGCTGGGCAGCTGGGGTCCCAGCTGCCAGTTACCGTGAATGTAGGTGGGGACACCTTTGCCTCTGCTGGGTGGCCCAAGGGACCTAGGACAGGCTCTTCGACAGCCAGACACTACCTCGACCAGTAGTGGAGCCTGAAGTCCACTCTTGGTGGACCTCACTGCATCAGGGTCTGCCTGGCTGGAGGGTGACATGCCCTTCCCTGGGGGCTTCAGGGGCCATGACCCTGCCCCAGGGGACTGAGGGGACAGGGCTCCACCCCGAGAGGTCTGAGGGGACATGTCCAAGTCCTGGGTGACTGTGGGGGACACAGCTGTGCCCTGGGAGCCCTGGTGAGTGGGTCCTGCCCCCTGAGCCCTGCAGCCCCAGCCCAGCCCTGCCTCCTCCGTCCTCCCACCCCCAGGACCTGAAGAAGTACGGGGCTACCACTGTGGTGCGTGTGTGTGAAGTGACCTATGACAAAACGCCGCTGGAGAAGGATGGCATCACCGTTGTGGTGAGGCGCGCGCCACGGGGACCCTAGTCACTGCTGCCACCGGGGGAGGGTGGGGCGGGGGGCTCCGGGCCTGCGCAGAGGGTTTGGTGCCCCTCCTGTGGCAGCCCTGGGCATGTCTGTGCCTGGGCCACGTGTGTGTCTGGGTACATCAAGGGAAGGCCAGGGTGTTGGGCCGTGTGACCTCAAGAAAGTCACCCTTGCGCACCCGTCTTTCTGTCTCTAGGGTGGGCCAGCACGGTTCGCCAGGCAGGGGTGGCACATGCTTGGTGCATCGGCCAAGGTGGCGGGTGGGCTCCTCTGCCTGTCTCAGGCCCTCCTCTGGGCCTGTCTTGGGTGCATCTCAGTCTTGCTGCCTGGGCGGCTGGGGCCCTGTTGCCAGGCAGCAGGCTCCTGGGGAGGGCCCTTGGGCAGTTTCCTCGGCTTCTTTGGCCCTGGGGACCCAGGTCTGGGCGGGGGGTGGGGCGGTTCTGCTGCGATATCCTTGGGGGGGTGGGCCACAGCAGCTGCAGGCCCAGAGCCAGCCCCAGGGGGGTCCACCCCCGGCCCGGTGGACGACTGCCCCCCTGGTGCAGGCCTGCCCAGCTGCGCCTGGGCCTCAGTCTCCTCAGTGCGGAGCACCCCTCAGTCACTGCTTTTCATCCCAGGACTCTGCTTTTGGCTGGGGTTGCAGTTTTGTGACCTCAGCTTGGCGGTTTGGAATGGTGGCAGCGCTGGCGGTTTGGGGTCAGACAGGCCTTGGGCTGCGTCCCGCCTCTGCCCTCCCCAGCCTTGCGACCCTGCAGGTCACTCCGAGCCTTGGGTTCCTCACCTCAAAGCGAGGCTGCTTGGAAGAATGGGAGGCAAAGGCATGTCCCCGCTTCTCGCACGGGGTGCGCCCACACCCTCCCTCCCCTTCCACAGCAGCGGGAGGGATTGGGGTCAGACGTAAGTAGCCGTGACACCGGTTGTCTCTAGGAGTTGCCCTGCCTGGAGGCTGGGGAGGGGTGAGATGCCCCCGAGGGCTGTGTGTCTGCCTCAGTGGGCCCAGCGGGCTCTCCCTGGTACCAGACAGCCCCATGCCTGGCACAGTCCCTGCATGAACCCGCCTTCCCAAGACTGAAACGTGTCCACTCCTACTGCAGCGCCCTGGCCCGGGCCCTCCCCTAGGAAGACTCACGTTGCCCACCGATCTAGGGCGCTGGGGGACGGGACAGTGGGAAGCACAGGTCATCTTCCAAGACCAAATTAACCCCCAGGAGCAATGGGCCGGGGCCCGGTGGAACCGCCTGTTTCGAGTCCTGCCCTCAGAAATGTGGGCCCTGTCTCGCCCCACAGCCCTGTCTTCAGTCCTTCCTGGCACCTGGGCTGTGTGTGGCATGTGCCAGCCATCTTTGCATGCCAGCACAGGGGATGAGACCCTTTGCACCAGCCGACCCAAAACCTCTCAGGCTGCCACCGGCACACAGGCGTGAGGGATTGTGACCCCAGAACCAGAGCTCGGGCTGACAGGTGTGGGGATTAGGATTTGTGCGACTCTGGAGCAGGCTCTATTCAGAAAGGGGTGGGGTGGTCCAGGAAGGCTTCCTGGAGGAGGGGATAGCTGCAGTGTACAGGGAATGATGAGGAGTCTGAAGCACTCACCATGGGGTGCCCATAGGCAAGCTGTGCCCCTCCTGTGTGCCCTCTGGGTCTGCTGCCCCCACCCTAGTGGGCTCCTGGCACCCTCTGCCTCTCAGAGCTCCCTTTCCTCGCCTGAGCCCCAGAGCCGCCTCTCTACCCTCCCTCAGCCGGGGGTCCTCATGTCTGCTTCCCTCCGTAGGACTGGCCGTTTGACGATGGGGCGCCCCCGCCCGGCAAGGTAGTGGAAGACTGGCTGAGCCTGGTGAAGGCCAAGTTCTGTGAGGCCCCCGGCAGCTGCGTGGCTGTGCACTGCGTGGCGGGCCTGGGCCGGTGAGTGTCGGGGCGGGGTAGGGCTCGCCATGTCAGGTGGTTGGGCATCTCGTGGTCTGACAGCCTCGCTTTTGGATGTGGGTCTTGAACACACGTCCACGCGACCTTCCCAGGAGGCCCATGCCCCTAGTGCTGGGGCTCCCAGACTGGTCCTCTCCCAGCATCACAGAGAGGAAGTGCTTCCCAAAGTCTAACCCAACTTCTTCCTGCTATGGTTGAAACCATCCTGACATCTTGTGTAGGAAAGGGCTGCCGTCCCCCTCTCCAGACACAAAGATCCCCCCACACACAGCTGGGGCCTCAGACTCCCTGCTGGGAGAACGGGAGGAAGAATGGCAGCTGGGATCGGATGACATGACCAGTGGGACACCCCCATCTGCAGAGGGAGACCCAGGCGAGCAGAGTTGATAGCAGGCATGGATCCGGCTCTTAGCACTTCACCCGCCAGCTCTTATTTAACCCTCCCCCAGCAGATCACAGAGAGGTTGCCTAGGAGGGAGCCAGGATTTAGACCCAGTGCTCAGGCTGGGCTGTGAGGCTGTGGCCTCCATGGGGGAGCTTCAGGCAGGGGGGATTCTGGGCCCCTTGGGCCCCCGTGCCCTGCATCTTCAGCAGGTGCCCTGCCAAGGGGACAGGGGTGCGCAGGCTCCGATGACCCCCGCCCTGCTGTTTGCCCCCAGGGCTCCAGTCCTTGTGGCGCTGGCCCTTATTGAGAGCGGGATGAAGTACGAGGACGCCATCCAGTTCATCCGCCAGTGAGTGGCCGCGGTGGTGGGGTGGGCTGTGAGCGCTGGGGGAGGGGAGATCCGGCTGCCCACGAAGGGTGGCGGCATTGGCTGTGTGGTTCCGTCGCTCTGAGGCTGCGTCGATCAGCACAAGCTGGGCCTTGCTGCAGAAACGGGGAAGCCTGAGGTGTTTCTGATGGGTGGGGACAGCAGCCCCCGAGTGACCATGCAGCCACACAGGGACACAGCGAGGCCACCCGCCACGCCGTCCTGCCCGCCCTCCACAGACAGAGCTCCTTCTGTCGCAGCCATCCTGACGGGGGTGGAAGGACCCCCAGAGCCAGCCAGTTCAGTCCCTCCATGAAAAACTAGAACCTGAAACCCCACACCACACCGTGTCCACCCCCAGGGACGCTGACAGTGGGCTAGTGTCTCAGGACTACTCTGAGTCTAGCTGCTCACCACCCCTCCCCCCAACCCCGAGCTCTCCAGCTCAGCCCCTCCCCGCCCTCCTTAGAGGCTTCTAGGCCAGCTCGCCTGCCCCATCCCTGTCACTTGGTGGCCTCCCTGGGGAGGGCTGCCATCTGCCCACTGCCCAGGGGGTCCTGGGGGAGTCTGGCCGGGATGGCAGGGCCAACTCTGGAGGAACGGATGCGGCACCTGAAGCCTGCCCCTGCCCAGCCCACCATGTGTGTGCCCGTGAGTGTGACACACCTGTGGTACTCCTCGGACAGGCTTGGCTGGTGGGGCCATCTCTTCCTCCCAGAGGCAGGCTTGTTCCCAGCCATGCCAGCTGGCCCTGTGGGTCTGTGTGAGAGTGTGGCCCGCCCTGTGGGTCTGCGAGAGCGTGGCCCGCCCTGTGGGTCTGTGCGAGAGCGTGGCCTGCAGGTGCTCAGGTCTCCCTGGGGACCATGGGATGTGCACGCTCACACACAGACACGCATGGGGGTCATACAGGCACACATTCACAAGCACATGTGTGCCCACACAGACCCAGGCATACGCAGGCACACACTCACAGGCAGGTGTGTGAACACAGGCACATACAGACAAGCGGGTATTTGCACACATGGACACACATGGATGCACTCAGGCATGTACACACGTGTGCACTCATACATGACATGCACTCTCACACATGCGGGTGCACACCTTCCCCGGGTTCTCTCCCCACCCCACGTCTCACCGAGCAAGGGCTTGTCTCTCCCTTGTGGCTTTTGCTGTGTGGCTCCCCGCACCTGAGGCTGCGCTGGTCAGGACAGGTTGGGCCATGCTGCGGAAACAGCCAGGCCTGAACCCCAACGACTCAGAACAGCACGGGCGTTTCTTGCCCCTGTTGCGTGTCTGTTGGTGGGGGCCCTACCCGGAGGCGTGGCTGAGGGCTGCGCCTTCCCCAGTGTGCCGGCTGCTGGGCGAGGAAACGAGCACGGTGGAGCCACACGGGGCACCTGCAGCTTTGCTGGGCAGAGACTCCTCGCGCTACTGCTGCTCCCACTTCCTTGGCCAGGGCCAGCCTGTGGCCACGCCTGAGGTCATGGCAGGTGGGGATGGATGAGCCTCCAGAGGCGCTGGGTGGGCAGCCCCCGCCCCTCAACGCCTGTCACCTCAGGGCCTCTCAGGTGTGGCTGCAGCATCCTCTCCAGGAAGTCTTCCTGTTCACCCCAGCCAGGTACATGTGGTCAAGGACCAGGTGGCGGGGCAGGGTGAGCACATAGCCCAGGTCCCTGCTGTAAGGACCAGGTGGCGGGAGCAGGGTGAGTGTACAGCCCAGGTTTCTGCTGTAAGGACCCGGTGGCGGGGACAGGGTAAGCGCACAGCCCACGTCCCCGCTGTAAGGACCAGGTGGCGGGGACAGGGTGAGCACACAGTCCAGTCCCCGCTGTAAGGACCAGGTGGCGGGGACAGGGTGAGCGCACAGTCCGGGTCCCCGCTGTAAGGACCAGGTGGCGGGGACAGGGTGAGCGCACAGTCCGGGTCCCCGCTGTAAGGACCAGGTGGCGGGGACAGGGTGAGCGCACAGTCCGGGTCCCCGCTGTAAGGACCAGGTGGCGGGGACAGGGTGAGCGCACAGTCCGGGTCCCCGCTGTAAGGACCAGGTGGCGGGGACAGGGTGAGCGCACAGTCCGGGTCCCCGCTGTAAGGACCTGGTGGCGGGGACAGGGTGAGCGCACAGCCCACGTCCCCGCTGTAAGGACCAGGTGGCGGGGACAGGGTGAGCGCACAGTCTGGGTCCCCGCTGTAAGGACCAGGTGGCGGGGACAGGGTGAGCGCACAGTCCGGGTCCCCGCTGTAAGGACCAGGTGGCGGGGACAGGGTGAGCGTACAGCCCAGGTTTCCGCTGTAAGGACCAGGTGGCGGGGACAGGGTGAGCACACAGTCCGGGTCCCCGCTGTAAGGACCAGGTGGCGGGGACAGGGTGAGCGCATAGCCCAGGTCCCCGCTGTAAGGACCAGGTGGTGGGGATGGTGGGGACAGGGTGAGCACACAGTCCGGGTCCCCGCTGTAAGGACCCGGTGGCGGGGACAGGGTGAGCACACAGTCCAGGTCCCCGCTGTAAGGACCCGGTGGCGGGGACAGGGTAAGCGCACAGCCCACGTCCCCGCTGTAAGGACCAGGTGGCGGGGACAGGGTGAGCGCATAGCCCAGGTCCCCGCTGTAAGGACCAGGTGGTGGGGATGGTGGGGACAGGGTGAGCATGCAGCCCAGGTCCCTGTTGTAAGGGAAGGTCGCGCAGCTGGGCTGGAATTCTGGGCTCAGCCCCTCCCTTACTCACAGGCCCCCCTTCCTGGATGGTGGAGGTGCCCAGGCACCACCCTTGTTGTCTGCTCATGGCCTTGGGGTGGGTCCTACCGAGCTAGGGAAGCCTGGGGGCCGTAGGGAGCCCAGAGTCAGCCTGGAGGAGGTGGCGCTTTGGTGAGTTTGGAAGGCAAGCAGGGGTGAGCTGCAGGGGGCCAGGAAAGGGTGACTGTGACTCTGGGAGCAGCCGTGCCAAGGCCCTGGGACAGGAGGGGCTTGGCCAGCCTCAAGGCCTTACTCCAGCCCACTGCACTCTCAGATTCCAGCTCCCTGGGGCAGGTGAGATGGCCGAGCCAGGTCCTTGGATGATCTCTGTTCCTGTTCCCCTCTTCCCAGGAAGCGCCGCGGAGCCATCAACAGCAAGCAGCTCACCTACCTGGAGAAATACCGGCCCAAACAGAGGCTGCGGTTCAAAGACCCACACACGCACAAGACCCGGTGCTGCGTTATGTAGCTCAGGACCTTGGCTGGGCCTGGTCGTCATGTAGGTCAGGACCTTGGCTGGACCTGGAGGCCCTGCCCAGCCCTGCTCTGCCCAGCCCAGCAGGGGCTCCAGGCCTTGGCTGGCCCCACATCGCCTTTTCCTCCCCGACACCTCCGTGCACTTGTGTCCGAGGAGCGAGGAGCCCCTCGGGCCCTGGGTGGCCTCTGGGCCCTTTCTCCTGTCTCCGCCACTCCCTCTGGCGGCGCTGGCCGTGGCTCTGTCTCTCTGAGGTGGGTCGGGCGCCCTCTGCCCGCCCCCTCCCACACCAGCCAGGCTGGTCTCCTCTAGCCTGTTTGTTGTGGGGTGGGGGTATATTTTGTAACCACTGGGCCCCCAGCCCCTCTTTTGCGACCCCTTGTCCTGACCTGTTCTCGGCACCTTAAATTATTAGACCCCGGGGCAGTCAGGTGCTCCGGACACCCGAAGGCAATAAAACAGGAGCCGTGGCCGTGTGTGTGGAGTGGGCTACAGCGTCAGGCGGGGCGGGCTGGTGGCCTGGGGGCCCCAGAGGCTGCTGTCTGGATCCTGGGCTGGTGCCCAGGATGGGGCTCCCGCGTGCTCTTGCGCTGCCCTCTGGTGGCCGCTCTGGGTCCTTGCACCCCGACCCAGGGGCCAGCCTGCCCTGTCCTGTCCTGATACCGAGGTGGGAGCCCTGCCTTGGCCAGGGTGGCCGTGTTGACGGTTCTTGGGACTGTGACATTGGAAGGCGAGGCAGGTCACCAGCACTGTCCTCTGCAGGATGGGCTGGGATTCATTTGGCAGCTTCTCAGGGCCTGTGTCCGGCTGGTTGGTCCCTGTGCTGCCCAAACCAGGTGTCCACATTTCCGGCTCCGAGGCGCAGAGAAGGGGGCAGGTGGTGGCTTGGGTGGAGGAAGTCACCATCCATCAGCCCAGGGAGGGAGGGTGCCACCTGGGCACCTGGGGCTGGATGTGAGAGGCCTGGACCAGGGCCCGCCGGAGGGCGTGGACCAGATGCTCATGTGTTCCTGGGTGCAGTGTCTGTGTTGGGGGCTGGCCCCACCCTGGGCCGGGGTGCATGGAGGGCATGGCCCCAGCGGGGAGGAAGGTGGGCCTAGGGCTGGCTCCAGGGTGTGGAGAGCCTGGGAGTGGTCTCCGTCCTGGGGCCCCAGGAGGTTCCCGCAAGGAGCGACTGGGGCAGGTGCTGGAGGAGGTCAGTGGACAAGATGGGGAGATGTGGAAACCCCAAAAGCCCCTTCTCAGGCAGCCCTGCCCCCAAGACCGACAGATGGCTAAGGGGGCCGCAGACCTGGCTCCCCCAGCTCCTGTGTGGAGAAAGGGCAACAGCTGTCCCGGATGGTTATTCTCTCCTTTCCTCAAACACATTTGGAACTCAAGTAAATCCAATGCATGTTGGGTGAAGTTTGCTGTATTTTTTCAATCCACCAGCCAAGTTTTGGGGTCACCTCTGCTGGCCCTGTGTAGCCATGTCCCTGCCCCAAGAGGCTCACAGTCTAGCAGGGTTGGGGGGAAGACAGGCTGGTAAGCCTCCCAGTTACAGCTAGGGGTGCTCCACCTCGGGGGGTGGCGGGGACAGGGGGCATGGAGGTGGGGCCTTGGGGTGCTGCACCTTGGGGGGACTGAGGGACAGGGTGCATGGAGGCAGGGCCTCAGGGTGCTCCACCTTGCCGGGGGGACGGGGGAATGGGGGGCATGGAGGCGGGGCCTTGGCGTGCTCCACCTTGGGGGGCAGGGGAAATGGGGGCATGGAGGTGGGGCCTTGGTGTGCTCTACCTCGTGGGGCAGGAGAAATGGGGGCATGGAGGTGGGGCCTTGGTGTGCTCCACCTTGTTAGGGGGCAGGGGGACAGGGGCATGGAGGCGGGGCCTGGGGGGGGCACAGTGCAGAGTACCACGTCGGGAGGTGGGGGAGATGCCCCAGGTGGAAGGACTGCCTGAGCTGAGTGTGGAGTGGGGGTCCGCGCTGGCCAGGAGGGGAAAAGGGGTGCAGTCTGGATTATCCCATTGGTGGGATGGTGGCTGGCCTGGCAGGATCCCGAGACAGATGCAGCATGGGATGGGGCCCCAGGCAGAGCTCTGCAGGGAGGGGCTCTCCAGGAGCTGTGTGGACCCCAGGCCAGGCGGAAACCCAGGCCGAGGCCGAAGGTTGGGCAGGTCCCCTGGTGGCTCTCTGGGAGTCCAGGGTACCTGCCTCTGGACTCATCCCTCCAAGGGTCTCGGGAGAAAGGTCTTACTGCCCATTTTACAGATGGAACAGCTGAGGCTCAGAGAACCAAGACTCCTGCTTCAGGCGACAGTGTGTCCAGGGTGGGCCTGGCTGGTTCTGCTGCTAGCCCTGAATGGACTGAGGAGGATGTTGGTGGGGGTGGAGGGAGACGCTGGGGGCCCGAGGCTGGGGGTCCCGACTGAGGGGACCCCGTCCGACCGTCAGCCCCCAGCCACTGTGGCGCGCCAAGATGGAGACAACTGAAGATTGAGTGGCCACCCTGGGCGGAGGCTGCCCTCAATTTGAGTGCCTGCCCAGCCCCAGCCCCCAGGACCCTGGGACCCTGGCAGGCTGTGGCTTGGGCTCAGGCCCCAGTCAAGGTGACCCTGTCTCCAGGAGTGGACGGGTATCCACCTGCAGGGCACTTCACAGACTTCATAGTTTGTCTCTGTCCCCTGGGCCTGACCCTGAGTTTGTCCCCAAGTCCTGCCAGTGTCTCCTGGGGCTTGGCTTGGTCACAGCAGAGGGGCCTGTGGTGGGCAGGGAGCTGACACGCATAACGCTTCTTTTGTTGAATCTAGATCTTTCTTTCAAATGGAAAAACGTTATGCAACCAAGCTCTGTGGGGGGCGGATGGGGCAGGGCTGACCAGGTGGACACGGGAGGGGAAGGCGGTGGGTGGGGGAGGATGGCTGGAGGTCACTGCTTGGGTCTGGCCGACACCTTCTGGAGGAAGGAGAGCTGGCTGGTGGCGAATTCCCGGATGCTGGGCTCAGGGTCACTTCTGAGATGTTCAAAAGCTCCAGAAGAGGAGGAGCAGGTCAGAGGTGACCCCAGCGCAGGAGCAGCCCCTTTACTCCAGCCCAGGTGTTGGGGGGGTGGGGGGTGGGGTGGGTGGTGGGTGGGGCCAGCTCAGACCCCACCTCCTGTGACTCCAGGCCTGGGATGCTTCCCTCCACCACTAACCCACCACCCCCATTCCCCAGCCCCTTGTTCTGTTGGTGCCATGAGGCAGCTGTGGAGTGAGTGTGAGCCTTAGGCCCCAGGTGCCCTGATGGGGGCCTGGGGAGGGGAAGGGCCAACCTCAGCCTCCAGACATGAAGGTGGGATGGCGGCTGGGTGCTGCCCAGGAGGCCTGTGTCTTTGTCCTGATGCTGATGCTGGGTAGGGGGGGCAGGAGGGGGTTCCCTTCTGGGGCCTCAGTCTTGCTGTCTGTGCAGTGGGTCTTAAGAGTGCTTGGGCAGGGGTGGGAGGGTGCGGGCTGCGGGAGCTCTGGAGGGAGGGCTGCTTACTGCGGAACAGCAGGTTGGTGTCCACAGCATTCAGCATCTGGAACACGGCCTGGGGGTGGTAGCAGATGGTGTGGCCTGTGTAACAGACGGGCAGCTGGTGGCTCAGGGCTCCCTGTCTCCTGGGGGGCTGTAGCCCACCCCTGCCCCTCTTCAGCCCCAAGCTCCTCCTCATCCACCCCCTTTCCTCTCTTGTGGGTGGTGAGTCAGGGAGGGTCAAGGGTGCTTGGGTGGGGGCAGGCCTGGGGGTCTTTAAGCCCGGCCTCGCCCTCCCACCTATGAAGAGTGTCACCCAGGTCTTGATGTGGCAGGAGTGGCTGTGCAGGTAGCTGAGGGCCTGTGACAAGTGGATGCTGAATTCCTCCTGGCTGCGGGTCATCTGGCCGGAGGAGAGCACACCTGGCTGGGACGGGCTGGGGGCCCTGGGCATACCAGGGTCCTCCAGCCCCAGTTTGCCTTGCCCAGCCCCTGGAGCTGCTATAGCAGCTGTGTGTGAGACGGGAGTGAATGGGGGAGCCGCAAGCCTGGTCTCCCCCACTCCCTGGCCCTGTTCCTCCCCACCGATCCCAGGCCTCTCACCAGGCAGGTCCAGAGGAAGTGGCGGGCGCTGAGGCCCCTCTCCCAGGCCAGCGTGCAGAAGAGGGTGTGCAGTAGCCGCCAGCGGAGCAGCACAGCACAGCGGTAGAAGGTGAACTTGGCCTGCTGCAGGGACAGGCGTGGAGGGTCACCCACCGCCTATGTCTGAGCCCTTTCCCCTAGAGGCCACAGGCCTCCATGGGCACTGGAGGCAGCCTGCTGTGCGGGTGTTCCCTGGTTCTGTCCTGCTTGTGCCCCTCGGCAAGCCTCCCCGACCCTGGCAACAGCACCTGGCCCCCCGGAGCCCAGGCTGGTCTGCCCGCGGCCCTGGCCCTGCCCCTTCCACGGTTGCCCCGTATCCTTTTCCCCATGGCAGGGAGACCCGCGAGGCCAAGCTCTGACTTCGTGGGCTGTGCACAGGGCATGTGCTGCCACGGCAGGCAGGGCACAGTCCATATTCACACAAGCTCTGTGAGCTGCTGGACCCCCTGCCCCGTTACAGGGACTGGGGGCACAGCAGTGAGCAGAAAAGACCGGGTCCTGCCGCATCGACGGCAAGTCTCGCTCGCATGCGTGTGCGCAGTGGGGGAGCGGGCAGGCCAACTGTGGTCACAGAAACCAGTGCAGATGGCCAGACCCTCTGCCCGCCACTTGCTGCCCCGTGGGAGCTCCCCCAACTCTCAGGCAGTGCTGCTGCCATCCGTCTGCCCCGTACCCTGGCCTCCTGTGGGTCCCAGCCCTGGCCAAGGTGAAGGCCTATCACCTGCCTTTCCTGGGGTGGGCACTGACCGTGGCGACAGCTGGGCATTGGTCCTTCAGGTGTAGGAGCAGGGGCACCATGCTCTGGTGCACCTGGGTCCGCAGGCCGCTCAGCTCCCTGTCTGCCATGGCCGCCACCAGGTCCCCGAACAGTGCCATGGCTGCCGCCCGAATCCCGTCCCGCTCCTGCAAGGCAGAGGCTCAGAGGCACGGCCAGACCTGTCCAGGGGTCCCAGCTTTGGTCCAAGTTGGGACCCCACACCTTGTAGGGGTACAACTCAGTTCTTTCTGCAGGATTCCTTCACCCAGGCTCTCGGCTCCCGGGGAAGGGAAGGGCTGGGGCTCCCCCCTCACACAGGGCTCTCTGGTGTCCCTGAGGATGTAAGAATCACATCTCCCTTCTACCCACAACTGCATCCTGGCAGCCCAGGCCTCATGAATGCATTTGAGGGGCGCCTATCCCCCAGATTCCCCAGTGAAGGAAAAACAGCCACGCTAACCGTGCTGACATGTCAGAAAGCAAATCTGGGTAGGCTGTCGTGGGGCCGGAGACCACTGCACTTGGAGACTGAACGTGAGAACTAGTTCAGCCCTGTGGAGAAGGGGTGAGCGCCAGGGGCCCACCCAGCCCACCTGCTCAGCGCCCACCTCAACCGAGGGCCACAAGCGGGCAGCTCCCCAGGGCCTGGGCCTCCCTGCTTGCAGCTTGGGGTTCCCCCTTTGGCAGAGGAAGGGAGCTGGGTTGGGAGGAGGGTCCTGGAGGGCGTGAGCAGGAGGTAGCCCCGCCCTGCCCCAGTGCTCACGTCATTAAAGAAGGAGCGTGTGCTGATGGCAACGCCGAGGCTCTGACTCCCTGTGCCCTGCGCGCCCAGGCGGTGCAGCGTGTCTGACACGGTGCCCATGATGCACACGATCACCTGGTCGCTGCTCTGGAAGAAGCCGTCGAGCAAGGGCCGCAGCTGTCCCTGGAGCAGGCTTCCCTGGGGGTGGTGGCGGCTGGTGGGCGGAGAGCACTAGGACCCGCTGGCCCCATGCCCCCGCCTCGTTCTCCCACTTGACCCCCTCACCCCATCTGCACTGGGTGGGGGGGTGGGGGGTGGTGATTCAGAGCTGTGGGTCCCGGCCTGGCCCTTCCCGCCATGGGGAGCTGTGGGTCCCGGCCTGGCCCTGCCCGCCGTGGGGAGCTGTGGGTCCCGGCCTGGCCCTGCCCGCCATGGGGAGCTGTGGGTCCCGGCCTGGCCCTGCCCGCCGTGGGGAGCTGTGGGTCCCGGCCTGGCCCTGCCCGCCGTGGGGAGCTGTGGGTCCCGGCCTGGCCCTGCCCGCCGTGGGGAGCTGTGGGTCCCGGCCTGGCCCTGCCCGCCGTGGGGAGCTGTGGGTCCCGGCCTGGCCCTGCCCGCCGTGGGGAGCTGTGGGTCCTGGCCTGGCCCTGCCCGCCGTGGGGAGCTGTGCCCCTAACTGGGCTTTGTCCACCAGGAGCTGCGTGGTCTGGACAGGGTGGCCTCTTTTCTTTTTTGAGACAGGGTCTCACACTGTCACCCAGGCTGGAGTACAGTGGTGTGACCATAGCTTACTGCAGCCTTGACCTCCCAGGCTCAAGCAATCCTCCCAACATAACCTCCTGAGTAGCTGGGTCTACAGGTGCGTGCCACCACACCTGGCTATTTTTTTTTTTTGGGTGGAGATGGGGTCTCACTATGTTGCCTAGGCTGGTCTCAAACTCCTGGGGTTGAGCAATCCACCTGCCTTGGCCTCCCAAAGTGCTGGGATTATAGGTGTGAGCCAACACATTCGACTTGTCTTTTTTTTTTTTTTTTAATTAATTTTCAGCCAGTTCCGTCTTCTCCACTTGATTGCGTGTTTGCAGTGATTTCCTGAGTTATCGGGATGAATGGTCAGAAAGCAGTGTGCCCACCAATGGATGTTTCCTGCCATTGGGCCCCTTAGCAGTGACTTGGGTGCAAACCAGGGTGATTTTTACAACTTTTAAACAAGTTTAAAGCAGCTTTGTTGGCTTTCTTAGCTGTTTGCTTTGAAAATATTAAATTCATTTTCAGCAAGTGAGTCATTCAACAGTTACACTTTCTGAGCATCTATGTTTGCAGCCAGTGTTCGAAGACCAGGGTTCTGGCCAGGTCAGAGCAGGACAACAGAATGAAATTGTAATGGAAATGGTGAGAAAAGAAAAGAAAAATGCATAGCATGGCGTATTTCCACTCAGAGTGGAGTGGGGTGGCCTGCCCCAGCCACACCTGGTTCAGCCTTCCCATCCCCAAGCCGGCAGGCCTCCCTGGCTGGCAGTGCTCTCGGGGCCTGTCTCCTCTGGTCTGCTGTGGCTGCTTGCCCATATCCCACCTGATGCCAGGCGGGGAACCATTCCCTCTTCTCTGGACCTGGTCCTCCTGATCTAGCAGGGCCCTTCTTTGCCTTTCTGTATTCCCTGTATTCAGTGCAGGGTACAGAGGAGGCACATGGAAACTTCCTACTGATCATTTCCCTGCCTGAGAGAACATTTGGTGCACAGATAACCGAACACTGAATGAATGAATGAGGGAGCAAACGTGAATAACTGGGTGAATGAATAGACATAAAAAGAATGAACAAAATAAATAATGCAAGAATGGGTCACAGATGAAGGACCCAAGGAACAAGTGGGTGGGTGGAGGGATATGTGGGTGGACGGGGGGATCTATGGATGGATGAATGGACGGGTGAATGAGTGAGTAGATGGATGGAGCCATGGGTAGAGATGAATGGGTGGGTCGATGGTTGAATGGAGGGATGAATGGAGGAATGAATGGGTGGGTGGATGGATGGAGGCATGGGTGGAGGGATGCATGGGTGAGTGGATGGATAGGTAGGTGAATAGTTGGATGGGTGGTTGGATGGATGGAGGCATGGATGGAGAGATGAATGGATGGGTAGGTGAATAGCTGGATGAATGGGTGAGTAGATGGATGGATGGATGGGTGGAGGGATGAATGGGTAGATGGATGGGTGGGTGGATGGATGGATGGAGGGATCAGTGGATAGATGGGAAGATGAATGGGTGGGTGGATGGATGGAAGCATGGATGGAGAGATGAATGGATGGGTAGGTGAATAGCTGGATGAATGGGTGGGTGGGTGGATGGATGAAGGATGGAGAGATGAACAGATCATTGAGGAAGTGCTATCTAGTCTCCATCTTCCATTAAGCACCTACTATGCATCACGCACAATGCAAAGAGCTTTGCCAACTGTGACCCTGATGGAAGTCAGTCTTGTTAACCATGTGGAGGCCTGTGGTTGGAACAGAATCACAGTGAACTAGTCTGCTAGGCAAATGACTTTGGGATCTCTTTGGAAACGACCCCTTCTGCTGCCTTCCCATGATGACAGTTTTCTCCCACAAGCCCTGAAAATATTTATGTTCATAACAGCCTCCTCCAACAGCAACAGAAATGGGGGCTGGGCATGTCGCCTTCCCTCTGGGGTCTTAATGCAGCCCTGGGGTGGATGAGAGGAGGCTGAGGCTCCACACTTCCTGATCAGGTGAGAAAATTTCTGCCTCTAACTCAGCATTTTCAGGGTGCAGAGTCAGCCAGGCAGGAAGTTTGCTGCTGCTGCCAGCTGGTGCCCCTAGGGCTGACCACGTGCCAGGGACCGGTCTCTGCATGGCACTCATGACCTGCCTACCACAGGAGGCAGGCATTATTACTGCTCTCGTTGTACAGATGTGGTCACTGAGGCCTGGAGAGCTGACAAAGCCTGCCAGCTAGAAGGTGCTGGAGCGGGGATAGGTCTAGGGCCTGGACTCTTAACCACTGCATGGTACCCTGGGCCCCCACAGCAAGGGCGATGTCAGTTAAGTGGGGGGCTGTAGCTGGGGTAAGGGCAGATCCCCCAAAGGCGGCATCGCAGGCTTTCTCTCCCACAGCTGTCCATGATGGGATATGGGTTATTATGGTGATGAGGTAGAATTGGTTGGGACTGGAGAAGTCAGCAATGGGTTGGGGAGACCCATTCATAAGATTCTCAGAGGGCATTGTCCTCTCTGGGTGAGCCCTGGGATGCCATCTGGTGGGCTTCACGGTGACCACCTGGAGGTCTGCAACAAGGCCCCTCTCTCTTTCGGGCGTGGAGGAGACTCTGTGTCCGGGGAATAGACACTTTGACCCCTCCCACAACCTGCCCCATTCTACAGATGAGGAAACAGGCCCAGAGAGGTGGAGTCAGGTGTCCCAAGCCACACCACCTGAAGTGACAGAGCCGGGATTCCAACCCGGTGGCCCTTGCCTACACCCGGTGCACCGGCTGTTCTGTGGGGTTGCGTGTGCACCAGCCACAGTGCCCGACAGCCCTTACCTTATCTGGGTGGAAGAGGATGTTGCTTAGGCCCTGCAGACTCAACACGCGGACCTCAGGGCTGGGGTCGTGGAGGCCTTGTGCCAGCACGGTCAAGGCAGCTTGTTTGGGAAGCACCTCCAGCAGGACAGGGCTGTAGAGGAACTGAGGTGGCCCCCGGGAGGGCAGGCAGGTCACTCTTTTTTAGGCGCCTGCATCTGTGTTGAGGGGTGGGGCTCTAGGACCGGAGTCCGGTGGGAGTTTCAGGGAGGGAGGCTGACCAGTACCCTCTGGGTATCTTGGTGAACAAGTATCCTGGTTCAACCCCTCAATGTACAGCTGGGGAAACTGAGCCCCAGAAAGGGAAAGGGCCTTGCCTAAGGTCACACAGCGAGGCAAGGCCTCACTTTTATCAAGAGCCGAGCTTGTGGGGCACCTGGGGGTAGAGCGCCCATGGAGGGCGGCCTAGGCAGCTGGTGGGTGGGAGCTGGCATGAGGCTTTCGCTTGGGTTCCCCTACTAGTGTCAGTTACGGAAACAGCACCCTCCTCGCCCCAGTCCCACCCCTGCCTGAGCTCACAGCTGCAAAGTGTGCCACACCCAGCGGCATCTGCTTCTACCCATTCCCCTTTGGCTTTACCCTGAGTCCCACAGGCAGGACAGGGCTGAAGTTGGAGCCTAGACTTGCCTGAGTCTGCACCTAGTGCCCCTGCAACTCTGCAGGGATTGTGCCAGGGAGGGCCGAGTGGGGAGACAGGTCCCCAAAGTGTGCAGCCCCCCTCCAAGGGCTGGGAGTGGGAAGGCAGGAGTACGAGGGGGTCCGTCTGGGCAGCCTCCCCAGTCAGGGTGAGCTCTGGCATGGGTTCTGCTGGGGTGTCAAGGAGGCTGGAGAAGGAGGCTCAGACATCTGAGGTGCTCTCTGCTGGCCTGCATCCCTACCTTGGTGAGGATGAGGATGGCCACCTTCCTCTCACGCTCCTGTGGGCTCTGCAGGCTGGGCAGCAGCTGACGCAGCACCGCTGGGATCTGCCTGCAGTGGTTCTGCACCATGGCCCTGCAGGGGTGGGCCTGGGCTGGTGGTCACTGCTCAGAGCCCACCCTCCTGCCCCCACCCATCTCATCAGGGCTGGCATCCCGGAGGGTCCCAACGTGGCAGGCACGTTCCCACTTCCTTTCCACCCACTGGCTGCCCACTGCGTGCCAGGCTTGGGTTGGACATGCAGGAGACAGAGAAGCAGGCACAGCCCTTGTTCCCTAGGAGGTCACAGGCCAGGGTGAGGGCCGGGGGAAGACACTGCATCAACAGGCTCTGAGCGTGTGCCTGTGACCGGGGGCAGGGGGCCGTGTCCTGTCACTGCAGTCCAGATACCCAGTCCCCTGGATGGGCGTGGCCTGAAGCAGGCTGCCTCGACCTGCCCTGGCCCCACCGTACCTGGCAAGGAGGCCCACGCCCTTCGGGTAGGTGTGGATGGTGGTGAAGAGCTCCCAGGATCCCTGCAGCTCCAGGTGGGCAAAGTCATGCCAGTGCCCCGTGGTGGACAGCAGGCTCTTCAGTGCCTCCAGTGACGTGCTGCAGCTGAGCAGAGGGGGCTTAGGGCTTGCCTCAGGCCACAAGCAGCCCCCTGGGCCACCCCCTGCCCTGGGAAGGGTGCCCACCTGACCCAGATAGAAAGGCACGTTCTGGTTCCTATGCCTGGCGTCACTGAGGCCCCCTGGGGCTACTCCCTCCTGCCCTGTTTTACGCGGAAATGCTGGGACCCAGGATTGGCGGAGCCGGGCCGAGCATGGGGAGGCAGCATGTGCCCAGTCAGACCCCGGGCCTTGCTTGGGCAGGAGACCAGGGGGTGCCCTTCTAGGGAGGGGCACTCTGCTGAAGGGCACCTGCCCTTCAGCTCAAGGATGGCAGCATTTAAATATGGGCCAAGAGTATGGAGGGTAGCAGCGGGCGAGGGCGTGGGAGACTCAGGGCGTGTGGCGTAGCGGAGCCCAGAGAAGTGTCCATTCTCCACTCCTGAGACTCCTGCCCTCAGAGGACATGGAGAAACCCGCGGCACTGGCCCTCGCTTGTGAGTGACGGAGAAACCCGCGGCACTGGCCCTCGCTTGTGAGTGACGGAGAAACCCGCGGCACTGGCCCTTGCTTGTGAGTGACGGAGAAACCCACGGCACCGGCCCTCGCTTGTGAGTGCACGGCTTGTGGTGTCACCGTGTGCTTGGTAGTTGCCAGGTACCATGGATGGTGCCTCACCTGCCCAGCCTGAGGTGGCCCTCTACTGTCGCTGTCCTTCAGCAGAGGAGGGAGCAGTCCTGTCACACAGCCTGGGCAAGGGCACAGAGGTGGGGTCAAGCTGGGCCCTGGCTCCAAACCTGCCAGTGATGTCACTGTCACAGGATGTCACTGTCACTGAACGCAGTCCCTGGGGCACAGGTAGAAAGCCCCAGAATGCAGGCCCATGAAACATGAGATGGCCCTGGCTTGCTGGCCTGTCTCACTGTTCCAGCCACACACCCCTGGCCCGGCCCCTGTGCTCGGTCAGTGTAAGTGCATCACCCTGGATGTGTGAGCATGCCTGGACGAGGCTGTCAGCTTGGACCAGGCACGTTTCTGAGCAGATTTGCAAAACCAAGTGTCAAATGATGAAATGCCATCCGTGAAAGTTCTGACAGTGCCAATCCAAATGCCAGCTGGCTTGTCCTCTCACCCCAAGCTGTGTCATAAAAAAAGGCAGCATTTTCCAGGTCACTGGTCTCAGCCATAATGCGACAATGGTTTTCAGAAGAAGGGGACTTGGTGGGGGGAGTGGCATTTTGTTTGCTCTGGGAGGACTCCAGAAGCTTCTGGTCCTGTGACTTCTTGGGCACTGTATTGGCTTGTTCTTCAAGATTGCCTTGTCCCTGCAGCCCCAGCAGGGCTTCCAGAAAGATGGGCTGATTCAGCATTCTTGGGAATCCATGCCCAACTCCCCTGCAGGTCCATAGAACACAAAACCACCTCCAGCCCAGGACCCCCGGCAATGCTCAAGGACATGTGTCTCCTGAAATCCATACGCAGTCCCAAGACCGATGAAGGTGGAGCCCCTTGAGTCTCTGCCTCGCTGTGGACTCAAGGAACCATCCTCCGTTCCTGCTGGTCTCAACGTCGTTGCCTGCCTGCAGCCTCTTTGGACACTTGGCATCCCAGTGATGCCTGCCCCATACTCGACCAACCGTCCTTTCCCCACTCTGGCCCCGGAGAGGGCAAAGGCACCTGAGAAAGAGGAGGCAAAGCCCCTCTGCTTTCCATACTCCTCCCCAGCCTGAGGGTCCATGAGACCCTCTTCCCTCTCCCATTACCTCCTCCTCTTCTGGTTTTATTTTTAATTGTGGTAAAATGCACATCTCATACAATTTACCGTTTTAAGTGTACAGGTCAGTGGCATTGAGCATATTCATAATATTATGCAACCATCACCACCATCCATCTCCAGAACATTCTCATCTTCCCACACTGAAACTCTGTCCCCATTAAACATTAACTCCCCATTCTCCCTCCATCCAGCCCCTGGCACCCAGCATTCTACTTTCTGTCTCTGTAGATTTGGCTACTCATGGACCTTAAGTAGGTGGACTCACACAGTATTTGACTCAGCAGAATGTGCTCAAGGTTCATCCATGTTGTAGCATCAGAATTTCCTTCCTTTTCAAGGCTGAATAGTATTCCATTGTATGGATGGACCACACTGCTTATTCTAATTCACCCATTGATGAACACTTGTGTTGCTTCTACCTTTTGGTTATCATAACACTGCTGTGAGCAGGGCGTACAAATATCTGTCCCAGGTGCCTGCTTTCCTTTCTTTTGGGTGTACACCCATTAGTGGAATTCCTGGGCCATATGGTAATTCTATATTTAATTTTTGGAGGAACTTCCATACTCTGTTCCAAAGCAGCTGCACCGTTTTACATTCCCACCAACAGTGCACAAGGCTTCTGATTTCTCCACATCCTCGCCAACACTCATTTTCTGATTTTTTTTTGGACAGTAGCCAACCTAATGGGTGTGAAGTTCCTCCTCTTCTTTTGATCACAAGCCTTTGGCCCCAAATCCCCAGGGGACAGAGGGAAAGATGAAGATGAGATGAGGGTGAGAATGATGAGTGCCTTCGAAATAAAGAGAAACGATGTAGCCCATTTGAATTAAATAGAGTTGGCCCACATGGATGACGTGTGAGAACAATGAGAATTCCTTTGTGGGGCAGGGTGGAGACTGGCTGGAGGAGGACCCAGCTGAGAACTGACCAACGCAGGAAACATCTCTAAGGAAAAGGCTTTGTTAGTGGAGGAGCAGGGGAGAGGGAGGCCCCTCTGGCAGGCCTGGCAGCACCTGTTGCAGTCCTGCCCAGGGAAGGGTGCCCTGCTCAACCCCACTCGCTGCTTCCTGGTCCCAGAGGCCTGTCCATCTAAGCAGGACATGAGAACTTCAGAGGCCCAGGGCTGGCCCCATCAGGCCTCAAGACTCCCCTGCTGCCCCATGGTGTCCTGTGCCGCCCCCACCGTTTTGGGCATGCAGAGAGAGTGGCTACTCAGCACTGCTCATCCAGTTGTCCTTCTGGGCCCCTGTCCCCACCTTGACAGTGCCACAGCAGCCTGGCAGGGACCTCAGACCGTGAGCCACCGGGATACACCTGGGTGTCACTCTGCTCTCAGGCCTCCCTTTCTCCCTGGCTCCGTGGTGGTGCTGGGTGGCATGGCTGCTGGTTTGGCAACCGGAGCCTGGGCCCCTTCGCGGTGGTCGAAGAGGCCTGGGCCCATGCCGCTCCCTGGAGGGCGTGGGAGCCAGGCCTGGCCAGTCAGAGCCGCACAGGCCCCTGTGGCCAAGGTGATTGGTTCAGGATTGGGTATGTGAGCAAAGCTAGGCCAATCAGAGCCCAGGACTGTGCCCGTGGTGAGAGTTTTTTCTCTTGGGGCTGCGGGAGCTGCCGGGGCCACCTCCAGGGCTCCAGGAGAACCTGCCCGGAGCGGCCTGAGCAGAAACCACCCGTGGCCCCGCGCGAGGCAGAAGTCCCTGCTATATGGGGAGCCTGAGAGAGACAGACAGACGTCCCAGCTGTATGGGGAGCCCGAGAGAGAGACACGTCCTTGCCGGTGGGGGAACCCACGAGAGACAGATGTCTCAGCTGTATGAGGAGCCCCCAGTGAGACAGACGTCCCAGCTGTATGAGGAGCCCGAGAGAGACAGACAGACGTCCCAGCTGTATGGGGAGCCCGAGAGAGACAGACAGACGTCCCAGCTGTATGAGGAGCCCGAGAGAGACAGACGTCCCAGCTGTATGAGGAGCCCGAGAGAGACAGACGTCCCAGCTGTATGAGGAGCCCGAGAGAGACAGACAGACGTCCCAGCTGTATGAGGAGCCCGAAAGAGACAGACAGACGTCCCAGCTGTATGAGGAGCCCGAGAGAGACAGACGTCCCAGCTGTATGAGGAGCCCGAGAGAGACAGACGTCCCAGCTGTATGAGGAGCCCGAGAGAGACAGACGTCCCAGCTGTATGAGGAGCCCGAGAGAGACAGACAGACGTCCCAGCTGTATGAGGAGCCCGAAAGAGACAGACAGACGTCCCAGCTGTATGAGGAGCCCGAGAGAGACAGACGTCCCAGCTGTATGGGGAGCCCGAGAGAGATAGACAGACGTCCCAGCTGTATGGGGAGCCCAAGAGAGATAGACAGACGTCCCAGCTGTATGGGGAGCCCAAGAGAGATAGACAGACGTCCCAGCTGTATGAGGAGCCCGAGACAGACAGATGTCCCAGCTGTATGAGGGGCCTGAGAGAGACAGACGTCCTTGCTGGTGGGGGAACCCGCGAGAGACAGATGTCTCAGCCGCATGGGGAGGTCCCAGTGAGACAGACAGACATTCCCGCTGTATGGGGAGCCCCCAGTGAGACAGACAGACATTCCCGCTGTATGGGGAGCCCCCAGTGAGACAGACAGACATTCCCGCTGTATGGGGAGCCCCCAGTGAGACAGACAGACGTCCTTGCTGTATGGGGAGCCCCCAGTGAGACAGACAGACGTCCTTGCTGTATGGGGAGCCCGCGAGAGACAGACAGATGTCTCTGGCTCTTCGGGACCTTCCAGTCTATGGGTGAGGGCAGTAAAGCAGGTAAAAGGCGCAGATCACAGATGGTAGCTGATGGCGGGGCTGCGGCGAGAATAAAGCAGCAGAGGGTGGGAGGCGCCGAAGGGGCTGCTATTTTGGAGGGTGGTGGGGGAGGCCTCAGTGAGGTGCGGGTGAGCAGAGCCTGCAGAGACAGGATGGCTGGGGGAAGAACATTCCAGCAGGGGGAGGAGCAGACGGGGTGAGGCTTTCTCCCAACCCTCCCACGTTCCGGGAGGAGAAGGTTTTATTAGCTTATTAGGAAAGATTCATGCATTTTGCATGGTTGAACTGAATAAAAAAGGAACTTCGTGCACATTTGAATTCGGAGGCAAGATGAGAAGAAGTGGCATTTTTTTTAAGTGACTTGCCTTGGGGAGAGCTGTTAAAACTGACAAATTGCGTGACGCACATCATAATACAAACAAATGAAAAGAGTTGGCCCCAGCGGTTTTTAGACTTGCTTATTGGATTTTTGGAAATATGACCTGGTGCAGAGGGAAGATGAAGGCAGGCAGCCCTACTGAGGCCAGAATACGGTGGGCGGGGGAGCGGGCAACTGGCCGTGATGTCAGCCTGAGCATGTGCTGAGGACCAATGAGATGCCCAAGAGGGCATGGAAAGGCATCTGCCCCATGGGTGAGCCCAGTTCGCCTCTGCATGGACATGCTGTGTGGCCCAGGGGAAGCCTCTGACCCTCTCTGAGCCTCAGTTGCCTCATCTGTAGAGCAGGGACAACGACATTCATCTCGAGTCCTCGCAGGAAACCCACTGGGGTAAGATGTGGCTCACTGCATGGGTGCTTTTGGTAACTGCTGTCCCCTTGAGGTCGCTGTATGGCAGTGACACTAAGTATCTCTACTGCCAAGCACCGTCAGGTGACGGGTAAGTGGGACGAACACCTGTCTGCAGGTGCTGCCCACAGCCCCTGTGGCCCTGGCCATGGATGGGGCTCAGGTTCATGACTGTTGTGGGTTGAACTGTGTCCCCCCGAAAAGAGATATATTGAAGTCAACCAACGGTACCTGTGACTGTGACCTTATTTGGAAAGAAGGTCTTTGCAGATGTTATCAAGTTGAGGTCGTTAGGGTGGGGCCCTAACCCAGTGATTGGTATCCTTATAAGAAGGGGAAATTTATTCAGATGCTGAATTTAACTGTTCAACTGCTGAACCACTCAACAGACATGAACGAAAGCTTAATTCTGACAGAGCTGGAAAAAAAAAGGAGGAAATTTAAACACTGGCACACAAGGGAGAATGTCAGGTGACCACAGGGGCAGAGATGAGCGTGGTGCAGCCTCAGGCCCAGGAACACCCAGCGTGGCCATGAGACACTGGGAACCGGAAGCAGTGAGGAAGGCCCCCGCAGGTTTCAGGGGAGCACGCCCTGGTGACACCTTGGTTTTAGACTTCTGGCCTCCAGCACTGGGAGATGTTGCTTTGAGTCCGTGGGGTATGCGTCTTTGTTACTGTGCTCTATGAGGCTAACACAGTCTTTGCCCTCGGATGCCTGCGGAACCCTATGTGTGTCTGGCCAGGCCAGGAGGCCTGGGAGGCTCTAGTCTTACCTTTGGGGGCTGGGCACGGCCGCCTCCTGGGCCTGCTGCTTGGGCTAGGGCTCGCTGGGCAGGTTCAGCTCCAAGACATAGTGCATCTGGGTGAGGAGGGCCAGGAAGAGCTTGGGGTAGCCCTCCTGCACGGCCTGCTTGAACTCCCGGGCAAACTGCAGCTCGTGCAGCATGTTCATGGCCTGTCGGGGGCAGGCGTGGAGTGAGGCTCCCAGGCCCTGGGTCCCGGGACCAGGGGTTCTGACCTACTGTCCCACAAAAGCCACGTCCAAGCATGCTCGTCCCTCCCTGCTGCAAGCTCTCCAGGACCAAGTCCAAGTGTCCACATGCTGTCCCTCCCTGTGGGGCCTGACCCCGTGCCTCTGCAGACTCAGCCTGGCCGTCTCTTGCACCCTCTGGACCCACCGCTTGGGTCTCGCTGCTGCTGGATGGCCTAGTGGTCCCCAGCCTCCCCTAGCTGTCCACCTGGATGCTGTCCGCTCTACACTCCTGCAGACCTCCACCTTGACCCAGGGCCTCCCTCAGACCGCACACTGGATGCCACCATCTGCCCTCTGCACTTTGCTCCTGTCTAAGGGGTGAGCTGCTGGCGTCTGGGCCCTCTGCTCTACTGCCTTGAAGGCAAGGTCCTGTGCTGTGTGGTCTCACGGTACCCTCAGCTCTGTGGCTGGCACACAGCAGGGCCTGATGCCTGGGAGTTGGGGAACCCATGGCCCTGGAAGGCAGAGTCAGCTGATAGCAGCCCCCAACCCCAAAGGCCGAATGTGCCTGCCGGAGCCTTCAGTCCAGAATGTTCTCAGGGTGGGGCCAGCACTGAGCAGTGACAACTGGGGGGAGGGCAGGAACTGGCGGTGTGGTGGGGTGCAGGGAAGGCTCCCCTGCTACCCCTGGGTGGGTCTCACCCATGCTGCTGTGTGGTCCTCTGGTAGGGGGGCAGCATCAGCCCAGGGCCGACCGGGGCGGGGCTGTTGGGGATGGCCAGCTGATAAATCCCCAGGCCGAGGGGGTGCTCTCCCACCGGCTGCCATTGTTAAGCCCTCATCACACCCCTGCTGCAGGCAGCAGCTTGTCTGGGGGGCTCTGGGTGGTAGGGGAGCTGCTGTGAGCTCTGGGCCACTGCTGGGGTGCCTTTGGGGCAGGGACTCAGCCTGGAAAGCTCTAAACAGGAACACAGCTGTGGCCTCATCAGGGTCCAGGTAAGGGGGACAGGTGTGGCCATGCCAGGAGGGGAGCTCCTGGCTCCTGGGAGTGTGGAAGCAGTGCTGGGCTTATGAGGAAAACCAGGGGCTTCCTACAGGGGGGTGGCGGCTGCAGAGGGCAGCCTCTAAGATTCCTCTAGAATCTATGACTCCCCAGAACCCAAGCATGGGGAGGGTTCTCAACTCTCTCCACACCCTTCCCTATACCTGAAGCCCCTCTCTGAGGCCGCCCCACAGTGAGTGAGTGAGTTCCCTTGCCAGCCCAGGGGACTGACACGACTGTCCTGATTCACAGACAGGAGCTCACAGCCCTCGGCTAGGAGGTGGGAGCTGGGCCTGTGTGGTCAGCCCTGGGCGGCTTTCCTCCAGGCTGGGGCTGGACTGGGTGTCTGCAGCCTGGATATGGGGTGCCCCCCTACAGCCCGGCACAGAGTGAGTGCCCGAGGTGCTGCCAGTATTTGATGGGGCGGTGGCAGAGACTCACAGCCAGCAAACGCAGGTAGGTCTTCTCCTTGGGGCAGGGGCTGCTGTCGCTGGCACCGGTGGGCAGGGGTCGCTCCTGCAGACAGGCCAGCAGTGTGGTCAGCACCAGGTGGCTCGTGGGCTGCCCAGCCCCCAGGGCCCTCCACAGCTGGAAGGTGTGGCTGTGGGCAGAGAGGGCATGTGAGGGCAGTGCTGCCACCGAGGCCTGGCTGGGCTCAGCCACATGAGCAGGCCACCATCACCAGGGCCTGGGTGCCTGGAACAGCAAACTTAGGCTGGGCCCTGAGCTGGACCCTAGTGGGATGGGGCTCAGGGCAGATACGAGCATTGCAGGTTGGTGTGGGAGGGGCCCAAGGCGGGGGCTGGACAGGAGGCCCCTGGTCCCTGCCTGTGGTCTCACATCCACACCAGCCCCCTCCTGGATCTCCCCGCTTTCAAGGTCTCTCCGCCAGCTCCTCACTCATACTGGAGGTTTCCTAATGTGCCCTGTCTCCCAACTGCTTGTCATCTTCCCTGGCTCCCAGGTCCTGTAGACCACAGCCCCAGCCGGCACTCAAAGTCACGGCCTCCAAGCTCTCTGCTCTCTGACCTCCAGCCCCTGCCTGTCCTTCCCTTCCTCTGGGCCCCCACATGTGCAGGCCTGGTGTTTAGAGCACTCCTTGTCCCTGACTAATTCCCCCTCAGCCCTTAGGGCTCACCACAAAGTCACTTCCCTCTGGAAGCCTTCCCTGACTACTCCCTCCTAGTCCGGGTTTGCTGGGGCCCAGCTCCTCAGCTGGGTCCTCACTAGCATGAGCACAGTGCTTTACAGTTTGTAGAGTGCCCATTTTGCAGATGGGGCCACTAAGGACCGGAGAGAGGAGACCTGTCCTGATCAAGGCCCTGTCTTGGAACTGGGGATCCTGGAGGCCAGGGCTGTCCAGTCCTGTGGCCTTTCCATGGTTCCATGGGGCATGGCTCGGTGAGGCCTGGAGGGAAGGAAGGGACAGCTGGGTTGCCCTGAGGTGCTGGTGACCATGATGGCCCTGTTTACTGCCCTAAATGGTCTTAGGGTCTGAGTGTTGGGTGGAAGGGGTTCGAGGGGCAGGAGGGCCCCTGGCATGAGGAGGCTGGGGCTGCGAGGACCACAGAAGGGTGGCTCCATGCGCTCCCACCCCTGCTTTAAGACAGACTCAAGGGTGGCTCTCCTTAAAACCCTGGGGAAGCCACTCCAGGACCATCTGACCCTTGGCTAGGTGGGCACGACAGCTCGGAGGACTCTGTGAGTTTCCACCTAGCCGGAAAGAGCCGGGCCTTTGGAGTCAGAAGGGTCTAGGCTCAGACCCCTTCTCTGCCCCAAGCTGGCTGTGTGACCTTGGGGGAGTCACTTAACCCCTCTGAGCCTTGGATTCCTGGCCGCAGAGTAGTGGGCAATGCCTGCCTCAAGAGGCTTAAGCGGGAGGATTCTCCCCGAGCGAGCGTGCATGCCCAGAGGGTGGGTGTTTCTATTCTGCTGCCTGCGGGCCTGCCCCCCAGTCAGCAGGTGTGAGCCGAGCGCCACTGCATGCAGACAGTGTCCCGGGGACCAAGTAGTGGCGGAATCGGCAGGAGTCCCCGGCCTCCTGTGCATGACAGCCTCACGGGGACACAGCAGGAAGCGCAGTGTGCCGGATGCTCAGTGCTGCTTGAGAGAAAAAAGCAGCGTGGGGGGCGGGGGAGAGTCTGGGTGCCTTCGGTTTCAGACAGGGCAGTCGGGGACGCATCCCCTGAGAAGGGGGCACTTGAGCAAAGCCCTGAGGATATCGGGAGGGAGCCAGGCAGCGATGCGGGGGAGAGAAGCTTCCAGAGAGACAGCCCTGAGACAGCTCAATCCTGGTGTGTTCAGGGGACAGAAAGAAAGGCCAGTGTCATTGGGGTGGAGTGGGGAGGGGAGAGGAGGATAGGAAGACGGTGATATCATCGGGGCCACAGCACGACCTTGATGGCTGCTGTGGAGGCTTTGAATGAGATGGGACCACTGGAGGATCTTACGCAGAGACGTGGCATGGGCCTACGTGTGTTCTTCAAGGACTGGGGGGTGGGCGACTGGAAGTGGGCAAGTCACTGCAGGTGAGAGCCGGTGGTGTCCTGGACTAGGGTGGTGGCAGCGGGGGCGGGACACAGGCAGAGGTGGAGCTGGCAGGGTTTCCTAGGGGATGGGATGTGGGTGTAGAGGAGTCGGATGGCATCAAGAATTCCAGCCTGAGATGCTGGGAGCACAGAGTCACCAGCGGTGACATGGGGAAGCCTGCAGGAGGGGCAGGTTGGGGGAGGCCAGGGGTGTGGCCTGGCTGGGTCAGTGGGAGACGCCTGTGTGACATCCAAGGGCTGCCGTCAGGGGGTTAGGGGAGAGGCCTGGGCCAGAGGTGTCAGTATTTAGGGGATATTTGAAGCCACGGGAATGGAGGTGGTCACTGTGAAACTGAGTGTAGCTGAGGAGGAGGATCAGGGGTCAGCCCTGTGGCCTCAGGGCTATGAAATCTGGGAGATGAGGAGGAGCCACTGGAGGAGGCTGAGCGGGAGTGGCCGGGGAGGTAGGAGGAGAACCGGGGAGGGCAGCGTTCCCAGGAGGAGAGAGTCACTGGCTGAGTCAAATTCTGCTGACAGGTCACATAAGGTGGGGACAGAGAATGGACTATTGGACCTAGTGACGTGAGGTTACTGGTGACCTTGACGAGAACCATTTTATTGGAGCAGCAGTGGACAAAGTCTGGTTCATGTGGGTCTAAGAAGGAATGGGAGCTACAAGTCACAACCCAAAGACAAACAACCCAACTCCAAAGTGGAGAAAGGGCTTGAAGAGGCATTTCTCCAAAAAAGATAGACAAATGGCCAATAAGCACATGAAGAGATGCTCAGGGGAACACAAATCAAAATATGTCACTTCACACCTCCTAGGATGGCTACAGCCCCAAGATGAGAGACACCAAGTGCTGGTGAGTATGTGGAGAAACAGAAACCCTGGTACTTTGCTGGTGAAAATAGAGAATGGTGTAGTTGCTATGGAAAATGGTACGGCAGTTCCTCAAAAAGCTAAACATAGTACGGCCACATGGCCCAGAAACTTCACTCCTAGGTACACACCCAAAATAACTGAGAGAAGGGTCTCGAACATGCTGGTATGCCAGTGCTGACGGCATCGTTATTCATGACGGCCCAAAGGTGGAGGCAACCCGAGTGTCCGTCAACAGATGAATGGATAAATAAAATGCGGCCTACCCGTGCAGTGGACTATTATTCAGCAATGAAAAGAAATGAAGTTCCGATACATGCTACGGCATGGATGAACCTTGAAAACATTAGGCGGAGGGAAAGAATCCAGACCCGAAAGGACAAATATTATATCATTCCACTTACATGAAATGTCGAGAACAGCCAAATTCATAAGACAGAAAGTAGATTAGAGGTTATCAAGGGCTATGGGGAGGGGAAGATGGGGAATTATTATTTAATAGTTACACAGCTTCTGTTTGGAGTGATAAAAAAGTTTTAGAATTAGACAGTGGTGATAGCTGTGCAACAATTGCAAATATAATTAATGCCACTGAATCATACACTTAAAAGTGAATAAAATGACAAAGTTTATATTATACATATTTTACTACCATTAAAAATAATGTAATATGCCAAACCCATTGAATTGTACACTTTAAATGGCCAAATTGTAAAGTATGTGAGTTATATCTCAATAAATCTGTTTTTTAAAAAAAGGAATGAGAAGACTTCTTCATCCTCCAGTAGGGGTGCACTAAGCTACTTGAATCAGCTCCTCCATTGAAAACAACTATAAAGGTTGGAGAAAATATAAACATGTAGGCTGGGCATGGTGGCTCACATCTGTAATTCCAGCACTTTGGGAGGCAGAGGTGGGTAGATCACTTGAGGTCAGGAGTTCGAGACCAGCCTGGCCAACATGGTGAAACCCCATCTCTACTAAAAATACAAAAATTAGGTGTGGTGGCACATGCCTATAATTCCAGCTACTTGGGAGGCTGAGGCAGGAGAATAGCTTCAACCCAGGAGGCAGAGGTTGCAGTGAGCCGAGATTGCGCCATTGCTCTCTAGCCTGGGTGATGAAGTGAGACCCTGTCTCAA